>NC_000004.12:32168202-32500609 GCF_000001405.40 Homo sapiens
AATATTAGGTTTCTTTTCTCTCCTCTTCTATTTTTCTTTTCTCCACTAATTTTCCCCCTCCTCACCCTCTTTCTCTTCCTCCTCTTCCTCTGTTTCCCTTCTTCTTTCTCCTCCTCTTTCTTCTTTTTTAAGCCTGTTCCCATTGTTGATTCCTTTGAGGCTTACAATCCTCTAGACGAGCATGTACCTTGTGTCTTGCATAGACAGTCCTGGCTAATACTTGTGGTCCAAATACGACTTTGTTCTGGAATTTTTATTTTTTATGAAAATATTAATATAGTCACATTAAAATTAGCCTATATGGATATGTAAGACTTTCATTTTGTGGTCCAGCTTGTGTCATTGTCTCTCTAGCAAAGTAGGAATCACTTATCCAGTGAACAGTATACTCCCTTATCAGGATGAGGGTTTCCTCTATCCAATATGAAATATTGACTCATGCATGAAACATTCCTCGACTTACAATGTTGTTTTGTCCTTATAAACCCATCATAAATAGAAAATATGGTAAATCAAAAATGCGTTTAATATCCCTAACCTGCTGAACCTCATGGCTTAGCCTATCCTACCTTAAATGTGCCCAGAATATCGACATTAGCCTACAAGTTGGGTAAAATCATCTAACACAAAGACTATTTTGTAATAAAATGTTAAATAGTTCATGCAGTTTATTGAATATTGAAACTAAATGACAGAGTAGTTGTATGAGTACTCAAAGTACAGTTTCTACTGAATGAACGTTGCTTTTTCACCATTATAAAGATAAAAAACCCTGAGTCGAACCATTATGTTAGTAACTGTCCATATTTCTAAACCTCTGTCCTTGTATAATCCTTTTCTCTCTAGTAATTTACCCTGAAAATGTGAACTACTTCAGCCTCCCTGAATCTTTATTTCTTTCTTCATGATTCAGCAAGATTGTTTTTCTTTGCTTTGTTTTTCTCTCCCTACACGACAGTCCTGAAAGTTTCTTTATAGAAGTCACGGTAATCCTAACGCTCACCTAATTCATATAAGTTTTGTGTATTTGTCCCAGGTATCTAGTTGTTAATAGTGATAGGCTTCATTTAATATGATTAACTTATTACAAATGCAAGTATGTAGTTTATATTATTTTTTAAAAAAATTAAATTTAAATTTTTGAAAATTAAGTAATCTCTTTTGATAATATACTAAATGAAATGCATTTACACAAGACTTGTTTGTTATACCAAAAAGACACCAAAAAAATACACCTTTTTATGTCCCAGTTTTTGACCTCAAAGGGGTTACAATTTATATAAATACATAATATACATTCACCTGAAAATACAACATAAATATACCATGAAGGACAGATAGAAAAGTTTGAATCAGTGAAAAGCTTCAGCAGAAAATGAGATAGTAGGACACCAAGTTGGATATTCTTGGTCATTGCATATGTTTTGTTGCATGAATTTAGCATACAGTAGTCCCTTCTCATTCCTGGAGGTTATGCTCCAAGACACCCCCAGTAGATGCCTAAAACTCCAGATAGTACTAAGCTCTATATATACCATGCTTTTTTCCAATACATACATTTCTATGATAAAGTTTAATGTACAAATTAGGCACAGTAAGAGATTAACAACAGTAACTGATAATAAAATAGAACTATTATAACAATATCCAGCATCAGTACTCTTGTGCTTTGGGGCCATATTAAGTAAACTAAGGGTTGCTTGAACACTAGCACTGTGATACCGCAACAATTGATCTGATAACCGAGATAGGTACTATGTGACCATCCTACAGATAGTGTACACAGCATGGAGATGCTGGAGAAAGGGAGGGTTCATGTCTCAGGGAGGATAGAGCAAGATGGCATGAGGTTTCATCAGCCTTCTCAGAACAGAGCGCAATTTATAACTTGATTGTGGGTAACTGAAACCACCAAAAGCAAAACTGTGAATAAAGGGTTGCTGCTGTTTCCTTTTTTATTTTAGTTGCTTTATTGTCTTGTTTGTTTGTTTGTATGTTTGCTTTGTTTTGTTTGTTTTTCTGATCACTCTGTGTTGTGCTAAGATAAACATATCAGTGGTATTTGGAAAAGAAGATGAAAATTGTATTTGAGTGGTTCGGGTGTGATGCTCTTAGTTAGAATGAATCAAGCGTGGTAAGAATAAAAGACATGAATCCAGGTCACTATGAAGGATTGATCAGGAGAATATATATTTTAAAGTTCATCTTCTTGTTAACTAAAATATAATTATGAATTTTATTTATTTATTTATTTATTTATTTATTTATTTTTGAGATGGAATTTCCCTCATTTTGCCCTGGCTGGAGTGCAATGGCATGATCTTGGCTCACTGAAACCTCTGCCTCCCGGGTTCAAGTGATTCTCCTGCCTCAGACTCCTGAGTAGCTGGGATTACAGACATGCACCACCAAGCCCAGCTAATTTTGTGTTTTTAGTAAAGACGGGGTTTCACCATGTTGACCAGGCTGGTCTCGAACCCCTGACTTCAGGTGATCCACCTGCATTGGCCTCCCAAAGTGCGGGGATAACAGGTGTGACCCACCATGCCTGGGGAGTTTTATTTTTACTTAATAAATTTGCTTGCTTGTTTACTTACTTGTAACTTGCTTTGCTTCAAAGAGTGTTTAACATAGAGAACATATAAGGCTTCAGGTATTTTAGGCATGGGGTAAAGTTAGTGAAAGAGAGCACTTAGAAAAAGTAAGATTGTGACTTAAGCAACTATTGTGTTCAACAGGAATACTAAACTCAAAGTAGGAAGACAATGATGATTAAGATATGCTGCATTTGACGTGGCAGAAAGGACATCTAAGTGGTAATCGTTACCTGGCATTTGGAGATAATGACCAGAAAATACTTCAGGGCAGAAATATATATTCTAATGTCATGCATATATAGAAGTAAATTTGAAGCCCGCAAAATGAATGTTTTCTAAATTACTTAGAGAAGGAAAAACTGGCTGAAGTGAATATAAATATTCATGCTTTTAAAAAAATGCTCCCAAAGGTTTTAGTTGTATCGAAGGTAAGAATTACAGTGCTGTTTTATTGCACCTATTTTATTTTTTACTATTCAGTTCATCCCTGGAAAGTTAAAACATATTCACATCTTTCAATAATCACATGTCTTTTACAAAATACAACTTTTGTCAAAGCAGCAGGAAACTCTTACATTTCAAATAAAATATTTTCTATCTTTTAGAAGTACGTATTTTTAAAAAATATATAATTCAAAGAAACTAAAAAAGAATGATTTCATCTTTGTCACAGTGTATGTGTATGTGTGTGTGCATGTAACTTTATAAACTCTTTTCTTTTAACCATGAATATTTAATTTGGCTACCTTATGTCTGAACTTATTCTCCTGGGCTACTTAGGTAAATACAGGTCTGAATTGTAGAGGATTTTGAAAATGTAGTTGTAGTTAGAAAAAAAAAAAAGTAACTAGAATTCGGTATGGGAAGTATTAGATACCATAATGTTGAAATAGCTGATCAGAATGGTTGGTTAAATACAGTTAAAATTGTTTTAAAATTAGGTTTTCTAGTTCCTAAATGTAAACCTTGTTAAGTATTTAATAATTTATCTTAAAGAGATATAAGTCCTATTTTCGTGTATTATAACCTGCCTGGAGCCCCCATCAAGATATGTTACTTTCTCAATTGAACCTAACACTAGTTGAAAATTTACTTTATGGACTCAAACACATACAAACAAGTTTACAGAAAGTAAGCTATCAATTTATGCAAACTGAAAATGAATTAAATACAAACTCTGTCTAAGACTAGGAAGATGGCAGTGGACATAGATAGTACTTTGTCACTCTCTGATTCTTATTGCTCTTCAATGTACTGCCCTTTAGAGGAGCCTTCTAGATCTTCATTTAATTATGCCTTCTGTATTATTCATTTAATAATGCATTATAATGATGTCTACTGGGAGCATTGGTTTCCCTTATGTGATGATTATTGCATTTTTCAAGTGCTGTTGACCTGAAGAGCTACTTAGCACCATTTTATTGGAACACAACATAGGCTCTATTGAGCTTTCTCTTGCAAGTCACATCAGAGAAGCTAGAGTATGACCACAATGTGTCATCCTCTGGAAGCTGTCTCTTAAATGATCCCATCCTTTTCTCCTAAGTGGAAAACAAGATCACCAACTTTTCCTGACTCAAAATGAAACTCACATTTCCTAATTTTAGACACCAAAATATAGAGTGTCTAAGAATCTAGTTTTATTTTTTATCTCAGCAAATAGTCACTGAGAGACTTCCACATGCGAAGAACAGTATGAGGCTCTTTAAAAGACTGTAGTGAAGAAGAAAGTTTTAATAATCTCTTTCCTCAAAGTTTATATTATAATAAACAAGATGAATATTTAAAAAGACAAATCTAGCTCTGATCTCAAAGAGTTTGTATTTGCCAGAAAAAAACTCATTAGAAGGTGATTTGTGTAATTTATTATTTAGATACGATGATTTGGGTAATTTATTATTTAAATATGATGATTTATGTAATTTTTAATTTAAATATGATTATTTATGTAATTTATTATTTAAATAGAAGTTTCAGACTGAGAACAATGGGAATTCATGTCAGGTGTATCTGATTTAGTCTGGGGACAGATTTTTACCATATATGGAGAGGACATGACTGGTCAAGGAAGTGCATTTTGTTTTGATTTCTTTAAACATTTTTATTGACTTACTATTCAAATGCTGTTAATTCCACAAGTATGAGACATCAGAGGCAGGTACAAGGGAACAGAGGACTCAGAAAATAAAGCATGACCAAGCATTCTGAAGAAAGAAGGATCATGTGAGAAGGAACACATGAGAAATTCAATGTGTTGATGCAGTAAGAGTAAGAGGTGAAAAGAGATAAGAATGCTGATGTCGGCAGAGGTTAAAACTTGCAAGTACTTAAAGATAGGTTGGAAATATATATTTGTAATTGCATTTTTAAGTTAAAGAAAACACAATAAATAATTATTTCAGGGCCACAGGAAAAGTTGTCCAGTAATGGATTTTGGTCATTATCTTAAGAATGGTGGAGTCCTTGAAGGATTTTAATTAGGTGAGAGATTTGGATTTTCAAAGGATAAAACTTGTGGTATAGAAGAGAAAGGGTTTGAGAGAGGTATGAGTGAATGGGAGAGAACTGGCTAGAAAACAACTTCAGCATTCTAAATGAGAGATTATGATGCCTTGACTTGGAATGCTGTATTAGACTGTTCTCACTCTGCTAGTAAAGACATAGCCAAGACTGGGTAGCTTATAAAGGAAAAAGGCTTACTTGACACAAGTTCCATGTGGCTGGAGAGGCCTCACAATCTTGGGGGAAGGTGAAGAAGGAGCAAAGGCATGTCTTACATGGTGGCCGAAAGCCAAGCGAAAGAGGAAACCCCTTATAAAGCCATCAGATCTTGTGAGATTTATTCACCACAATGAGAACAGTATGGAGGAAACCACCCCCATGATTCAATTGTTTCCCACTGGGTCCTTCCCAAAACACATGGGAATTATGGGAGCTACAGTTCAAGATGAGATTTGGGTAGGGACACAGCCAAATCTTATCAGATGATAAATGAAAAGAAAGAAATGGAATGTTAAATAGAGTATTTAAGAATTTAAGTGTTCTAAGGTATTACATTGGTTTATTCTCAGAATATATGGTAAAATTATTTTCAGGTTTCCACACTTGGTAAACATATATGATAAGTGAAACTAAGAATCAGATAATTCTATACTAATATATAAGAACATCAGTGTGACCTATTTTACTTACACATTTTTAGCAGATTACCTTTGAAATCTGGAGGCAGCTACAGATTATTGAAACTAAAATCCAGATTCCACAAATAAGTGAGATAATGCTGTACTTGTCTTTCTGTGTCATGGGGAAAGAAAAGATGTTGATCAAAGGATACAAAGTTTCAGTCAGACAGAAAAAATAAGATTTAGTGAGCCACTGCACGGAATGGTGACTATAATAAGCAATAAAGCAGTACAGATTTCAAAATTGCTAAAGTAGTAGATTTTAAATGTTTTTATCATAAAAAATCATGGCAGCTGATATATTTCATTAGGCTGATTTAATCATTCAACATCACAACTGCATATCAAAACATCCTATTTTACCCCATAAATATATATGATTATTATTTGTCAATTAAAATGAAATTCTAAAAACCTTCTAGTTTTTAAACTTGACTTGGTAACTTTTCTTAACTTTGTGTTTTAATAAAAGATACCTGTAATAAAGCATTTCATATGGGATATATGTTAGTGAACTTTGGGAAGTGCTATATGATATTAATTTCTTAGTATCATGTTTTTCCTAGGTATCCTTTTGTCTTCTTGTTGCTTTTATCTCTTGCCACAGCCAAGCATCCCAATATTGTCCTATCCCAGAGTCTTCCATCTCAATTGAGTAGTACTGATGTAAAACCATTTTCACAAACCAGAAGCCTAGAAATAGTATTTTCATGTGCCAGCCATTTGTAGTCTGTCAAGTTCTCTCTATTTTATATCTTAACGAGTTTTCAGAACTATCTGATTGCCTAGATTTTGCCCATCTTTACTATAGTCCAAGTAAAAATTATCTTTTCTGTGGATTATAGTAATAATCTCCTAACACCCACGTCCACAAAATTAAACCGTTATTTATGTGGCCACAATGATAATTTCTAAACACAATCCTCCTCTATAGCACCTCCTGTTATACACTCATCCATATTTACAACACTCAAGTCTTTTGTCACTTTTGTTATAAGGAGGGAGATGTAAACATGGCCCAAAGGAACTTGGAGGTGTGCTCCTCACTGACTTCTCAGTCCTCATCTTGCGCCACATGCCCATACAAGCCTGTTTTCACTTTCTTGAATGTGCATTGTTATCTCTTGTTCCATGCTGGTCCCTCTGCCTAGTGTTCTCTTTTCCTCCATACCCAATGCATTTTTCCTTTATGTATTAACTTAAATGTCACTTTCTCTACCAAGAATTCCTCAATTAAGGTGAAAATCTTTGTTAGGTGCTCTCACAACACAGTATATCTATTATATTGCTCACAGCACTTACCACATTTCTTTTCTTTTGCTTGTTTGGTTACTATCTTATTTGCCTAAAGGTATAAGGTCCTGACAGACCAGCAGTAATTATTGTTTTTGTTCATGGTTGAATATCTAGCTCTTTGAAAATAGGTGCTCAATAAATACATACTTAATGAATAAGTCATCCCCAGGTAAAACTGGCATTAAATTTTCCATTGCAAAAAAAGCTAAGTCATTGACTTCCATTATCAGATAAAAGCCAACCTCTGAAAAAGCAGTAAGATTATTTTCTTCATAGTTCTGCTCCTGTGTATTCCTATATACATTCCCTCATACATTGAATTCCCACAAAAGATTTTCAGTCCCTGAATCCTCAGGTTACTTTTTGTTTCAAGGTAAAGCAAACTGGAATAGGACAAGCCTATTGAGACCTCAGATCCTGATGGATACAGAGCCAATTACAGATCTGCAATCACTCTACCTCCTACTTTTCACTGGACTACAAAGTCCCTTTCAGATTCATGATGCTTGTCTGAACTGGCTTACACACCCCAGGGCTAAGCAAGAGGTTCCATTGCTCATGTTGTGTATCTGTCAGCTCACTTCCTAACAAAATGGCAGTTGAGTTGAGTTAAAGAAAACTGATGCCTTGAAGCAATGATATTTAATGAGGACATTGCTAGAATTTTTTTTGCTTTGTTTGGCTGTTTTTCAGCTAGACATTTATTTAGATATGTGCATTTAGATATGGAAAGTTTGCACAAAAATGTTTACATAACTGATTATTTCAGAGATGTGGGAAGAAGAGAGATTTTTGTCTTAATTTTGCTTTGACCTATCTCCTTTTTCTATAATAAACATTTATTACCTGTGAAATTTTTTAAAGTTAAAAAAATAAAGTACACTCCTCATTCAAACAGATCTTTGATTAAGATAGACACTATCTCTTGTTAGTCATGTGCACCTAAGAGAATCCATCACTCTTTACATTTACCAAACAGTCAACTTTGCAGCTAGTTTCAGTCCACTAGTAGGTCCCAGCACATGCAAATGCATTTTCAAAAAAAGACTACTATTAGCACACATTTATTCTAAATCTGAGTAGAAAAAGGGCCACTAAGGTGAAAGTAGTATTTCCCCTTGGTCCTCAGGCTTGCTTCCCTACCTTTTTGCAAACCCTGTTCTGGAAGAGCCGTTATCAGTGGCCACCAGTCCCTAAGGAGAAGACCAATCCCAGAGAAGTTCAACTCCAGACAGGCTCAGGGCTGGGAACTGCATGGAAGGAAAAGCACGGAATGAAAACCAGAATACCAGATAGAAAGCTAAGCCTTGTCAGGGGTGACTCAAGAGAGGCTAGAGACAGAGTCCAGTGCTACAAAAGAGCTTGCAGAACCAGGGGCATCAGATACAGACAAAATTTGGTGGCCTTCATTTAGATGGGAGCTTTAGCAGTGACATCACAGGACAAGGCAGAAGATGCTCAGATGATTATGCTGGGCCTCCCTCTTTCAGCCTCTTTGGAGTGGCTCAGGAAGGTGTACCCTGGTTTGTCACCAGGGCCTCAGGATCTTTGATGCCTCGAGGTCTCACCCCTGCAAAGGATAGTTGACTGCAGCTTTTCAAGGCCCAGTTTTGGTTTCCAGATAGGTCTGGACAGCCTCAGCTTGCTAGGCTGCTTCTCCTGGCTCTGTGTGAGTTGGTAGAGTATGGTTACGTGGAATAGAGACTGGACTATTGGCCAATTTTCTTATGGGCTTGCCATGCCATCTAACCCTGTCTTTGCCAAGTCTTAGGTCATTGCTCATCACTCTCCCATCCTGCTTGTGTGTATTTGGTTTGGGGCTTAAGAGTAGAGGCTTTTGTGGATCCTATTACTAAATCCAGTTAATCTGTTGTTCTGTACTTTCAGGGTTTCATGTAAAGGGCCTATGGTAGGGTGACACAAACAGATGAGATATCTAGTAGTACATGATACTAGAAGGCAAGTGGGGCCTATCTCCTTGGATCGAAACTCCAGAATATCTTGGGGTTGGGGATTCAATGTCTATCCCCCAGTGGAGAGGTTGGTAGAGCTCAGGGTACTGCCAATAAGGTCCACGGGCAAGGAAGGGGCAAGGATCCAGCCTTGGTGAGGGTGTGAACACTGGGCAGGACACTAAGGCAGAAGCTAGCCCTATAGATTGCTCAGCAGGAGAAACTGTAATAAGAAAGGAAGTGTCCAGGAGGTTAGGTCCATCCAAGGGCTTTCTCTATCCAACTTAGTGAGGCAAGAGTCTCCTAAACGCTTGTACAACCAGTATTAAGACATTAAAATAATTAAGAGAGAGTCCAATCTCTGTATCATGGGTGGGAATGAGACTTCCGATGTATTCTCGATCCTACAGACTAGGCAGAGCTGAGCTATTTATTGAGCAGTTATCATGAGCCAAACAGTGTTCTAAGTGCTTCACACATATTAACTCATTTAACGTCACATATACCTTATGGGGTAGGAAATATTAATATCCTAATTTAACAGATGAGTAAAGAAAATAATGAGATGGCAAAGAAAATAATTTCCTGCCCAAAGTGACTACAGATGGATAGATGGTTCCATCATGTTCCTTAGAGTCTGTCTCTCTGTATTTTTCTATTCTCCTCACTTCTCCAGACTTGTGACTAATGATGCTGAAATGGAACCACCTGGTAGTGGCAGACAGAGTTGATGTGTCAAATTTATCCTCTCTGCATTTACCATTCCCTTACCTTTTAACAGTCTTCTCCTGCAAATACCTGGTCTCTGCACTTAAAGGCATTCTTTGCTTGGAGCATGCTTGGCAAGAAGGCATTCATGACAGGGAGATAACACCCCCAGGAACAGTCTTCAGTGACTCCTGGAAAAGAGTAGTAGATAAATACCAAGCTTCTTTGCCCTCAGGTGTGACAAGTTGTAGGCATGCTCTACACAATCTCCTAGAGGTTCACTGTGAGTCCCAGTTGCCCAAATTGAAAATCTCCATTTTATCCCTTCCTTTTCTTATGTTACTCCCCACTCTTTTACATGAAATCACATCCTATGAAAACTATCTGCATTCAAACCCTCGTCCCAGCATCTGGCTTAGGGAGAACCAAGCCTCATCTATCTGCTCTTCATTAGGACTGTCTATCATAATTTCTTATGTTACATTAATTACAGGTGGCCTCATTCTTTCCAGGGGAACTTTCTGGGAATTTGGAAGGATGGAAAAGTCACAGTTTCTAGAGATTTGTCAGCTTAGTCCCTGAGTTTAAGAAACAATGGAATATTGTGCTGTCAGAGAGATCCGCTGCTTTACTCTTCAAAAGACAGATACGGAGCATTTCCATCTCCATTTGTCTCTTATCAGTTCACATCTGGTTGAAGTAGTCTGTGAAAGATATGTAAAGATGGGGGTATAAAGTGTTTGGCCTACCTTTCATTAATTTGGGACTAGTGTGCCATCTTTCTGTGCATAATTTGACTGAGAGCTCAGAATGACAAAGCCCAGATAAACTGGAACCAGTCTTCCTCTACCAGTTTTAACTGGAGCTTTACTGAGATGTTCTTTTTTATATATACAACTTTGAGTTACTGTCTAGTACTCTTTAATTTCCCCAAGAGGACCTGAGCATTTTTTGCAGGGCAGATCTAGTGTTAACAAACTCTCTTAGCTTTTATCTATCTGAGAATGTCTTAATTTATTTATCAGTTTTAAAGAATAATTGGTTATACATATGGAATTCTTAGTTAACTGTTTCTTTGTTTGTTTAGTACTTTGACTATATGGGCCTACTGACATCTGGTCTTCAATGTTTCTGATAAGAAATCTTCCAATAATCTTATTGAGGATCTCTTCTTTGTGATTGGTGGCTTCTCTCTTACTGCTTTTCAGAATTCCTCTTTTGGTCTGTTGGAAGTTTGATTATATATCTCAGTATGAGTCTCTTGGGTTCATCTTACCTGGAGTTCAGTGAGCTTTTTGTATGTTTATATTCATGTCTCTCATCAAATTTTGGAATTTTCTTCAACCATTAATTCTTCAAATATTTTCTCTACGATTTACTTTTCTCTATTTTTCCAGAACTCCTACATGTGTACATTGTTCTGAATGATGGTGTCTCAGAGGTCCTCTAGGTTCTATTCACTCCAATCTTTAATCTCTTTTCTTTCTGTTCCTCAGGCTCAATAATTTTATTTTTCATATCTTTAAGTTCTCTGATTTTTTTTTCTGTCAGCTGAAATCTGTCTTTAAATCCATCTAGTAAGTTTTTCTTTCAGTTATTGTACCTTTTATCAATAGAACTTTCCAGAATTTCTTTTCTTTTCTTTTCTTTTTACTTCTCCTCCATATCTTCTTTCAGTTCTTTGAGTATCCTTAAGATACTTGTTTTAAACTCTTTGTCTAGTCGACTTGCCATGATGTGTTTTCAGAGACCGTTTACGGTAATTATTTATTTTTCTTTGAATAGTCCATACGTTTCTCTTTCTTTGTATGTCTTGTGATTTTCTGTTGAAAAATGAGCATTGCATCTAATAATGTGGTAACTCTAGAAATTAGATTATTTCTGTTTCCTATTGCTACTGCTTATGGTTATTGATTTTCTTTATTGTCTTTTTCATTATTGTAGGGTAGTTGATTGTCAGTAATCACCCTGAGGTGTAAACTTAAGCCTTTCCAAATCTTTTCTGGGCCTGTGTCTTTCCCTGGGCATGCACAACCACTTCCTAATTTTCCCCATATATGCAGTTACTTTTGAAAGTCCTAGTCTTTAATGTCTGTCTACCCAAAGAAGAAAAAGAGAAAAATAAAGGGGGAAGGGTAAGGACACCAGCTCTCTAAATCCTTAAAAGTCAATTCAAACAGAGGGAGGCAGGGCTTGCAACAATGGGAGAAGGTGTAACAACAATGGTCACTTGTCTCTCTACTCCTCTGTGATCATCAAGCAGCAACCAGATATAAGAGCACAGATCTCTGATATTTGGAGGACAGGTTGATTTTTACCCATTCTGGCTCCCTCAAACTATGTGCCAGCTGTTCCTGGAATGCATGCTTAGCCATCTGTTACATGGCTGGGGTAAAGGATGGGTAGCTGCTACTGTGCTAAGAGCTAAAATTGACTGAAATTAACTGTAATTTAACCTCTAAGATTTCTCCTGAAATTTAAATGCCTTCAATGGACTCCAACATTTCAAAATAGTTACATCAGTCAGATTCTGTCAGTGCCACTGATGTCTAAATGGGGAGATAGATTTCTGATGCTTCCTACACTACCATCTTTTCAGAATTATCTAGAATTTGTTTTTATTCTGCACTTGTAAAATTCTCACAGCTGTGTTTCAACTGTATTACTAGATTTTAAAACTGGTCAGATTTTTCAGGTAAATATGGTACATATCCTACTTTATGCTGCAATTTCTGATATGTAAGGTGATTAAAGAAAAAAAGTGTATTGTATTATGCTAAACTCCCATCCCACGAAAGGGCACATTTATCAATTCTCTTATGCTCATCACACAACATAAGTGATATAAAAGAATAAAAAAAGTTTCTGAACTTGAGTTCCTATGGGATTTGACTCAATTTGAGTTTGCCAGCAGTATACATTTGTAACAGTTAAGTGAGTAGAGAAGTAAGGGCAAAAAGGAGAACTGTAAAAAGGACCAGTTATTTTAAGCCTGTTAGAAAGCATGGAGATATAACTTGCAAAAAACTTTCCAAAATCTCTTAGCTGTGCAACTGAGATGTTCTCTTTGATTTAGTAAGAGAAATGGTCATCTTGTGCTGCATAGGGCCACTTGAGTCTCCTTGTAATGTACAAACAATTCTAAATAAAAAAGAAAAAAGTATAATGCATGCTGGGCAGGGGATGAAAAACTTTTTGGTCCTTTCTTAGTACAGTAGTGACATGAAACGTAATCAACTGCTGAAATAATAGACAAGGATAAATGTAATTTAAATTAGAAGGAATGTGCTTTCTGAGGGAGAAGAAATCAGCCCTAAAGTAGAATGAAAATGAAAACAAAATTTTAGGAGACACCAACATCCACCTTACCTTTCTTCCTCTTAAGTTGTGTCTGCTTTTGCATTTTTGTAACTTCTTGATTCCCCCCCTCCCTTTTTTTTTTCTATTACTGACAGAGTACAATGGAAGATGTTATTCAAAGTCAGCATTTATCAATTGGTCTTAGCTTTGGGAATTAAGTGAATTTCTCACTTGGTTCAGTTGAAATTACCTACTGGGTGTAGTTAAAGTTCTAGATGAAATAACCTAAAGAAATCTGGACTCTAACTTAGAGTTATTAGGAAAAATTAAAACATACACACAATAAATAAGACTATTTCCATGTCTTACACATTTAATTTCAAATATATTGAAATATTAAAAATTGTCCAGTGACATTGGCAAACTCTATCATACTCTCTTTTAAGAATCCAAGATAGAGGGAATCTAGTGACCCCAACGTCCAAGTTTATCATGGCTTTGAGCATCATTGAATAGATGTAGTGAAAGGAAGAATTAATATGTTTTATTTTTAAAGTTGATTAGTAAAATAAGATTCATCCCAGTTATACTATAAATGTTTTCTTCTGATTATTTCTCCTCAGAATGTGCTGTACGTTCAGAATATAAAATGGACAAGGCCTAATGTCATCATTTTTAAAACTGATTTATTAACTATAGGAAATAAGATTTCATTTGTATGCTTATTCAAACCATGAAGACTTTTGAAGACCTTTTTCTGGCAACTTTTCCTAGTTTTACCCTTTGTCTTGAGGTATCACAGGGTATGCAGGACCCCGTGTATAGGATACCAACTTTTTTTTATAACTATCTTATTTCTGAATGTTTCTCTGATGAGATTAAAAATCAAGTCACTAAAAGAAAGAAAAACATTTGAGTATACATTGATGTCACTTCTCAGCGGAAAATAGAAATAAAGTGTATTGAAAATCATGTTTAATATACTTGTCTGCCATTTTACATATTTTGTTGAATGAAGTTTCAGAGAAGGAGATGTCTTTTGCTTTTTTTATCATTTGATACTTATAGTAGATATATATTCAAATGTAGACCAACTATATTGATATTAAACATGAAACTCATAAGTCCTATTCTTGCTCTCAAATTCTCATGTAAAATGTAAATCTCCTGCTGATCTAACTGCCTACTTATTTCTGGGACTCTCTTAGTGTGTTTCACATATCTGATAACATTAACATGTCATATAGTTTACAGCACTTACGAGCACCTTCATGTGGTATCATTTTGCATGTGGTATCACTTTGAGAAACTTTGTTGAAATTTCCTCATTGCCACTCTCCTATAACTACCAATGATGGCACCAACAAAAGGTGTGATCACCTTTTAGGTGCCAAATACCTCAGTGCATTTTATTTTATTTTGTAAACTCACTCTTGTGGGAGAAAATGTTTTATGAATTCTTGGTAAGACTGCTCCTAATCCTGCCAAATGCATAGGGCAATATCTCAATCCTGTGGTAGACCAAATGCAGGTTCAAGTTTGAACCACTTGTCCAAGTGTGCAGTAGTGATATTGGAGAGAACAAGCCAACTATGACTGGCTGAAATTCTTATTATAATTCCTGACTTTGTATTTATTCACTTTTCCCCAAGCTGTTGCCATGTTCTCTTTCATTCCACTTCTCTTTGAAATCCATATTCCCTCTTCTTCTTTCCATATTCTTCTGAAGTCAAAACACTGAATTATCTCCTTTCCTTCAATATCCTCCAAGACAAAAATCAGCCTACAACTCTGTAAGACATAAGGAAGCAACACAGCTGTTTCTCACTCAAAATTTATTTCTCCATCTGAGATTTTTCAACTCAGAGTCACTTGTATTTTGGTGAGTTGTTAAGAGCTGATAAATTTCAAAGGCTATAAAGAATTACATCTTTGTACAGATATGTTCTTTTATTTTTACTGATTCACTTTCTTTCATGCTCAGGATGCTCTCCTTCTAAGTAGCTTAAGGGATATAAAGATGACTGATATGGTTTGGATCTGTGTCCCCACCCAAATCTCATGTCTAATTGGAATCCTCAATGTTGGAGGAGGGGCCTGGTGTGAGGTGATTGGATCATCAGGGCAGACTTCTCCCTTGCTGTTCTCGTGATAGTGAGTTTTCATCAGAACTGGTTGTTTAAAAGTATGTAGCATCTGTCCGTTTGCTCTCTCTCTCCTGCCCCACCAGTGAAGATGTGTCTGCTTCCCCTTCACCTCCCACCATGATTGTAAGTTTCCTGAGGCCTGCACAGCAATGTTTCCTGGACAGCCTGTGGAACTGTGAGTCAATTAAACCTCTTTTTTTTTTTAATAAATTGCCCAGTCTCAGATAGTTCCTTATGGCAATGTAAGAATGGACTATTATAATGACTCAGGTATGAATTATATATTTTGTAATAATTAGACACTCAGAGACTATGAGAAATCAAGTGCACGTAGTACAAAGATCTGCCATCCATAACCCAAAGGCCACCTTAGGGCTTAGCCATTTCTTTTTGTAAATAACATTTTATTGGAACACAGCCTCACCCATTTGTATACTCAGGGGAGGGACTAGGATGAAACACATAAAGCCCCAAGGCAAAAAATTTAAGGAGACATTCACTTTCAATAGCCTGCATTGAAATGATCCTGAAAATGAGTGCCTCTTTTAAGTTTTGTTTCCCAGTCATTCACATCACAGTCTAGCCCAGGCCCTTTGCTTGCATATTCTCTGTGGCTACTTTCATTCTACAACCTTAGAGTTTAGTAATTGTCACAGAGACTGTGTGGCCTGCAAATCCTAAAATATTAACTCCATGACCATTTATGTAAACCTTTTGCCCACCCTGATTTAGAGTCCAAAAGAGTTATAAATTTGAGACCTCTGAACAAAAGAGGGACTATCATTAGTGATACCTTTATTTGGAGTTTCTCAGAATGTAGGGTGATACCCAATGAAAGAAAACAGGCATGAAGATGAAACCGGTACACAAGCTTAGTAGAGCAATTCTGAGTAGACTGCAATGACTGGAACTCTAATCTGCCCCCTATGCAGCCACCTCTTTCTTTTCCTGCAGGCTCAGGAGTCAGACCACCTGGGTTCCAATCTTGGCATTGCCACTGGAAAAGAATGTGACCTGAAGTAAGCTGTTTCCCCTTCCTGAGATTCATTTTCTCCGTTTATAAAAAGGGTCAGGGAGTGAAAATAATAGTGCCTGCCTCAAAGAATTTGGATTTGGAGTAAACAAGACAATTCATGGAAATAATTTAAAACAGTGTTTGGCACATGGTAAGATAGTAAGTTCTTAATAGGTATTAGCAATTAGTATTATCATATGAGGCTGTGAGAGTTAGGTGACTATCAGAAAAAAAAAATTGAAGCAACAGTTTTACTAAATTTTGCAATACATCAGGGAAATATATTGTTATATTATGACTGCCCTTCCTATAATTTGTGATAAAAAGAAAAAAGTCACCATGCCTTGTTTACTACAGAAAGCTGTGCCTCTTTGATACCTCAAGGACTCAGGAATGAGGACTCCAAAAGTATTTTGGAGGTATTCAGGGAGAAAGTTGAGGCCCAACAACATTCATATTGGGGAAACATGCCAATTAAGCCTGAGTCCATCGATTTCATATGGCCTCATTCCTAACAAAGGTTGTGAGGATCTGTGGAATTCTGGTTGCAAACATTTTTACATAATTTTTAGAGCATGATAGTGAAAGGAATTGAGAGATTCATGGACATAATACTATAAGAATTTAGATAAGGGAAAGATTACTTTCATCTGGGCATTAGGACATCAGGAAAGACAGAATGACCAGATTATATAATCAGGGTTTAGAAGGATACATAATTCACACATCAAACTGACCTGAACATTTAAAGGAGACAAGAGAAAGCTTGAAAATCTTATGAGGAACACAATTTAGGACACCAAACAGTCCTATAGGAATAAACTATTTCACATGGAGTAACTAATTTTTAACATTTTATTCCTTTAGACCACATGAAACGACAAATGAATCAATAAATGTCCTCATGTCATATCCTGCATAGTTCTGTTTGCCCTGATTGACATTAAAATATCATCTGCTCAATGGATTCTGTCTTTATCCTGACTGGTTTATACTGGTCCTGTTAATCTCTTAAACCTATTTCATTATTCATATCACTAAAGGGTCAAGCATATGTGCTACTCCTACAGTCTAATTACATTTTAATTCTTTTTTGGGATTTTTCCATTCCTCTTTTGTTACAATGAACTGATGTTTGAGGCAGTTTAGAAAGATATTTGTAGTTTATAATGGAAAAGCAGCTCACAATGCAGCCTATGGATTCTTTGAGTGGACACAATATGCGTTATATGAATAAAATGACTTAAAATGTTGTTATTTTGTTGTATCCATTAACTTCTCAGTTTTATGCTGAAAAATATTTGATTACATAATTCTATGCACTCCTATTTGAAGGAAGGTGTTCAAGTCAACTGAAAATACCTCCAATTTGGAATTAGCAAGATCTTCCAATGATCACAAAAAGTATTTTGATAAAAAATAATGGTAATATTTTACATAAATTTGAGGGCTTACAATGTACTACACATTGTTCAAAATAATTTGTACATATTAATTGAGGTAGTCAACAAAACAACTCTTGTAACTGGTGCTATGTTGTCATTCCTAAACTCGTGGTGACTGAAACATAGCTCAAGAAACTTCTACAATGGCATGAAGCCAGTAAATTGCAGAGTTGGCATTAGATAAACTGTGTTATAGCCCAAGATCCATGGGTTTATTCAATGCTAGTCACACAATAAAATATATTTAAAATGCTATAAAATATTGCTTTGGCCTGCATTTGAGGAGCTACACGCTGATTTCCTAGAACGATCTTCATATTTATTTTGGAACAATCAGTTAAAAAAAAATAAAAAAGAATCTGTTTGGGCCACATATGCCAGAGGCTAAAGGAATTGCTGTCCTCTGTTCTGTTCCTGTCCACCTCAGCACTTTTGATCTCTGGGGCATGCTGTTGGTCTTAACCATAAATTGAAAATGAGAGGCAGAATAATTAAAGAGCAAACTGTAATTATGACCAAGATCTAAAGAGAGAAAAACTAACATTGAGTATCGGCCTTCAATTTCCTATTAGTGCATTTAAGATTAGCTATAAACAGCCTTGTTAAACTCAATTAAATAGTTCATCAGAAGGATTTTTCTTATTAGTACAGGCTGAGTGATGTGACTTTTAGAACCATGTTGCTGGTTATGCATGAGCATTTTTCAACATTGATTTTGTACTCTAAGATTTTATTATTGTTATTGTTATTATTATTATTTTATTTATTACAGTGCCATTTAAGAGGCTTTCTTGAAAGATACTGTTTGGCATGCAAAAGCTTTGATGCTCTTCTTAGAAATGTCCTCTGCTCCAATGATAAGCAGACATAATTTAAAAACATTTTAAAACATGGGAAAGAGGAGTTTCCCAAATATCATCATATAGTTTGGTTGAAAGTGTAACAAAATACAGAGATGCTCAACAGAAATATAATTCACAGCCAGATGGTGATGATTTGTCAGAATATCTATTGCTTTGTATTAATCACAACACCGGCACCTTTTGTACGTTCAGTGAATATTTGAGAGTAATATAGTGCCAAATCTGTATAGTATCTGTTTTTCTTTCTTTTTTTTCCACCCCCTGGTAATAAGATTATTTCCACTAAGTTTTTTCCCCACTTATTTTAGTTGTTATAAAATTGGAAGTAGCTATTTTTCAACATCTGTTGAAACAGATTGAGAGGCATTTTGGCAAATGTGTTATCACATGTTACTATGAAATAGTATTTCAAATCATTTTGAATGGAAATTAAATTTGGAATTTCCAGACTGATGTATGCTACATCTGTAGACTCTACAGATCTAGTCTAGAATCTGCAACCTAGACTAGATTGTCGGTGAAAATTTATGTTAAATATTTTTCTGATACTGCTAATATTTTCTATTCCATTTTTATTTGTACAATTAATAGATAATACTATACATCAGCTGTTGTTTCAAGTTTTTGAAAATATTTCTCAATCATTATGTTTCCAGTGGAATAAAATAAAGTAAGTCTTTCATATAGTGTACTTATATGGGATTTTATTACATAGAAGTATTCATTAGATACTTGAAACTCATATAGGAAGTTAAAGCGATGTTTTTATACCCCAATGGAAATAAATGAAGAGATTGCAATGACCACTGTGACAAATTCTAGACATCCTTCCAACTTTACACATTCTAACTTAATAGGGTCAAATTACTCTATTTTTTGTATTATTGGTAATTCTAATTATCTGTCTGCATTTTTAAAGACTTACTAAATTTTAATTTAATGATCATATAAGCCACCATATACTAAAACTATGTGTCAATTACAAAGCCAAAGATAATGCTTAAAAAAAAAAAAAGCACTGGTAAACAATGTATTCTTGTTGACTAAATATTTATAGTAATTCAATTTGTTTCTTCAGTAATATAGAAATTTAAGCATTCTATAATCAATTCCATTACTTTAGAAAACCCAATAATATGAAACAGAAAAATCTCTAACTTGACTAAGTGATCTTAAATGGCCTTTTTGCAAAGAGGGGGAGCACTGTTAGCCCCCGATTTTGTTAATTTACAATTTTCTGCTTTATTTGTGCATGCTAGATTTTTCTCTATGCTAAAATGCTCAACCTATCAAATACCCCCTACTTTTATTTAAAGTGCATAATTTTATTACTATCTAAGCAAATGGAATTTAGTATAAAGGTTGGATGTTTTTAACTGATTATTTTACTGCAGAAAATAGGGCCTTATCTAAACTTCAGCTCACTCAGGACACATTTGTGATTAAAAACCACTGTAATTAGAAATTCAAGTACAAAGCAAATGGAGTAATCAGAAAACTATTTCGGTCTTTGTAGATTTTCTTATGTATCTAAATACTGTGTTTCACAGTATATTTTGGAGTTTTTAAAGATATTTGAATTAAGTAGTTATAGCTTTCCCAGGAAATACTCATTTAGAGCAATAACTTTAAGGCTTATGATACATAATAATAGGCAAATTACTGTACTTTACTTATTAGCTCTGAACTGATTCTCTTTCAAAAAGAATGAATTATTACTAAAAATAATCAAGTTATTACTAAAAGTTGGATATTATTTGCATATTTCTGCAGTTGGAGTTAGTAACTAAAATGAACTTTTGAATGAATATTTGTAATAAATTGGTTATAAAGAATAGTGTGGGAATTTGTAAGAGAAAAAAAGTTTTCTCAGTCTTATTTTAATTTTCTTGAATCTTTCTTTAAAATTTAAATTATGGTTTGTATTTTCTATTCCTTGCACTAGGCCAGAAGTAATTAATTTCCAAAGCCATAAATTAGTGCCACTCATAACTTTCCAATTAGGAAATGGGAGGAAGTACATGTTTTCATTTTTTTCCAGGGGTCACAAAAATTCTAATGTGGGTGAATTTCAAAATTCTAAACTTTGTCTGTAGCTACACTTTAGTGTGGTATAGTTGTTAATAAAGTTTTAGTAGAAAAATAAATTATTTTTCTAAAAATTATATTATTTTTATACTCTCATGACCACAAGCCCTATGTTGATTGTTTAAAAAAAAAGAAACAAGGATAGCAGTATCTTAGCAAACAGACTCAATCACACTTTTACTTACCTGTTTTAAAGCCAAATAATTGGCTATTAAAATGTTTGTTTTCCCACTTGGAATAAACAGAAACTTGCCTCATTAGTAAGTGGTTTCTTACTCGTTTTGGTAGAGACTTGAGTGCTTTGGAAAATTCAACATAATAAAATTGAGGGTCTA
This sequence comes from Homo sapiens, assembly GCF_000001405.40. NCBI lineage: Eukaryota > Metazoa > Chordata > Mammalia > Primates > Hominidae > Homo > Homo sapiens. Next base: position 32,189,131 of record NC_000004.12, read on the forward strand.
TTAATAATGGCAGTGACAGCCCATGTAAAGCAGCCCCTGTGAAGAAGCCAGCTGCAGCAGGGGAGGTGTGGCCAGGGTTGCCCGCTCCACAGGTCCAGCGGGAGCCAGGAACAGGTGGGAGCCCTGCCCCCTACCGAGTTGGCTGGGTGAGAGCCCGGTGCTCCTGGGCACAGCTGCAGCCATTCAGCCACAGCTGTGGACCTAGGCATCCGTCCACTCTAGGGGGCCCGAGAAGCCACTGCTCCCTCAAGCTAAGAAGTGCTTGCTCCTTATCCCTGGCCTCTGCCCACTCCTGGTGCCTGCTGTAGTGTGGAGCAAAGTTGAGGCCGAGACTGCACACTGTCACGACCTGGCCGGGTGTGTGTGCACCCAAGGCGATGCTAACACACCAACCTCTTGCCACTTCAGCCCCCTCCAGATTTTGGGTGCTTTATTAGTCTATTTTCATGCTCCTAGGTAGAAATACCTATAACTGAGTAATTTATAAAGAAAAAAGGTTTAATTGATTCACAGTTCCACATGGCTGTGGGAGCCTCAGGAAACTTGCAATCATGGAAGAAGACACCTCTTCACAGGGTGGCAGGAGAGAGAATGAGAGCCGAGCAAAGGGAGAAAGCCGTTATGAAACCATCATCCCCATGATTCAATTACTTCCCACAGGTATCTCCCATGACAAGTGCGGATTATGGGAACTACAATTCAAGATGAGATTTGTGTAAGGATACAGCCAAACCACATCAGGTGCTCACGTGCATGAGAGGGAGGCAGGGGATGCTGACAGCACCTCAGAGTGGGCCTGCAGGCATCCCTCCGCAGGAACAGCCTGGGTGCCATGGACAGCACGTTGATGGTGGGAGGCAGACAGGCTCCTGGGTGGAAAGGGGCAAGTCCCTGGTGAAACCCCACCTTCCAACCAGGGCCGGCCTGAAGCCTGGGAACCAGGTTGCCATGCCAGTTCAGAGTGGAGTCTGTGGCCTGGAGAACCTATGGTGATTTTTCTGGGCCTGCTCATTGCCCACCATTGAACCAATCAGCACACATGTCCTCTCTTCTGAGCCCATAAAAACCCTGGACTCAGCCAGACTCACACAGACATCAGGACTACCAGCTGCGGGAAGGAGCTAGCCATCTCAGGTCTCCTTGAATCATCCAGATGACCTGCCTGTGGAAAGGAGCTACCCATCACAGGTCTACTTCCTGATGAGAACTGGACATTCTTGGGATGACTTGCCTGCAGAAAGGAGCGACATATTTTGGGTCTCCTGAGAGCTGTTCTGTTGCTCAATGAAGCTCCTTCATTGCAGTGAGCTGAGATCGCACCACTACACTCCAGCCTGGGCAACAGAGCGAGACTCTGTCTCAAAAAAAAAAAAAAAAAAAAAAAAAAAAAGAAAAGAAAAGAAAAGAAAAATAGTTAGCTGAAAGTTTACTAACTGGGTTAGTGGTCCTGATGGAATTTAGATGAGAATATCTACAATTATAGCTCAAAATGGAGAACTGAACCTGATAGGAGAGAGAGCAACAATATAATTTCAGATGTTACCATTCAGAAATTCTTTCTCTAGGAGTCTTATTTGATTCATGAACAGAAAATGGAGAGGAAGTCAGCTTTTGTGGCTCATGCTACCTTCAGCTTTTAGAGAGAATTTCTATTTTGTAAACCATTTTAGAAATCAATGAATTGATCACTATTTTATCGCATAGAGAAACTGAGAATGGTGTGAAAATATGGGAGAAGGCAGGGCGCTGTGGCTCACACCTGTTATCCCAGCCCTTTGGGAGGCTGAGTGGGGTGGATTATGAGGTCAGGAATTAGAGACCAGGCGAGCCAACAAGGAGAAACCCCGTCTCTACTAAAAATATAAAAATTAGCTGGGCATGGTGGCGGGCACCTGTAATCCCAGCTACTCAGGAGGCTGAGGCAGGAAAATCCTTTGAACCTGGGAGGCGGAGGTTGCAGTGAGCCAAGATCATGCCATTGCACTCCAGCCTGGGTGACAGGGCGAGACTCCATCTGGAAAAAAAAAAATTAAAAAAAGCCAGAGGGGAAAAAAAAATTTTTGCTAACTCACTCAAATACCCTGAGAATGCTGAGAATGCAAGCAAAATCCTTTGTAGAGACATGGATGAAGCTGGAAACCATCATTCTCAGCAAACTATCACAAGGACAAAAAACCAGACACAGCATGTTCTCACTCATAGGTGGGAATTGAACAAGGAGAACACACGGACACAGGAAGGGGAACATCACACACCAGGGCCTGTTGTGCAGTGGGGGGAGGGGGGAGGGATAGCATTAGGAGATATACCTAATGTTAAATGACAAGTTAAAGGGTGCAGCACACCAACATGGCACATGTATACACATGTAACAAACCTGCACGTTGTGCACATGTACCCTAAAACTTAAAGTATAATAAATAAATAAATAAATAAATGTGCCCCCCCCCAAAAAAAAGAATGCAAGCAAAAGGAAAACTGCACTTTAAAAAAAGAAAGAAAGAAAGAAAATTTGAGAGAACATAAATGCCACATACATTGTAAATTAAAGTGTAAAGCTTCACAGGTTTATTTTAAAATGACAAAGCTAAAAGTTCCATAGCGCTGTTAATTAATGGTGAAAGTTCAATGGGACATATTATCTTGAATCAAAAGCCATATCTAACTTGTAAGAATCAGTTTATGAAACTGCTAAATTTACATACTGGCCAAGAAGCTGGTATTTAATAAATTTAGGAAATATAGACGGCTAATAAAAAATTTACATTTTTCTTTTATTGAAAACTCCTTATCTTGGTACTCTTAATTAACTCAGACAACATTTTCCTCTAGCATTAGCTCTACCCTCTCTTATCTGATATTTATTATTCATAGTTTTGGTCTCGACTTGTGGATAATTTTGGTCTGAGTCCTAATTCTTAAGTGTTCCTTAATCATTTCATTTTTCCTCTTATTAGCTGTTGCTTTACATAAGAGACCATTGAGTGCCAATTCATTTTGAACAGAAAGGTCAATTTTGTCTAAAAATAACAAACTTTGTCTTGTTTCATTTTCTGGTAAGAAGAATGAAGAGCTAAAATTATCATTGTGAGATAATACATATGTCTTCCAGGAATTTGTCTGGCTCCCAGACAGAATCATTTTGGAGATTATATGGCAGTTATGAAAGTCAGTATGCGCTTTGCTGTGAACTTAATTGCGCCACCCCCCACGCCCATTCCTATATTGAAGCTGTAACCCCTCATGTGACAATATATGGAAACATTTTAGAAGGTGATTAAGGTTAAATGAGGTCATGGTGTGGGGGTCCTAATCCACTAGGATTGGTGGCCTTATAAGAGGAGGAAGCCCTCTCTCTCTCTTCCTCTCTCTTTCTGTCTTTTTCTCTCTCTTATCTCTCCCTATCTGCCTCTCTCTCTCTCTGTGTGCTCAGACACCAAGGAAAGACCATATGAGCACACAGCAAGAAGGTGGCTGTCTGAAAATCAGGAAGAGGAACTTCACCAGAACATGACTCCATCAGCACCTTTATCTTGCACTTCCACCCTTCATAACTGTGAGAAATAAATTTCTGTTGTTTAAGCCACACTGTCTATGGTGTTTTGTTGTTGTAGCCTGAGTATATTGGAGCTTATTTTCAAATCATTGAAACAGATGAGACCAAATATAATATTTTTTACAAAACCTCATGTTTAATTATTTTCTCCTTTTCAGATGGAAACCTAAATCCTTCTTTATACCAGCACCAAGACCCTGGAAGCTAAAAATTGGTGCTGGGTTCCTCACTCTGATATTATATTTACTAGTTTTGTGATTTAAACAATTTAGTTAATTTATCTGAATTTGTAAGATGTGTTATTATTAACACCAATTGAGAAAAGAAAAACTTTGGATTGTCTATATAATCTTTATAACTCTTGGTCATAATTTTTGATTGTCATATGCATTTAAAAATTTATTGTGGCAACCTTATGTGGTAGTGAATGGAAAAATCCCGAAAGTATAGAAATCTCATTTCAGTTTTGCAAGTTAACATTCTCTCGCATGTGAAATAATGCTGAAGATGCAAAATCAGCACTGGAAAGTGTGTAAACCAAATTATATGAGCAAGAATATTAGAAAATTAGTGTGCAACATTAGGGGTTTTAATTTAATATCAGAACTGAAAAATTATGGGGAAGAATGTAAAGAGACAGGCGTAGTAATCACTTTAAAGTTGATTATGGGCGATGTTTGACCCTATATTCCTTACATTATTTTTAAAAATCAAACTCATTATCTACAGATATTAAACTTAAAAGTCAAAATTGGTTGGTTCTGAAGCTTAAAAATTCCAATGCTAGAATTCATAATGTTATAGAAAATTATAATAAACTCATCTTAGAGATCTTATTATCTTCATTTTCTATATAAGGAAACCGACAACTAGAAAAAATGAATTACTTTTGTAAGACAGTGTGGACCATATTTTCTGTTTCTTAGTTTTAAATAATGAGCCTGTATACTATATGTCTCCTTATGTGGAAAATAGAAATATGAATCCCATCCCCCTCAAAAAAGACTATTTTGACAGGTAGTTTGTGAAAATTTTACATTTTAAATAACATGTTATTTAATTCATAATATAGGATGGGAGGACAGGCATGATGGTGTGTGCCTGTATTCCCACCAACTCAAAAGGCTGACATGGGAGGATCACTAGAGCCCAGGAGTTTGAGGCCCACATGGGCAACTTAGCAAAAACCTGTCTCTAAAAATCAAAACAGAGAAACAGGATGAAGAATGTTCATACGGATTCTGTTATCTACTATTTAACCAGGTAAAGAGAAATGCTCCAAATAGTTTACGTGTTTACAATACATGTTTTTGAATAAATGAATGAATGGCAAATGTATGTTATAATAATTTATCAATTGTATAGAAATAATAGATGATTAGAAGAGAAAGAAAATAATTGCATCAGCTTTGTAATTCATTTCGGAAAATTTTAATTTCTGCATTCTTTTCAATTTTGCGATAGAAGCCCAGCATTCTCACTATAACCTACATACTTAATATAGATAAAGCTGATATAGATCTGCCTTGTGGTGAATCCTCGAGAAGAATTGCCAGGGAATGGTACCTGTCATTAAAAGATATTTTTCAACTCATCTAGACAGAAGCGTAAACACTTCTGTTCTAAATAGTCATAATAACTTGTTCTTCCTTTTCAAACCCCTGTCGAGACACAGCAAACTTAAGTAACATATGTTAAGTAATATATATGCAAAGTTATACACATACATATGTGTTTATATATACACACATATTTTAATTTATGTATATTATTTTCTGTCTCTACTAAGAGAAACACAATTTTTATGTTTATATTTTTAAAAACTATATTTGTTTCTTATTCTTCCCTTAAATAGAAATTTACTCTTTGGGCAATTTCATTCTTCTTTTTGTTGGATGAATTTCCCTTCTCTTCAATCAGAATTTGTATTTTTATGATTTAATTGACTTTCTCATCAATCAAATCATAGGCTAAAAGTGAACCTTTGAACTGCCTTCATAGTGACTAATTTCTTCATCCTCATTGCAGAATCATTCACAATAATTTCACAGCATTAATTTTAATGATCATTACACATCAAAATAATCTGAAATATATAAGCAGATATATGATCTCAAATTTATGTAAAAATAAACATAAAAAAGAAAAAAAATTAAATGTCTCAAATTTTAGATATTTTATAGTTATGTGCTCTGTAGATTTGAGTGTACATATTCAGAACTATAAAAAATATTGATGTTCATAAATGTGGCATTATTAAGTGATATTAGGAAAAGTTATAGTAATACTACAGTAGGTACTTTCTGTTGTTCATAAAATACACTTTATTGGTTCCTTTTTCCCCAAGGTAGAATACTAAAGTTTTGCGGTTAATTTCTGCAGGCATATATATTACTAGGGTTCTTAGTAGCAGTCAGCAGAGTCTACTCTAACTAGTTTAAGCCAGAAGTGATTTGATAGTCACTGAAAGACATAACAGACGGAACTATGTGACAGAACTGGGCCATTAAGAAAGTTGTTGTCTCAAGTAATATGAGCAATCTGAAAATGATTTACTATTTGACACTCCAGAACCATTCATTAAGCCGCTGTGTTAAGAAACTGTGTGATAGATCAGTAAGTAACTATCTCTGTTGCAGATCATGCCATGTCTGCCACAAATCACACTAGCAAATAGGTACTCAAACTCTTTCTTGTGATTTAACTTAGTTCCAAATCAAAGTCATGTGCATAGAAGAAAGCTATGTGAATATGGGTTAAGAAAAATGTATTAAGCCGGGCGCGGTGGCTCACGCCTGTAATCCCAGCACTCCGGGAGGCCGAGGTAGGTGGATCACGAGGACAGGAGATCGAGACCATCCTGGCTAACACGGTGAAACCCCGTCTCTACTAAAAATACAAAAAATTAGCCGGGCGTGGTGGCGGGCGCCTGTAGTCCCAGCTACTCGGGAGGCTGAGGCAGGAGAATGGCGTGAACCTGGGAGGCAGAGCTTGCAGTGAGCAGAGATCATGCCACTGCACTCCAGCCTGGGCGACAGAGCAAGACTCCGTCTCAAAAAAAAAAAAAAAATTAGCCAGGCGTGGTGGCGGGCGCCTGTAGTCCCAGCTACTCAGGAGGCTGAGGCAGGAGAATGGCATGAACCCAGGAGGTGGAGCTTGCAGTTAGCCGAGATGGCGCCACTGCACTCCATCCTGGGCGACAGAGCAAGACTCCGTCTCAAAAAAAAAAAAAAAAAAAAAAAAAAAAAACTGTTGCGTTTCCTATTTAAAAGACACATCTAAGAAAATTTAAAAGACAAGCAATAAACTCAGAGAAAATATTTGAAAATTATGTCTATAAAAGGACTACTATATCTGCAATATCTAAAGAACCTTTACCACTCAAAAATCAGAAAACATACAACCCAATGAAAAATCAGCAAAATCTTTGAATAGATATTTCCCCATAGAAAAACATGGAAAGATGTCCAACATCACGTTGGAAATGAGTTTGATAGTTTCTTTAAAAGTTAAATTTAAATCTACCATAGGACCCAGTAACTCTACTCCTCGATATCTACCCACCCGAGTCATGAAACTGTATGTCCACACCAAAATTTATAAGCAAATTTCCATAGCAGCATTATTAAGAATGCTAAAAATTATAAATAATCCAAATGTTTGTTACCTGATGAATGAATAAACAAGATGTGGTATATCCATGCAGTGCAATACTGTTAAGCAATTTTTTTTTTTTTTTTTTGAGACAGAGTCTCGCACTTTCGCGCAGGCTGGAGTGCAGTGGCGCCATCTCGGCTCACTGCAACCTCCGCCTCCCGGGTTCACGCCATTCTGCCTCAGCCTCCCAAGTAGCTGGGACTACAGGCACCCGCTACCACGCCCGGCTAATTTTTTTGTATTTTTAGTAGAGACGGGGTTTCACCATGTTAGCCAGGACAGTCTCGATCTCCTGACCTCGTGATCCGCCCGCCTCGGCCTCCCAAAGTGCTGGGATTACAGGCATGAGCCACTGCGCCCGGCCTGTTCAGCAATTTTTTTTTTTTAAATATCAACACATGCTACAATATGGCCGTGCTTCCAAAAAAGCATACCCTGTTTAATTCTATTTATATGAAATGTGAAAAGCAAATCTAGAGACAAGAATATTAGAAGGCCAGGTGCCAGTGGCTCATGTCTTTCATCCCAGCACCTTGGGATAAAGAGACAGGGGGATCACTTGAGTCCAGGAGTTTAAGACCTGTCTGGGCAACATAGCGAGACCAATTTCTAACAACAACAACAACAAAATCCCAAAAACAAACAAACAAACAAAGCTCCCACAAAAACTAGCCAGGCATAGATAGCAGTGTCACCTGTAGTCTCAGCTACGTAGGAAGCAGAGGTAGGGGAGGATCATTTGTGCCCAGAAGATCAAGGGTGGCAATGAACCATGATCGTGCCGGTTCACTGCAGCCTGGGTGACGGCCAGACTGTCGCTTAAAAAACGTAAAACAAACACCACAATGTAGATTAGGTTTCCTGGAATGTTGGATGGAAACAGAGATGACTGCAAAAGGGCAAAAACGAATATTTGGGGGTAACGAAAATATTTTAAAAACTGAACTGTGGTGATGGTTGCACATTGTGAATTTACCAAAAATCACTGATTTGTATCCATAAAATAGGTGAATAAAAGAACCAGAAGAATATGTATAAAAAAGCCAGGATAAATAAAGTTTCGGTTTTTTAATTGAAGAAATAAAATTCTATGCACAGTATATTTTTTCTGTGCTGTTTATCTTGGGAAATTCTTTGAGCACTGACTCCTGTATCTTCAAATGTTTGAGAGCCTGCGATGTGTATTTCAATGTATACACTTGAATATATATGTCTCATTTGGCTTTATGCTAAATAATTATTCTAAAACATTACTTTAAAAATTGAGTCTATTACCATTATTACACTTTTTGTATGTGTTGATTTTATTTTACAAAATAAATCCATGACTCTTGTCTCATTTAATTTTCACAGCATTTTTGTAAGTTAGGTGATAATATTATAATTATAGTCAAACCTTTCTATCTGTTTGATCTGGATAGCTTATTTAGCCATTCTAAGTTATTTTCTTATCTGAAAACATGGAGGTATTAATATTCTCATGTCACTAAGTTATGGAGCATTGTGTGAAATAGTATTTGGAAAGTACACAGAGCACAGCCCTACACAGTGAGCACCAGACATTGTGTATTAAAAAACAAATCTTTTTATTATCATTAATAGAAGTATTATTTTTAGCAATGAAGAAGCTGAAACTTCCACAGCCAAAGTGAATTGCCCAAGCTCACATAGCTACCAGATGCAACATACTATATAACATGTGTTTCCATCACATCAACATCATAGCTTGTTCATACTGATGTAGGTTCTATGTGGGCATTAAAACTGCTGGTGTGTTTCAAATAATGTTTATTTTATTCTACTATGCTTATAAATATAGTAAGTTGTATGTTTAAACTTTTTTGTTATTGACCTGAATTTCAAAACTATATCTAAACATGTCAATCTTACAAGTGTGTGTATACACTTTTATAATGTGTTTGTAAAGATTTTCCTTTAGAAAACATTTTTGTATTGAAAATAATCTTTTCCATCAAATAAGTATTTTCTGTATATTCATAGCACAGAAGAATGTTACTTAGATTCAATTGAATAGAAAGATTTATCTATAGATATCAGATAGCTTGCTCAATTTTAATGAGTGCAGAGTGAGTTTCAAACATCAGTCATTATTATAAAACTATATATATTTAATTTTCTAGTATATTTTACAATCAGGAATCTGGTGTCTTTGGAGGATTATTTTCTATTACAAACTCGGTGAGCCTTCTGATATAGATCCTTTCTATATTCTTAAGAAATACTTACATTTAAATATAAAAATACTTCCGATATTGTTATGGATGCTATTGTATCAACTGTATTCTTCAAATGACTGTATTTTGTGCTGGTCTATAAATCATAAATACTAGAATATTTGCAGGCTTCAGTTTTCATTCTTGGCAAATATTCCTAAATTTTATTACATAAAACCAGGATTAACAGCATGAATATTAATTTGGTTCAGGTCCTTTTCTCTCTTTGCATATTTAATTTTCATAATCTATTGACCTCAAGTTCCCATACTTATTTTATGAAGCTTTTTAAAATAATTCCAAATTGCATTCTGTGTGATCTATACAACTTGCAGTTTTAAAAAGGTAACTAGGGATTTCTACATAAATTGTGTAATTTGACCATAATAGTAATGTTGTATAGGAAGAAGTTGAGTCTTTAATATACTAACCTCAGAAGTATTCAAGGAAACTCTTATATTAGTAAATGATTTTGAGATGTGAATTAGGTCAATGTCTTAAATTCTGGAATGGAGACAGGTCATTGTAAAAGAAGGGCACAGATGTGGGTGGAGGCTCACACCTGTAATCCCAGCACTTTGGGAGGCAGAGGCAGGCAGATCACGAGGTCAAGAAATGGAGACCATCCTGGCCAACATGGTGAAACCCCATATCCACTAAATAATACAAAAATCAGCCAGGCATGGTGATGTGTGCCTGTAGTCCCAGCTACTGGCGAGGCTGAGGCAGGAGAATCGTTTGAACCTGGGAAGTGGAGGTTGCAGTGAGCTGAGACTGTGCTACTGCACTCCAGCCTGGTGACAGAGCAAGACTCTGTCTCAAAAAATAAAAAACATACAAATAAATAAGGGCAGAGAAGACCACACAGATGCTAAAAACATATTAATTAGCTAGAAAAAATATGGAACGTATATTGAGCATGTAGAGTAAAAACTCATTTTACCTACATGGGAAATATATGTGGAAAATTCACAAGGTCTAGAAACCCAAAACTTGGCTTTGTTGTATTGTGAAATGATTGTGAAACCATCTGACCTTATTGCGAGCCCACTATGAGCAAGGGAGTTTGATTAGGTCTGAGGGAGTGCGAGCAATATACAAAAATATTTTTTTCTGCCCTTAAGAAGTGTCGAAGTAGAAAAACAAATAGTAAAAAATGACTCAAATAGATGTTGAAGGCTTAAATCAGTTGATCCACAGCAGAGAACATTATAAATCTAGGTAACACTTAAGACTAAGCGACTTATAGGGTTAGAGAAGAGAAGGCGATGTGATTTGGGGTTTTCTCAGGTTGCTATTTTCTTTAACTTCTGCAAAACTTGTGGTTGGTACAATTGCAAGATTGTTTTTCGTGTCTCTTTTTTGAGATCTTTGGTACGATTTCATTTTGACAGCTGTCAGAACAGTTTTATTTTTGAGAACTGTTTGTCTGAGACAGAGTCTCGCTCTGTCGCCTCCTGGCCTCAAGCAATTCTCCTGCCTCAGCCTCCCAAGTAGCTGGGATTATAGGCATGTGCCACCACGCCTGGTCTTTGTAAGACTTGTAAGAACAGGTATCAGAGACATCATTTTGGAGTGGAGAAAAATGAAAATTTTGCATTTTAACAAACTTTTCCAAAGTTATTCATCCACTCACTGCTGACAGAGGAATTACTATTCATTCTGATATTTAGCCTAATATTTTGTTCACTATTAGATAGTAGGTGCTAGGTAGGCACAGCTAATGCAGAAGTTGCTTTTTTTTATTAATTTAACAACTAATAACAATTAACAAACAATTAAGCCTATTTCATGTCAAGTGTTATACTAGCCACTGGATATACTAAGGTGAGTGAAAATCATATGATTATGTTCATTAAGACTAAATCCTAGTGAAAGGAAACTGCCAATAAAAAGGTTAAAAATGTAAACAGTCCTCTGAAGTATCATGAAGACAGTGTTCAGAATATACTGATTATAAAAGCATGGTCAGAGAAAACCTGTTTGAGTTGTTAAATTACTTCTGGGACTTTAGCAATGCTGAAGAAACATTAGTATAGAGTTGGGGTAGTTGAGAGCAGATGACATAAACTTTGCAATTGTATTAATATTGAAAAACACACAAACGTTGGCAGATTTTCAGAAATGAACAGAGCCCAGTGTGGCTAGAGAAAATGAGTGATAGATAGGTAGCTAGAAATGAGAAAGAAGAAGTAAGCAGGAATGGATACTAAAGGATCTTATATGGATGTAGGAGGAAGTAATTTTAATTTATTTTAATGTATTGATAATAAATTAAAATTTTTCTTCTTTATATATTTATTCTTATTTCTAAAAACAGCTTTATTGAGAGAGAATTGACACAACATACAATACACTCATCTGAAGGGTACAACTCAATGGTTTTATATCATGTTTATAGGTTATCAAAATGATCTAATTTAAAAATATTTTCATTACTCCCCAAAAAACCCTGCACCTACTAGCAAGCACTCTTCATTCCCCTCAATCCTTCTCTCCTCACCAGGTCTAGACCACCACGAATATACTAATCTACTTTTTGTGCCTATGGATTTTTCTCAGACATTTTGTTTAAATTGAATCATATAATATGTGGTCTGTTGTGACTGGCTTCTTTCACTTAGCATAATGCTTTCCAAGGTTTCCTTGGTATAGCTTATATCACGTACATAATTCCTTTTTATTGTTGAATAATATGTCATTGCATGACTATACCTTTTTTTTATTCATCAGTTGATGGACTTTGTAGTTTTCTCCTTCTGCACTATTATGAGTAAGATTGCATCATTGTAAACACTTTTCTGTGCTTTTGAGTATAGCCATCTTAATAAATATATATCATATTATATTATCTCACTGTGGTTTGGTTTTTATTTGCCTAATGACTAATAACGTTGAGCATCTTTTCTTATGTTTATTGGTCATTTGCATAACTTCAGTGGAGAAATGTCTATTAAAATCCTTTGTCTATTTTTAAATTTTTTTATTTATCTTGTATTAGTTTGTTTCAAGAATTCTTTCTATATATATATATATATATATATATATATCCTGATACATGTTCTTTTCTTTTTTTTTTTTTTTTTTTTTTTGAGACAGAGTCTTTCTCTGTCACAAGGCTGGAGTGGCGCTATCTTGGCTCACTTCAACCTCCGCCTCCCGGGTTCAAACTATTCTCCTGCCTCAGCCTCCCGAGTAGCTGAGATTACAGGTGCCTGCCACCATGTCCAGCTAATTTTTGTATTTTTAGTAGAGACGGGGTTTCACCATGTTGGCCAGGCTGGGCTCAAACTCCTGACCTCAGGTGATCTGCCTGCCTTGGCCTCCCAAAGTGCTGGGATTACAGGCATGAGCCATGGCGCCCAGTCACATTTTTTATAAATAGATAATTTCACACGTTTTCTCTTATTTAGTAGATTCTTTTTACTTTCTTGATGGTGTTCTTTGAAGCTACTTATCTATTCTTTCTTCTGTCACTTGTGCTTTTGGTATTCTATCTAAGAAATCACTGCCTAACATAAGGTCATAAAGATTTACCCTGTGTTTTCTTCTAAGATTTTATAGTTTTAGCTTTTAATTGAGGTCTATGAGTCATCTTGAGTTGATTTTGTGTGTGCTATGAGCTTCAACTTTATTAAAAAGCATGTGTGTATTCAGTTGTCTCAGCATCATTTATTTAAAGACTGTTTTTTTCCTACTCAATTCTCTTGGCACCCTTGATGAAAATTAACCGATCATATACTTACGGATTTATTTTTGAAGAGTAAATTCAATTTTATACACACACACACACACACACACAAATTTCCAAATGTCAATGACTGTTTGTTTTGATTACTGTAGCTTTTGAAAGTCTTGACATGATGAAATGTATGTTTTTCTTCTTTCTTCCTTTGCAAGGTTATAATGGTTATTCTGGTTCTCTTGATTTCCAGATGAATTTTAGAAACAGCTTGTCAATTATTTTCCAAAAAGCAGCTGGAATTTTGATAGGGAGTATCTATTCATTTTTCCTCATTCTGTTGTCTCTGTGCTCTTCATATTGCATAATAGTCATTCATCTGTCTTCAATATTGCTGATACTTTCTTCTTCCAGCTCAAAACTATAGCTCCTTTAATGAAGTTTTTCCTATTTGTGCATTCTACTTTTCAACTCTAGAATTTTCATTTATACCTTATATTTTATAATTTTCTCTTTATTGACATCCTCTATTCAATAAAACATTGTCATTATATTATTTTTAAATTCTAAACATAGTTTATGTCTACTAAATATGCTAACTACAGTAATATTAATTTTTTAAAACTAAACTAGTTTAGGTCTTTAATGTCCAAAGGATGTTATAACAGCTGCTTTGACATCTTATCTGACCCACCTCAAAGGCAATTTCAGTTGTCTGCATTTTTTTTTTTCCGTTTGATAAGTCACACTTTCCAATTTCTTTGCTTGTCTCTTATTTTTTCACTGAAAACTGTGCACTTTACAAAACACTATATAGCAACTCTGGAGACTGATCTCCCCTTCTTTAGAGTTTGTTGTTGTTTTCTTGTTTATTTGTTTAGTTACTTGGCTAGACTATTTCAGTAAAGAGTATAAAGCTTCTGATATTCTTCAGAGCCCAAGGACATGAGTATGTACACAGTCTTCTGCCCTTCAAGGTTTGACTGGGTTAAGCCATGCTGTCTTTAAATATCATTTTCCTTGAGTTCCCCATTAAGCTTCTTGATGGCCTAGCCTTTACTAATTTCTAAATGATGCCTCCACTGTATATTATTTTTTACAATCCCTGAGAATGTGTTGCTCCTGGTTCTAATTGATTGTAGTTAGGCCCTTTGGCAAAGACCACTATTTGAAATTTGGCCAGGCCCTCCATGGGGAGAACTTCTGTTCATGGAACAGTAGCAATTGGGAGGGAGGAAAGGAGATGAGTAGCTCATTCTCTATGTGCTACCCCACTGTGAGCAGGAGCTGTGCATATGCACATATGAGGAAGGGGTGCAGGTGAGCTTAAAACTAGCACCACACCTGGCTGCTATAAACATGGTTTGTGCTGTGGTTTGAATGTCCCCATCAAAACTCATGTTGAAATTTAACTGCCATTGTAATGATATTAAGAGTTTGGACCTTTTAGAGGTGATGACATCATGAGGGCTATGTGCTCGTGAATGCATTATTGTGGTAGTGGGTTAGTGATTGCTTGACTGGATTTCTGATAAAAGGATAAGCTTGGGCCCATTTCTCTTCCTTTTGCATGCTGGCTTTTGTCTCTTGCTTCCATCATGGGATGACTCTCACCAGATGTCGGCACCATACCCTTGGACTTCCCAGCCTCCAGAACTGTGAGAAATAAATTTATCTTCATTATAAATTACCCAGTCTGCGCATTCTGTCATAGCAGCAGACAATGGGCTAAAATACCAGTATGAATATTTTCCAGCCAGATGGTGGGATCTGCTGGTGTTCACTGGCTGCTGCATCTACCTGAAATAGATTTTCTGTTCAAGGAAGTAAGGGAAGATACGAACTACCATGCAGCTGCCAAGCCCACTCTTTCAGCTTTTCTGCTACATAGTGCTGTGCAGAAAAAAGGTACTATGCTGTTTACCAGCTGTCTTGCCTGGCTCCTGCCTACATCGTGGGAGTTCGTGGTGGGGGTAGGATATTGTCTGTCTGCTGCTACTGATTTGATGTAGTCCTTCTACAGAATGAAGCTGTGGAAAAATAGGATGTTCTGATAGCTTCTGTCTTCTGAAATCATCCAGAATAGCTCTTTCATCCTAGTGAAGTGATAGCAAAGCAGACTTCCACATGGCCCTGAGCCTGCTAAAACATATCTTCTACAAAGCAAAGCCATGGGGAGATGGGAGGAATACCTATTAGAAAGCCGTAGCTTCTCAATGTTCTTACCAAGATTTCATAGATTTTCTTAAATAAATGTTTCTCAATCTGCTGTAAGTCCTTTCAGCAATCTTCAAGTAATCTGAATGATTGGTTTTGCTTAAATTTCAGCAGCATAATGAATGATGTTTCTCTAAGCATCTTATACCAGCATTCTGGAAGTCCTGCCTCCAAATTTTAATTGGGGAATAATAGTTCTGACATATTTTCAAAAGTTCTAGGCATGACTCCTGGAGAATAAATTAAAGGAAACAAAAGTAAAAAGAAGGGATTCCTGGTAGGAAAAGAGTGCCGCTGTCCCAGTGAGAGATATTTGTGTTAAAAGTTGAGTTGAAGAAAACTGGGTAAAATCCACACATACATTAAGGGCAAATTTGATAGAATTTGCTATGGGATTAAATTTCTACATCTAGTGTCCCTAGATGGGTTGAATTTAGGTAGGTGTGCATGATTTTGTCTTTAATAGATGGTTATGTGATTTAATAGCATGAAAGAAAAAGCAGACAAATAGGTTTCAGCAATTTAAAGCAATAATTCATTCTAGAATATACTACACAGGGGTGCTTGTCAGATAAAACTCTTATGGACATAAATATTTTATGGAGATAAATAGGTGGCTGTGGAACTTAAAGGAAAGATGGAATTTATCAATAAATGTGTAGTGCATACCAACACAGAGATACGTTCTAGAAAAAGCAAAAACAAAGAAACAAACAACAGGAAAAGAAACATGACTAGAGCTCTAGACATTTCTCTATGGAAAGGACAACTTTTAATGTTTGAATAATGGAGATGGTCAAGGAGTGGCCTCTGATATGAAGATAACTAAAAACTATTTAGTGGAGGAGAATGGATTTCTGTCAATAGTTGTTGAATGAATGAGCTGAGTGTGTAAAGGAGTGTGTCCATAACATAAGTATACCTCATCTCATTCTTGTTTCACAGATACTGCCATTTTTCATAATTGAAAGTTTGTGGCAATCCAATGTTGACCAAGCCTGTTGGCATCACTTTTTCAACAGTATGTGCTGACTTCATGTCACTGAGTCACATTTTGGTAATTCTTGCAATGTTGCAGACTTTTTCATTATAATTATTCCTGTTATGGTGATCTGTGATAAGTGATTTTTGATGATACTATTGTAATTGTTTTGAAGTGCCACAAACCATACCCAATTAATACAGCAAGCTTAATTGATAAGCATGTGTGTTGTAAGTACTCACTCTACTCACTGGCTTTTCTCCATCTTTCTTCCTCTCCTTGCTCCTCCGTATTCCTTGAGACACAACAATATTGACATTAGACTAATTAATAATCCTACAATGGCCTCTAAGTATTCAAATGAAGCAAAGAGTCACAACTCTTACTTTAAATCTAAAGTGAGGAATGATTAAATTCAGTAAAAAGGCATGTTGAAAGCTAAAATAGTCCATTAGCTTGTCCTCTCTTGTATCAAACATCTAGCCAACTTGCGAATGCAAATAAAAAGTTATTCATTTAATTTTTTTTAGAAACAAGATCTTGCTGTGTCACTCAGGCTTGAATGCAGTAGCACCATCTTAGCTCACTATAAACCTTGGGCTCCTGGGCTCAAGTAATCCTCCTGCCTCAGCCTCTTTAGTAACTGAGACTACATGTACATGTCACCATGCCCAGCTAATGTTCTTTACTTTGTAGTGATGGGGTCTTGCTAAGTTGCCTAGGCTGGTCTCAAAATCCTGGTCTCAAGAGATCCTCTCACCTCAGCTTCCCAAAGTGCTAGGATTATAGATGTGAACCACCATGTTCAGCTAAACAGTTCTTGAAGAAAATTAAAAGTATTACTCGAGGGAACACACAAATAATAAAATAAAATAACATTATTTTAGATGTAGAGAAAATTTTAGTGATGTGGAAAGAAGATGAAACCAAGCCAGCCACAGCATTTCCTTAAACCAAAGCCTAATCCAGAGTAAGGTCTTAACTCTTTTAAATTCTATAATGTCTGAGAGTGGTGAAGAAACTGCAGAAGAAAAACTTGAAGCAATAGAAATTGTTTCAAGAGGTTTAAGGAAAGAAGTCATCATTATACCATAAAAATACAAAGTGAAGCAGCAAGAACTGATGTCAAGGCTTCAAGGCTGTAGCAAGTTACCTGGAAAATCTAGCTAAGATAATTGATGAAGATAACTGCACCAAACAACAGATGTCCAATGTAGATGAAACAACCTTATGTTGAAAGGAGATGCCATGTAAGACTTTCATAGCTAGAGAGAAGAACTCAATGCCTGGCTTCAAAGCTTCAAAGGAAAGGCTGGCTCTCTGTATTAGTCCATTTTCATACTGCTAATAAAGACATATGTGAGACTGGGTAATTTATAAAGAAAAAGTGGTTGAATGAATGGATTCACAGTTCCACGTAGCTGGGGAGGCCACAGTCATGGTGTAAGTTGAAGGAGGAGCAAAGGCACATCTTACATGGCAGCAGGCAACAGACTGTGTGCAGGAAAACTGCCCTTTGTAAAACCACCAGATCTCGTGAGGCTTATTCACTACCATGAGAAGAGCAGGGGATAAACCTGTACCCATGATTCAGTTACCTCCCACTGGGTCCCTCCTGTGACATGTGGGGATTATGCGAGCTATAATACAAAGATGAGATTTGGGTGGGGGCATGCACCACACTACATTACTCTCATTAGGAAATAATTCAATTAGTTCATTAAGCTGAAGCTGATGATCATTTAGCATTCTAAAAATCCTAGGGCCCTTAATAATCATGTCATATCTACTCTGCTGCTTATGCTTCATAAGTATAACAACAAATTTTGGATGAGAGTACGTCTATTTACAGCATGGTTTATTGAACATTGAACATTTTAAGCCCAATGTTGAGACCTACTGCTTGGAAAAAAAAAAAGATTTCTTTCTAAATATTACTCTTAATTAAAAGTACACCTAATTACCCAAGAGCTCTGATATGGATGCACAGGGAGATTAATGTTGTTTTCATGCCTGTGAATAAAACATCCATTCTGCAGCTCAAGGATCAATGAGTAACTTTGACTTTCAAGTCTTATCATTTAAGGAATACATTTTGTAAGGCTATTGATAGTGATTTCCCTGATGGATATAAGTAAATTAAATTGAAAAGCTTCTGGGAATGATTCACTACTCTAAATGCCACTAAGAGCATGCATGATTCATGAGAGGAGGTCAAAATGTCAACATCAACAGGAGTTTGGAAGAAGTTGTTTCCAACTCTTATGAATGACTTTAAAGGATCCAAGACTTCAATATAGTAAGTAACTGCAGATGTGATGAGAACAGCAGGAGAACTAGCATTAGAAATTGAGCCAGAAGATGAGGCTTAATTGCTATAACCTCATGATGAAACTTTAACGGATGAGGGGTCATTTTTTTATGGGTGAACACAAAACATAGTTCCTTAAGGTGAAATCTATTCCTGGTGAAGATGCTGGGAACATTGTTGAAATGACAACAAAAGATTTAGAACAATAAATAAACTTAGTTGATAAAGTAGTGGCAGGGTTTGAGAGAACTGATTGTAATTATGAAAAAAGTTCTGTGGGTAAAATATTATCAAACAGCATCACATGCTACAAATATTTTTTATTCGTTAAGCAAATATCAAGGTTTATTATAAAGCCAAAATTATTACGCAAAAATGACTCCTTTGTCCATTGGCTTTCTATGAAGCTCTGCCAGTGAGAAGCACTAGGTGGAGACTAGAAAGAAGAAAGTAGACAATATCTTCTTTTCTCTTTCACATGTCCCGTAACAGTGACATCTCTACAATGGCAGGGAACTGAAAGCAATTGCCAGTTGTGACACACCCATCAGCAAGAGGTGGGCTCTCGGTATCTTGCTCAACACCAGTATCAATTGTAGCAAAAGCCTTCAGTGGCTTCACTGATTGTGGACTGTAGGTTTCATCTAGGGTTGTTAGGCAGCTTCCTAATCTTTGGGTAACAACTCTTTTTCATTTTGCTCCCCAAGAGACCCCCTTCTTCTTTCTTTCAGTCCTCTCCTTCCAATGTTTCTAATAAATCATATAAATGTATGCTCCATTGAAGAACTTGCAGTGATTTATACTTTTCTTTTTAAAATTATTTTTAATTTTATTTATTGAAAGTTCATTAATTTTTTAAGTTTTAAGTTTAGGGGTATGTGCAGGTTTGTTCTATAGGTAAACTTGTGTCATGGGGGTTTGTTGTACAGATTATTTCATCACCCAGGTATTAAGCCTAGTACCCATTAGTTATTTTTCCTGATCCTCTCCTTCTTCCAACCCTCTGCCTGCCAATAGATCCCAGTGTGTATTGTTCCCCTCTGTGTGTCCATGTGTGTATGTCTCATCATTTAGCTCCCATTTATAAGTGAGAACATGTGGTATTTGGTTTTCTATTCCTGCATTAGTTTGCTAAGAATAATGGCCTCAAATTGTATCCATGTCCCCACAAAGGACATTATGCCCTTTTTTATGGCCATATAATATTCCATCGTGTATATGTACCACATTTTCTTCATCCAGTCTATCACTGATGAGCATTTAGGTAGATTCCCTGTCTTTGCCATTGTGAATAGTGCCGCAATGAACATACACATGCATGTATCTTTATGATATAATGATTTATGTTCCTTTGGGTATATACCCAGTAATAGGATTGCTTAGTAAAATGGAATTTCTGTTTTTAGGTCTTTGAGGAATTGCCACACTGGCTTCCATAATGATTGAACTACTTTACACTCGCCCTAACAATGTATAAGTGTGCCCTTTTCTCCACAATCTCAGCAGCATCTGTTACTTTTTGACATTTTAATAATAGCCATTCTGACTGGTATGAGATAGTATCTTATTGTGGTTTTGATTTGCATTTCTCTAATGATCAGTGACAATGAGCTTTATTTTATATGATTGTTGGCCACACGTATGTTTTCTTTGAAAATGTCTTTTCATGTCTTTTGCCCACTTTTTAATGGGGTTGTTGGTGTTTTTCTTGTAAATTTGTTTAAGTTTCTTATAGATGCTGGATATTATACTTTTGTCAGATGCATAGTTTGCAAAAATGTTCTCCCCTTGTGTAGGCTGTCTGTTTACTCTGTTCTTAGTTTCCTTTGTTGTGCAAAAGTTCTTTTGAATCTTTTATGAAAAGAAGAGTCCACTGATGTGGCAAACTTCATCATTTTCTTATTTCAAGAAATTGTCACAGCCATCCTAACTCTCAGCAACCATTATCCTGATCATTCATCAGCCATCAACTTTGAGGCAAAACCTGCTGCATCTCAGCTGCAGCATGTTTTTAATATTTTGAAACCCAGCTACAAAGGATTTTGGAAAGTATTTTATAGATGAGATTAAAGAAATTGCAGAGCAAATTGAAGGATTTAAGGAGTAAGCTTTTGCTATATTTTGTTGGTGTTATGGGCTGAATTTTATTTCCCCAAATTAATATGTTGACATCTTGATCTTCAGTACCTCAGAATATAGACATATTTGGTGGTAAGGTCTTTAAAGAGGTGATTAAATTAAAATGAGGCCACTAGGGTGGGGCCCTAATTCACTTTTATTTATGTCCTTATAAAAAGAGAAAAAGACTTCAGGAGGGTAGCCATCTGCAAGCCAAGGAGAGAAATCAAGCCTCAGAGCAAGCCAAGCCTCCTGGACTCCCAGCCCCCATAACTAGAAGAAATAGACATGTGCTTCTTAAGACACTCAGCCTGTGGTATTTTGCTATGGAAGCCCTAGCAAACTAATATGGTTTGTTTGTTTATTCTGGTTGGATGTTTTACTGCATATGACACCATCAAAGTTTTGCACGTGCCAAAAACAAAAGGACTTAATATTTGCTTCATCTGACAAGAAATTATTCGTATGACAATAAATTATTTATATCTTTCTTATGTATCATCAACAAATATGCTTCTTTTCAGGGCATGTCTCTAAACCTGCAGACTGAGAAAACTGTATCAAATAAATAGCTATATTTGACAAATCCTTAATTCCCCATGGATTAATTCTACAGGGTTATGCCCAAAACATATTCTGTAGTGGATTCAGACATAAAAACTATTTCAGTTTTAGGGATTTGATAAAATGCACAGCTTCACATTCATTTTTAATTTTTCCTAGATATGAATTAATGAAAAGCAGAATTATTGGTAAAACATGGAGATATTTGTAAACTATTTAGTTATTTGTGCCGCTATATGGATACATTTGACTTCCACTCTTAGTATAGATAGTTTTATTTTTAAAAAGTAGTAGCCTTAGCCAGTAGGTATTGCTATATGGGGCAGAAGCAGTTACAATAATGGAATATTCTTCGTAAGTAATTTCCTTATCTGATTGTCATTTGCTTAGGTGTGCTGAATTTCACTTTCTTTTATAGGAGTCATAGTCAGAGTGGTTAATTATTTATAATTTCCCTCTGAAAAATTGTGATTAAGTCATTTTATCTAACTTCATTCCTAAAGAGGCCAATATACGATTAATTGTGTTCAGTGATGGATAAATCCATTTTGTTTTCCTTTGAGCCCTATCAACTCAGTGGCTGAAATTAAAATGAACCAGAACGTCACTTGGAGAATGTGAAACATAGATTTAAATTTTCCCTTCATATGAAAATGTGAGTTGAAATACGATTATTGTGGTATAAATCAAATAATATGCTTTGTAATTATGAGATTTCATTGTGGCTGGTTTGTGTATGTTTCCCCAACCCAAAGAGATTATTGAGTTCTCTAAAAATAAACTCTGGGACAGTTATTCTAATGATGAGATAAATACTTTGAGATTCAATGTAGTTTGAAGAATGAACTGTCAGCCCAGTCCGAAAAAATGATAGGAAAGACGTGGTGTTCCAGTGCATAGAACCATTAGACAATGGTCCAAGTTAAATGTAAGATCCAGAATTTCATTCAAGAAGAAGTGATTTGTGAATCAGCCATTACTGGTATTTAGTTTGACAGCACAGATTTGTTCACAGTGAGGTTCTCAGATAAGTTATTCACGCAACAAAGGAGGTAGGTTACCTAATAAGAGCCCAATGCATTCAAACTATTCTATAAGGCAGACATACAGCAACTGGGGTACAAAATTAGAAGAAACGGGGAGGAGGTTGAACTTGGAGACTGTCTTAACAAGTGCACTGGAATGCCATTGCTTAGGCTGAGAACAGGTTTCAAAATTTAAAGCTGTAAGGACACACACATTTAATAATTAGAGATATTCCCATTAATTGAGGATTAGTTCTAGAAGTAGAATGATGATTTACTTGACATAGACTACTTTAGCTAAATATAAAAATGGCATATCATGTCTTATCTAAATAAGACCTCATTCCTCTAATCTTGTCTCTACAAGATGGGCACACTGTGTCTATTCTCTAGATGCCTTATTTGATTCAAGACGATACTCAGTAGGCTTTCATCTGGATTTTGATTATTCATTCCAAGGCACAACTTAACAGTTTTGTTCAAAGTACTAAATACAGATGTATTTTTAAATTCCCTCTTCTTAAAGATTTAGTCTTTCAATGTGTGGCCTGAACTTATATTTATAAATGATAGGAATTAAGATTTTTTTATTTTTATTTTTCTAGAACCAGGAGGCCGGGCACAGTGGCTAATGCCTGTAATCCCAGCATTTGGGAGGCCAAGGCGGGCAGATCACCTGAGGTCAGGAGTTTGAGACAAGCCTGGCCAATATGGTTAAACCCCTTCTCTACTACGAAAAAAAAAAAATGCAAAAATTAGCTGGGCATGGTGGCACACACCTGTAATCCCAGCTACTCGGAAGGCTGAGGCAGGAGAATCACTTGAACCTGGGAGGCAGAGGTTCCAGTAAGCCAAGATCACACCACTGCACTCAAGAGTGAAACTCTGTCTCAAAAAAAAAAAAAAGAAGGAAACATTAGAGATAACTACACATAATGTTTATATTTTATTATTCATCCCCAACTTGTAATGTCAAATAGATTCAAACAGCACATACATGACTAATCTGAGCAGAAAAGGTCCTTGGACAAGCCTCACAGTTTACTCTCACAAGTGGCATCAGATCTGCAATAGACTTCTGAAAACCATGAATGTAAGTCATTTAGAGAACACTCATTCATTGACATGTAAAATCTTCTCTGATAGTTGTCCTTTGACCCCCTTTCAACAAGAGGTAAAGGTTTTTCTATGTGTTTTCAATCCACCCTGGGCATGTGCCTTTATCATAGTGTCTCTCACACTGAAAAAAAACAAAAACAAAAAAAAGAGTGGTCTAGCTCCTTTCTCTTATCTTGTTAAATCGTATTACTTAAAACCAAATCATTGGCATATGCCAGATGCTGAGGTTAGGTTATGAATATCATTTCATATAGTATTAAAAATTCCATGACATGTATAGTATTATTAGAATTTTAATGACAGTATAAATGTTTAAACATATAAAATAATTTGTACAAGTTATAGGGTTGTTTGTGAAAGATGTATACTATTATTAGATTTTTAATGACACTATAAATGTTTAAACATATAAAATAATTTGTACAAGTTATAGGGTTGTTTGTGAAAGAGAACCGAGGAAGTCAGATATAGCCCTGAAATTCCTAGCCACTATGCTGCTTGCCTTCATGACAGGCAACACATTCAATATGTAAATTAAAATGTTTGAAAACTGCTTCATATATATTGAAGCATGAAGTAGGAATGAAGTAATGAATTGCATATTACAAGTAAGCCATATCATTAATGAGGGTCCATGCACTACATATCACTGCTAATAATCAATAACTCTAAGTCCATTATGTATTTAAAATATTTAAATCTCTACAAGATGAGAAATGTTAGATAATGTCTTGGGTGAATTATATACCCAGTGTCAGGAGATTTACTTAAGCTGATCTTTTTCATCATGCAAACCTTAACTCACATTTCTGCTTCCTGTGAAGGCTTTTCCTAACCACACAAGTTAAGTACCTGCTGTCACTCTTACTGGTTTCTAATATTTTCTATTTATTTACTTTTTATTTATTTTATTACTAATTAATTATGGTTACCTGTACAAATATATAAAGCTTCATGATATTGAGACCAAGTCTATTGGATAACTCAAGACTTAAAATGGTGCCCATCATATTGTAGGTATTTAATAAATATCTATAAAATGAATTAACTAAAATATAGAGTTTTTAAAATTAAATATTGCTAAAGTTATCTGCAATAGTGAACAGTATTATTAGTAATAATAGTAAAATTAGTAAAAATAGTAATGACTATTCATAATTTATTGAATGCTTACCCTATATAGGATTTGATATAGATTTGCTTAAAGATGGCTATTATTTCTACAATTATATAAAATCCTGTAAGCATTATTTCTCACATTTTGGAAAAAGAAAAAACAATTTTTAGAGAGCATAGTAGACTAGTACAAGGACACACAACCAATAAGAAGGTTAATCTATGGTTTATACTTTATCCACCTTGTTACATTTCTATACTGTTTTCACTTGTTACACTAATGCATGCAGATTCATTTTCTTTATATATTTTATGTTTGCTGTATTTAAGTACTCATCAGTTTCTCAGCAGTTGGTTCTGTTGCCCAATTTCATTGTTTAAGTCTTTTCTGGCCAAAGTGCTGTTATGAGTATAGAGAATTTTTTATACATTTATTTGAGTGAAAGATAAGACCCATTACATAAGAATTAATGTAGGCTTTTTATACTGATTTTTGCAGTCATAACAGTAGTATGTTTTCTCTAGCATATCACCTAGCCATGGGTGGGAATTCATTTAATGGATATTTAAATAAAGTCTGTTACTTTATTCAAATACACAGTGAGGATTTTAGTCATAAAGAAATTGGGAGGCCAGGCAGATGTGTGGTTTGTTCAATGGAACTGAATTTGAAGAACAATTAATATGATGTGGGATTGGATTGCCTACCTCCCTAAGGACAAAATATGCCTGAAATTGCTCCTTCAAATGCGTCCTATAGGCACCATTCCGTGAGCGCACAGTGGGAGTGTCAGAGTGATTTGGGAACAAGAGCCAATCAAGAGTTCATGAAAAGCATTCTATGTATATATAAAATATATAACAAATTTGGACACAGTTTTAAAACCTTTTTCGATATATTCAAGGACAAAAAATATTTGTTACTATTCATTGACATCCTTGCCTCTAAATGGAAATTATTTCAGTCTATCACAGTTAGACTTATTTATCTTCTCCATTCATTTGAACGAAGTGTGTTAACTCTACTGGGTGACAATTACCTACCTGGCAAAAACATCATTATATTTATTTAATGTGTACAAGGTTGATTTACATGGAGCACAGTATTTTTAATGCACTAAAATCAGTTTTCTCTTTGTATCTTTGTGAGGAAGTAACAAATGCTACCTACCAGAATTACAGGTAATACAAAGCAATACCTGCACCGTGATTCCATGAACACATTCGCAGCAGAAAAGTAACATTTATTTCTGAAAGATAAATAGAACATTTTAAATTTATTTAATGTTACTGGAATATTTTACGTGGAATATTATTTTAATTCAAAATGCATAGAAAAATTAATTTATAAATAGCTCCATGTATTGCTCTTTAATGAGAGTAGGGACAGCCATATATGGTCTACAGATTTTAAGTGGAAGCATGGCTCACCTCCACAATTTCTTCCCCAGGTAAACACTTAGCTTTTTAGTTTGTAACTCTGCTTGAAGACTGTGATATTTACGAATCATGATTCTCTTTAGCCTAACTTACTGTCACAGGATCTTGGGGTGTTGCTTTTCTGGCTGGAAACCTCTGTGACCAGTGGCACATTTGCCTGAGTTTTGCTCAGGCTTGCTGGGCTCCTTCTGCTCACGTGGCCTGACAGGCTGCACTTGGCTTGCTCTACCAGTCTAGATCCCATACCTGCCAAGGATAAGCCAGGAGCGGAGCGGCAACCAGGTGCAGAGCGGCAAGGGGTGTGTGAGCGAGTGAGCGTGCGGCACAACCAGGTCATACAGCAAAGCACGCCAGTTGTGGTGGGGCTGGCAGCTCCAGGTGCCGGCACAGGTGCTGGCTCTCTGAGAGGCTGTAGCTGGACCAGGCATACTGCAAGCAGCTTCCACAGCTGGCATTGGGAAATGCAGTGGCACCCGAAAGCTTGGAGATGCCAGGAACCACAAAGCCCCAAAGAGTGTGTCACAGACTTGGCCTGGGGAGCTCCTACATCTGGGCTCCCAGAAGAGCTGCAGCTCTTCTCTCCTTCACTCTTTTCTCCTTCTCATGGCCCATAATGTGGCAAGCAAGGGGTATGTCTCAGCCCTGTTTGTGTTATCGCTCTTTCAGTCCTGCCATTCAGCAGGCCTAGAGTTCTTGTCCTGCATCCAGGAGAAATGAGGTACCTGAACAAGAGGAGGGTGAGCAAGGCAAAGAGGTGCTTTATGTCGAGCAAAAGAACAGCTCAGAGGAGACCCAAAGTGGATCACTCCTCTCCACAGGTAGGTCATCCCCAAGTGTCCAGCTCTCAGTGGAGCGGAGACCCACAATACATATTTCCTCTCTGTAAGCATTTCATCCCTTCATTTGCCTGAGTCTGGCTGACTATGATGTTTTCAAGGGCTTCAGAGGGGAGGAAGTACATGCTGATTGGTCCATGGGCAGCCATGGGTGGGCCTAGAAAGAGCACCATAATTTCTAACTCCAGTCCATGGAACTGGCAGCCCAGCCCCCAGGTCTCAGGCCGTCCCTGGCCTGAAGGTGGGGTTTCACTGAGGACCTATCCCTTTCTTCCCAGGAGCCTGTCTGCTTCCTGCCAACATTAACCTGCCGTCCATGGTGCCCATGGCACCCAGGCTGTTTGTGCCGAGGGGTGTCTGCAGGCTCACACCAAGCCATTCACAGCCCCCTTCAGCCTCCGTCCTGTGCTCGTCAGGGTTCAATGTCCAGAGGGGGCTGAGGTGGCAGGGGCTGGCTTGTCAGCACTGCCTCGAATGCGTGCACACCAAGCCAGATTGTGACAGCACCTGGGCTCAGCCACAACTTTGCTCCAAAATCGGTGGGGTCGTCAGAAGCAGGGAGAGGCCAGGCAACGGGAGCAGGCACTTTTGAACCTGAGGGGGCAGAGGTGCTTCCTGGGTCCCCAAGAGTACAGAGATGCCCTGGTCCACTGCCACTGCTGGGCAGCTACAGCTGTGCCTAGGAGGGTGAGGCTCCCGCTCCTCCAACTTGGAAGGGGGTGGGGCTTCTGCCGGTTCCCAGTTCCCACCAGCTCTGTGTAGTGTGTGGCCCTTGCCATGCCTCCCCACTGCAGCTGGTGTCGTGGCAGTGGCCACTCCAGACGGGCCATCACTCCCATCATTACTATCTCAATCATAACGAAGTGTGAACTGGTTTAATATTCTTGCCAGGCTGGCCCGGTGGCTCATGCCTGTAATCCCAGCACTTTGGGAGGCCGAGGCGGGCGGATCACGAGGTCAGGAAATCGTAGCCATCCTGGCTAACATGGTGAAACCCCGTCTCTACTAAAAATACAAAAAGAAATTAGCCGGGCGTGGTGGTGGGTGCCTGTAGTCCCAGCTACTCGGGAGGCTGAGGCAGGAGAATGGCGTGAAACCGGTTGGTGGAGCTTGCAGTGAGCCGAGATGGTGCCACTGCACTCCAGCCTGGGCGACAGAGCGAGACTCCATCTCAAATAATAATAATAATAATATAAATAAAATATTCTTGCCAGTGTTACAAACAAATAGTGCATATCAAATGTATCAAATGCAAGTTGACTAAGCTATCTGTGAAAAATTTTAAGAGGCCTGAGCTATGTGTTTCTACACACTATGTAAACAGATAGCATGTTCTCAGATGGAACAGAAGAAATGATACAGAAAACCCAAAAATAAAAGAAGGGAGAAAAACCACTGAGCTTCTTTGATAACTTACCTTTACAGTAACTCCAAAAGATAATAGTTAAAAGAAAATGGAATGATAAACTTCACATATCAAGGTGTGTCCACATAGCTGCTGGGACCTTATAAAAAATAATACTCCATCCTATTGGTTTTGCAGCCAATTAACATGTAGAAATTTCACATAATCTCTCTGTACCTTAGTGTCCTCACTAGTAAAATGGGGATCATAATAATATTACTCATAGGACTGCTGTGAGGGTTAAATGAGTTAATGTGAAAATCTCTTAGGAAAGCACAGGGTATATAGGAAGTACTTTTCAAATTTTAGCAATTACTAATTTCATGCTTCCTAACAGGATATTCATTCATCATAGATTAAAGGTACTATCATACTAATGATGAAAATCACTATGTCTGAAAACTGTATTCATTACAATGTGACATATATAATTGATGGCCAATAATGATTCGGAAAAACCTATAAATTCTGTGTAAGTGTTTTAGATGCAAATTCTGATACTGAATATATATATATATATATATATATATATATATATATATATATGCATATATATATATATATGCATATATATATATATATATCACAAGCATATTAGTCTTTAGGGATAAAAGATAGCAATTATTGAATAGTAGAAATAAAAGTTATTGATTTTTATGAATGTAGTAGTTACTCTTTGTTAATGGCCAGTGAATATATAAATGCACTGAATTTTTAAAATTACTATTCTGTTAAGAAAATTTAATCTCATGTCTAATTCAATATTTTGACCACTGTTGATGAACATCTTTGTCATGTATTTTTACACAAAGTCTTTTCTGTGTTAATTCCTACTCTAATTCATGGAAATGTTTTCAAGGTTATATCGAGAGTCAAATGAAAATGATTTCCCATAGCATAGATCAACAACATAATTGGGGAGAAAAAATAATTAAAATAATTATAATTAAGATGTTGGTTATAAAGGATACAGTCCTTATTTTGTCAATAAGTGATTTAGAAAACCAGAGGTTTCTTTTTTTTTTTTTTAAATCTCAGTTCACTGCAACCTCTACCTCCTGGGTTCAAGTGATTTTTCTGCCTCAGCCACTCAAGTAGCTGGGATGACAGGTGTGTGCCACCGCTCCCAGCTAATTTTTGTATTTTTAGTAGAGATGGTGTTTTGCCATGTTGGCCAGGTTGGTCTCAAACTCCTGACCTCAAGTCATCCACCCCCCTCAGCCTCCCAAAGTGCTGGCGTTGTAGGCGTGAATCACTGTGCCTGGCTGAAATCCAGAGGTTTCATAGGCTACTTCTGCATGAAATTTCAAAGAGAAGCTGGAATTTGTGCTCATCCTGGAAAGGTATATACAATACATATACTTCAGATCTGAGAGTGATACAGTGATTCACTGTTACTAGCTATTTCAGTTATCCACATAGCAAATAGCTCCCAAATTGTGTAACTCAACAACAAATATTCACTTTTTTTGTGATTCTTTAATTGTATCAGGGACTTGGGGGGCCATTTATCTTTGTTTCACATTGTGTTGGCTAGGATAGCACATGCAGCAGGATCCAGCTGGAAGTTTTAGCTTGGGTGTCAGAAAATACTGAGACCTGAATGGTTCTCTACCTCAAGGAGGGTAGCCAGGCTTCTTACATATTGGCTCGGGGATCCAAGAGAGTGAAAGCAGAAGCAGTCAGGCCTCTTTAGAGCTGGTCTCAAAAATGACTCAGCGTCACTTTAACGACATTTTCTTCCTGGTCAAAACAAGTCATAAGGCAGCTGGAAATGAAGAGGAGGAAAAATATATGGCCTCTCAATGAAAGGAGCAATAGGTACACCTAGAACTGCAGGGATTAAGGATGACTATCTTTTTAATCTGAAAACCACCATATTAGTACTGGAATACTGTACGTTTCCTTTTGATTTTCATAAACTCTGAATATTACAATATTTCTTTTATTAAACTTGTCTAGAATTACCCAGTCTAACTGCTTCCTGCTAAGATAACAAGTGATACAACAATTGGTACCCAGGAGTGACCCTAGGAAACAGACCTTCGAAATGGAATTCTGGGATTGGATCGCTCATATGTTTGAGGAATGTGTATATAGCTTCCTTGCCAGAAAATACTGATAATCTATGGCATGCATCTTACAATTATGTGGCCTACTCTTGGAGGACATGGGCCAAAAAATTGTGAAAGATTCCCAATTTCTATCACTCAGGCTGCAGAAGCATCTATGTGAGTGTGTTCCAGGGTATAAAGTCCAGGAGGATAAACTGTAATGTTGTATTGGGTAAAATCTATTGACATGGCTTCATAATCCTCAAATTCAAGATGAATGTACTATCTTGTGAACCTGGGTGTGGCATCAGTGATCTGTTCAATTAACTAACTAAAGCCTGGTAAATGTAATAGCCTATAGTCTACGAGTCAAAAATGCCAGAAATGTGTCATGTAAAATCTGTTAAGGCATTGCCTTTTCATACCAACTGAAGGAGTCAGATGATAACAACTGGAAGATATTATACTAAGAAATGCTTTGATGAGAGGGTTTGTAAACATCCTTGAAATGCTCAATGGTAGCTGTCTTCTGTGAGCCAGAGATTACTGTGGGATGCTATAATAAAGTTGAATTTTCTGATCTCACTGGGCATGAGGATAATAAAGTAGTAGAGGTGGGTGACAGGACTTAACTACCAGAGATAAGGTAGAAGGAATTATTACAATAAGCCATACACAAAAAATGGTGGTCAGAATTTGTGCACACAAGTATCTGTGGTGTTGGGTAATTTATCACAATATTGCTAGAAACAAAATAGAACATCAGCTACTAATATGCTGCTTGACATATAACAGCAAAACTATATCCACATTAAGCAGGTAGACACCTAACTCAACTCACTGTTGTGAGGATAAATGGCCTCATACTAAGTTTCTAGGCATTAACCACTTCATAGCTTTGGATTGACCTAACCTTGGGCATACCGGGTCTTTCTGAGAACAGATCTTACAACATGGCAGCTGATGTACATTGTGAATCTTCCCTCAAGCTTTCCCAAAAGTGGCCTGCTGCTGTTTACCACGATGAAAGTAGTATCCATACCAGCACTGGTTTGTATTATTTTGGTTCTTTGCCCAAAGTAATTTTCAGAAATATATACTTCATCTCTCCTGGGTTGCTGTGGGCTATGTCTCTCTCCAATAGCTCCTTTGCTTTTGCCTTTCCCATGTTTGGTAACAGCTTCTCTTTTGCTAACCCTGCTATACTGAACTATTCCCTGTTGGTTTTCTTAAATCTTGCCCACATTAAAAAAATTATTTTACTAAAATCTCCTTAAACTAATTACTCTGATTATGAAATCAGCTTCCATAAGGAATCTTGACTAAATGAACTTATCATAATAAACTTATAATTATCAGCAAGTGTTAGGTACACAAATAAGAGAGAAGGCATTCTTACTGAACAAGAATGTGACAGTAAATTGGGTTAACCCTTATTTATTTATTTTTTTTTTTGAGATGGAGTCTTGCTGTGTTGCCCAGGCTGTGTTGCAGTGGCATGATATTGGCTCACTGAAACCTCCACCTCTTGGGTTCAAGTGATTCTCCTGCCTCAGCCTCCCGAGCAGCTGGGACTAACTACAGGTGCCCACCACCACACCTGTCTAATTTTTGTATTTTTAGTAGAGACAGGGTTTCGCCATGTAGGCCAGGCTGGTCTCTAATGCCTGACCTCATGATCCACCCACCTTGGCCTCCCAAAGTGCTGGGATTACAGGCGTGAGCCACTGCACCCGGCCTCCTTATTTGTATTATAATTTTTAATATATATAGATGTCTTTGGGATTGTTGAAAATTCATTATATCTCTTGACCTAGGTGTTGCTTTGAATATTTACCTATTATTGAGTATTTTTTTTGACAGCCAAGATTCAATTTATTTAATTTTTTTCAAATTTGGGGATAGGTATTACAGAAATTTGTTTTCTTCACCACATATAATTAGCTTCTGGCACAAAGAATGTTCACCTGGAGCTTCCTGGTATTTTGCTGATTTGGTTTCTTCTCATCTGAATGCTCCTTTCTATGCCTCTGGTTTTCATGTAGCAGTTTTCACCAAAGCTAAGATGGAGGCTTCATTGAAAGACAGATCTGTGTCCATCTTGCATCAAAACTACTATAGAACATTGATTTGTTCTGCTTTATAACTATTTGGGGTAAAAATAGTGATATGTCAAAATATACTGTGAAGAAATGTACCTTGTACATTGATATATTAATAGTTGTCATATACATTTTTCATAATTACTATCATGGAGAGCATGATTCCAGTTTTCTATGTATGTGTTCTGCAAGCCAAACATTTAACCAGGTTAAGCCATTCACAGTGAACCAGGTAGTAATTTAGAATGTGTTCTCAAAATATTACAAAATTTAGACATAAAAATATTCCACAATTTAGAATGTGTTATCAAAATATTACAAATTGTAGATATAAAAATATGACACCAGCCTTTTAGTGCTGGATGTAATCAAATTTTTAGCTTTGTTGTTTTTGCTATGGTAGGTACTAGAGATACAAAGATAATTATAGCATAGTCTCTATCTTTGTGAATTAAGAAGAAATAGGCTCAAAGTTTTCTTTTTCACAAAGTTGTATCTTCTAATTCAGCCAACACATACAAACACAGTTGGTCCTTGAAAAACTTGGCCTTTTCTATAACAACAATGACATCTTCAATGGTGTAACCCTCCAGACTTTCAACATGTTCTCTCTATTGGAGTTCTCTTTTGTATCATTGACAATCCTTTTCATAGAGTAATCCTTAAAGGTCTTTATGACACCCCAATTTAGAGGCTGAATTATAGACATTGTCTTTCGTGGCAAGATCACTTTGATGCCTTCAGTTTTGAACTCATGAAGTTGTGAGTGACCAGGGTCATTGTCCAATATTAGAAGCAATTTTAAAAGACAGTTCTTTGCTGACAAGGTAGGTTCTGAATTCAGTAAGAAAGCATCAGTGGAGCCAATCTGGAAAATGTATTCTCATTGTCCGAGAAACATGTACAAACAAAAGATTGGCAATTGGCATTTATCACTTTCCTTCAAGGCTTGGGGGTTAGCAGCTCTACAAATAAGAGCTGCCCTAATCATAAACTCACCAACATTTGCACAAAACAGTAGACTTAGCCTATTCCTTTCTGCTTTAAATCCTGGTGCTCACTTCTCTTCCTTACAAATTAATGATCTTTGTGGCTTTTTTTTTTATAGAATAGAGCACTTACTTCATTAAAAACCTGTTCAAGCAAATATTTTCTCTTCAGTGATTTTCTTAACGGCATCTGGAAATCCATCTGTTGTTTTTTTGGTCAGCATAAGCTGCTTCTTCTGTTATCTTGACATTTTTTAAAAACCAAACACCTTTGTAAAAGTATTAAACTATCCTTTGCTGACTCTAAATTCTTCACATTAGATTCTCATTTTCCTTTTGTTTTATCTTATAATATAATGACTTCAAATTTTTAAAAACTCATATTAGAGTCTATAGGTATGTCTTTCTTGTAGCAATATTGCCCCCATGTAAAAGCTGCATTTCCAATATGAGATAAAAAGGTATTTTATTAAAAGTGCAAGGTTTTTATGCCTGGGGTATATAGCTGCAGTGATGGCTTCAGAAATTTTCTTTTCTTTTCTTTTTTTTTTTTTTTTTTACAATACTCCTTATGCTGGATTCATTTATCTTGAAATGGTGTGCTATCCCAGCTGCAGATATCAATCTGCAATACATCTCAGGCAATTCAACTTTTGCTTGTTATGTCATGACTTCGCTTCTACATTACTAGCAACACTTTTTATGGGTCTCATGATGTTATTCAAGGTTGATAATATTACTCTAAACATGGCTAAAAATACACAATAACCATGAGAAATCACTTTTTACTATGGCAGGCAAATTACTGGAGAGACAAAATGGTCATGCAGAGATGATGAGTATCACAAGATGTTTTAAGCAGATACTCTCAACATTTGAGCTCATTGTAATAGCAACAGGAGGTGGCTACAAAGTTATTAGAGAAGTACAGTATGTACTACAGTGAATCTGATGCAGTTATGATGTAATACTGCATCTTTACATTTGCTTACATTTCTTTCAAATGTGAGTGGCCTGATAGACAGTTTGTAAGTATTTGTGTGTGTGAGTTTTGATAAATTTTAACTTTTTAAAATGTGTGTGCATATTTTATGATAATGATACAAAAACAGTAGTATCTACGTATGTTTTATACATTCCTGTCATACCTTTTTCTGATTTTTTTCAGTATTTTTAAACTACATGGTTTGTGAGTTTTTTAAATTGTTGCAAAACTCTAAAACAATTTTCAAAATATTTATTTTTAAAAAAACATATAAATGGACTCATGCAATCCAAATTTGTGATTTTCAAAAGTCGGCTGTGTATATGTCCTAATGAAGATTTATAGACTTTGAAGTTCAATAATATTGAATCTTGTTTTAAATTTTACCTTTGTTTTTCTTTTACATTTCTTAACTGCCCTGAGTTTTAGATTGCTCATGTTTATGAAGAAGATACTCATTCCTTAGTTTGCTGTACATTTTCAGAAAAAGAAACAATGAGGATAAAGCTCTTAGAACTTTGTCAGACACAATAGGAGTGCAGAGGAGAAAAAAAAATGTCTTTTTTACTACATTCTGAGGTTCAGTTGCCGGGCTTGTACCGATAAATTAATAAAAGGTAAATTAATAGCATAAAAGTCTTATGTGGCTCACACCTGTCATCCTAGCACTTTGGGAGGCTGAGGTGGGTGGATCATGAGATCAAGAGATCAAGGCCATCCTGGCCAACATGGTGAAACCCGGTCTCAACTAAAAATACAAAAACCAGCTGGCTGTGGTGGCGCGTGCCTGTAGTCCCAGCTACTTTGGAGGCTGAGGCAGGAGAATCGCTTGAACCCAGCAGGTGGATGTTGCAGTGAGCCGAGATCATGCCACTACACTCCAGCTGGGTGACAGAGCAAGACTCCATCTCAAAAAAAAAAAGTCTTATGTATTTTATTAATATTTTTATGTATATGAGAGTATCACCAAAAGAAGAAAAAACCTACAGAAGTATTTGACTCAGAAACATATATACCATTTTAACAAAAAGTGATAAACTGTGGAGAATTGACTAGAGAAAAGAAAGGGAAGTTTGAACTTCTGAGGTTAGTAAATTGTGGGAAGGTCAATATATGTGGAAACCAATTAAAGAAAAGGATTATTTTAATAATCTTTCT
Source organism: Homo sapiens (assembly GCF_000001405.40). NCBI lineage: Eukaryota > Metazoa > Chordata > Mammalia > Primates > Hominidae > Homo > Homo sapiens. Next base: position 32,224,681 of record NC_000004.12, read on the forward strand.
TTGTGCAGACTAATTCCAGTACTAGCTTCCTGTCTTCTCATGGTCACGCACCTCCTTGTAGACAGGATTTGTGGCAGTCCTCATTTCCTAGAAGTTTCTGCTTTTAGTAAGACAAGGAAGGTCCCAGAGGTTTTTTTCTCTATCTTTTGATTCTCAGTTACCTTCAGCTCAAAATAATTTATATATTAAGGTGACATATTTTAAGGTAGCATGTTCTGATATTTTTTACTTCAATTGAATTTAATTTTAATATATGCTAATGTGATACCACCATATAATTATTTTAATATATTTTCTCTGATTATCAAAAGGAATTAATTTTTTTTTTCACTCTGTCATCCAGGCTGGAGTGTAGTGGTACGATCTTGGCTTACTGCAACCTCCACCTCCTGGGTTCAAGCGGCCCTGTCATCTCAGCCTCCTGAGTAGCTGGGGTTACAGGTAAGTGACATGATGCCCAACTAATTTTTGTATTTTTAGTAGAGACGGGGTTTCACCATTTTGGCCAGGCTGGTAGCGAACTCTTGACCTCAAGTGATCCGCCTACCTTGGCCTCCCAAAGTGCTGGGACTACAGGTGTGAACCACCGCAAATGGCCTGGAATTAAAGTATTTTAGTTTATTTAATGGACATTTAGATTCTTTCTTCTGTTCATATTCTATTTTTGGAAACTTTTTCTTGATTTATAAAAATTTCTTATATATTTTGGGCACAGTTTCCCTTTTACATCACCTAAACTATTAGATTTTTCTCTCTACAGATGATAAATAGTATTTATAAGAGAGCAGAATTTATCACTGATTTTTAAAAATTCATATAAATATGTTTATACATTTTCTGTCATGAAATTGTTGTTTGAACTAAGCTTCGGTTTTTAAATCTATAAAATGCAGAGTTTGTATCAAATTATTTCAAAAGGCTAAATCGTGATGATAAAATACTGTTTTCTAAAATATTAGAGAAATTGCAATTTTTATATGGTCTTTTTCATTTCAACAGCAACCAATGTTACGTCTACTAAAGTTATGCCAGAGTACATTTTGTAAACAGGGTGTTTTAGCTCTAATTTTTTCATACTTATAAAATGAGCGTGGAAATATAGTAAAAACTTTAGGAAGAGATGAGCTTTTTTTTTCATTTTTCCAAAGCTATTAACAGATATTAATTAACTGATTTTACAGAGGAAAAATGTTTTTTAAAATCCTATCATATAATATCTAATTATTATTGAATTCAGAATTATTAAAACTTACTTGAAGTAGAAATATCTTTTAAAAAACTAGCTTATTTCCAATAAATCATCACAGAATTAGTGTATTGGAAATTTCTGCAACATATATTTTCTTTCATAGGCTTTAACATATACTGCTAAGAAACAGCAGGAGACCTATCAGAACTTCGGCTCTTCAAAAAACAGATTCTGAGACATATATTTGAGGGCAGGTAGTTTGTGAGGGAGAACTGGAGATATCATAACTGTAAAGATTGAGGGAAGCCGAAATGGAAAAAACAAGAAATTAAGCTGCAACTTGGTTACAACAAGCACCCAGCAGATCACATGATAATACTGGACCTGGGCTGGTCCTTCAGTGATATCCAAATTGGAATAAGGAGAGCCAGATTTTGTATCTCTCCATTGACCAGGCATTTGAATGAGGACTGAAGAACTTAACCATGACTAAAGCATTTTCCTCTGTATTGAAGTGGGATTCAGCTGTGAGTTATCAGCAGTCACATTTTGTAGTCAGTGGAGGAATGAGAGCCTCAGTCCTGAGGAGGAATCTGGCCAGTAAATCTGCTAGGTGAAAGCACTAGAGTTGTTCCATGCAAAGATAGATGGCTTTTTATTGGTTTTGCTTTTAATGCCATTCTTCTGTAGAGGATCTGTTAAAAGAAATAAGAATTATTTAAGTATTTAAAATGGGGACAATCAGACAGGGTTGGATTTTAATCATATTTCTAGACGTGTACATTTAGCCAAATGATTTAATTTTTCTTAGCCTCTTTTGTAAAAATAATTCATTATAATATATACCTTAGAATATTTTTAAGATGTTAAAATAAAATGGTGTATGTAAAACTCAGCCAAGTGGCTAGAAGTTAATTTGTACTCTATAAATGGTATCCTTAATAAGATATTATAAATTGAAGAAGAAAATTAACTGCCCAGCTATACCATGTAGCTAAATTATAACAATGCTTCTTAACTTTTTACTGACCACTTACTATGTGCCTGGCACCAAGCCAATTGCTCTACACATGATAATTTACTTTATAATCACAGCAACCCTAAAAGACGAATATTTCTGGTTGTTTCCATTATTCAAATGAGTAAACCTTGGCACAGAGGGATGACAAGGTATCACATCTTAGTAAGTGGTGAAGACTGGGCAAAAATTGAGGCCGACTAACTCCAGAGCTGAAAAGCCCATGTAGGAGTACATACATCCTTTTACTGTTTATTGAGCTTGTTACAAAGCCTTATAAAAATGGGAAAAGGTGATCTTATGAACATAAATACTTGCAAAAAATTAACTGCTGTGATGACTTTGGTCTGGCTAGCAAGAAAGGGTAGCAGAAGCTGCAGAATATTTTTATATCATAACATTAGGAAAGCTGTAAACCAAAAATATATTTGCATGGTAAATGTGGGGAAAATAACAACAAAGATGCAATTACATATGATCTTTTCTGGCTACCAGGATTACAGACTTCTTTTAGCATATACAGAGAAGCCACATGAAAGTGGAACTTTCATTGAATACTTTTCATATTGGACTACTTGTTTGTACTCTCTCTACCTGAAAGGGTTTTATGAAGACTTTCCAAACGGTAAATATGGAAGCAAGAATAGCTTTAATAAAATAAATTTCCAGATCCTTAACTTCCTCAACTACTCTTTCTTTCATTTTATCTTCCCAAACAAACTCATGACATTGGCTGCTTCTTTCCCACTTCTTCTTTTATGACTGCTTTTCTGCCACCATTCCTAGCATCATTATTTCTAAGCAAAAAAGCACTTCATGGTACCAATCAAATGGAGGGTTCTAAATATTGGTATTGATCTCAGGAAGTCAAAGAGCCTAATTACTGAGTAATAAACCCTTTAGTAACTCAAATGTTTACATTTTTGTTTTTTTTTTTAAATTAAAAGAGAACCTAATCAATTTGCCAGCTGATAAATCCTGATTTTTCATGATAAATCGCTGTGTCATTTTTGCCCTAAACCTCAAAGAAATTCCAAGTTTTTGCTCTTTACCAAGAACTAAATAAGTCTTAGAACTTTTAAGTTTAATTTTACTGTATTTTATTTTATTTTTTCCCAGAGCTCCTTTCTGACAACTTGCAATTGATCCAACATTTGAAACCTTATGCAGGAGCCGGACAGCTTGGTTTTGAATTATAATCTTACAAATTACTGGCTGTGTGTTAAATCTTTAAATTACTGGCTGTGTGACTTTGTGTAAGTACCTTCACTTCTCTGTGCCTTAGTTTATGTTATGTAAAAGGTATGATAATAGTATCTATCTTGGAATTTAGTTTTTAAATATAAAATTTATATATCTACAACAGCTGAATAAGTGTTATCTATCTTTATTACCATTGCAATTATTATTATAATTATTTGTATATGTCGGGCTCATAAAGCTCTTAGCTTTGCAAAACTGTCTGAGAAAGTTTGCTTTTCTTTGCATTCATTGGGAAATTAACTTTTCTACACAATAATGTTTTTAAGGCATGGACCTGTAAAATGTTTAATTGGTGTGGCTTCAAAGTATAGAAATTGTAAAGTAGGAAATAATTATACACAACTATCAAACCAATAATAAAGGTCAATAAATATTCAAACAGTATTAATATAATTTTCTTTTGATCCTGTTCTTTATTTTCTTTAACTCTTCTCCAGATGAAGAAGAAAATGCTTTGTCAAGAAATTCTTTTTTGGACTGAATTCATTGTTGCAAAAGATAGTTATTTTGGAAAGAAATTGCTTTAACAGTTTCTCCTGCTACACTATGACTTGTATGAATACATCCATAGGCATAGCGATAGAATAATGAACAGAAAAATTAAGAAGAACCTGAAATTAATAAATACCTAGGTATTTGTCAGGTGAGTTATGGATGTTGGCAGTTGATGGATTATGTTACAAAGCACATAAATGCTGTATTTGCGTTAGTGTACCATTTAGCAGCCATACTCCAGCAGAGTCCACAAGTATATGAGCATGAAGTCCCTGAAGACATTGGTAATTGATTACAATCAATCTGTAAATGATATTTAGATGATCTTTATGAGTTGCTTTCCTCTTCTCATCTTTCTTGGTGTATCGGTGAAGACTCTAAATGATTGAATTGAATGACTTTAATTACATTACTCAACGACTTTAAAACAAATTTAGTTTTCAGTAAAAATAAATGTGTATTTGTCTTGATTCTGAACCCCTTACCTCTAAAGAAATATGCCTCAAAACACCATATTCTAATAGCATTTATTGGCCTTTAATGTCTAACACAATACATTGCTGTGTTAAATTGTTTACAGTTTTCAAAAAGCATATTCTTTCTCTCTCTCCAAACACACACACACACATACACACATCTACACACATGCACACACACTTTATTCCCTGACTACACTTTTCTCATGAGCCACAATTTTAATGAAAAGTAGTTTTCTTCAAGCTGGAAAATTGCTTAGAAAATGCTAGTTGTCCGGTGAATATTTAGAGCGCACATCGTTCATTTTACCTAACTCTATGTTAAGAACATTATATTGGGATACTTTTATCCCTGTCCTTTAAAATGTCATTTCACCTCATTGAGGAACAGAAAAACCCATATAACTTTCAATTTCTCCTACAACTATAGAAAAATAACTTGTTTGCATTAATATTAATTTTAATTAATTAACTTGTTTGGATTAATATTAACTTTTAGCAAATATCTAATAGCTGCCAATTTTTTAATTGTTAGAGTATACAAACAAAATACAATGAAATAATTAACCATTATTCTACTTAAGGTTTTGTAATTAACTATAAATGGATCAATCTGGGCTTGATTGTTAGGAGTAAATTCACTCATCTGCAAAATGTACATCCATTAATAATCGCAAAAGAAATCTGAGTAAAGTCTAGATTCCTTCTATTGGAAATAATTCTCCAGGAAGAAAATATGATCAAATGCTAGGGTGCTAGGGTTGGTATTTTGTCTGTGGAGACTGAGATAGAAGTGTATAAATGAACCTTTAAACACGGCCAGGGACTGGCCATTACACCATTACTCTATTTCTTCTATTGGTTCAGCATCTCAAATTTTACTATAGAACTAGGCTAATAAGGTTCTAATGTCCAAAACCACACAGATTTAGAACCAAAACAAAACTTTTGTTCTTTTTTCAATAAAGTACCTCAGGAATTTGCTAAAATGCATATTATCAGGATTCATAGACAGATAATTGCATTTGTGTGATCTCAGCTGGGACTCAGAAAACATATTTTTAAATTATCCTATCAGAAGATTCTGAAGCAGATGGTCCATGGAGAGTTTTTGATGATATATTTCTCTAGAATAATAATGTGTTTCTCGAGACACCTATTACACTAGCAATTTATAACTTTAATCGTAAAGACAGTGTCATATAACACTTTCTCAATAAATATTTTTGAGTGAATAAATCTACATAAAATTATTTAAAATATATTGTTTATTTCCAAATTAGGAGGTGTAAACACTAATAGTTTTATAAAAACCTTTCGATCGGTCTCAAAATTGCAAATAATGTACTCTTAAAAATAAAAATTTTGTGATTTTTTTTATAACATTAAACTTAGGTTTGCTTATAACTTCACAGAGCTTGATAATACATACAAAGACTTCAAATGATTGAGGGGTGGTGGTAGTTAAGAAAGATTGTGCTGTACCAATCTCAAGAATAGAGGCAAGACCAATAATAAAGCTGTGCAAAATTAGTAGGCCAGTATTTACATAAATTGAGGATATTTATGTCAATAACTTTGCAGTCAGAGATTTTCAAAGGCCAAATAGACATTTGAATGTGTAATGAGACAATCTAGACTACAAATTGTAATATTTGTTATCCTCCAAATATGTAATTCATCACCTTCATTTTTCCCCACCATCTGCCTGGAAGCTTTTAGCAATATGTCCATAACTAGGAATAATAATTTTTATCTTTGAGAGATTTAATTTTTGTAGCAAGAAACATAAATATGAGTGTTGGGGAAAAACTTGCTCTGCTCTTCAGGTTCATGGATCTAATGCTTTTCTTACTCCAGTGGCTGGATATAATTGGATTTCTTCAGCCACATGTATGCAACCAAAACTTGAGAAGGACCCTGTTTGAATTGTCAAATATGAAGGCCCACTAAATGAACAAGTTACTGTGGCCTTCAAGCAAAGCTAAACATACCATCTTCAACCCAAAGGACTTTCAGCATATGGTAAAAAACAAAACAAAACAGAACAAAAAAACCTGACCTTTCGACTTCATTACAGTAATTTCGTGGATCATACTAACTTGTTAGAAAAGAGAATTATGGAGCCAGATTAACACATTTGGTATTTACTTATTCAAAAATAAGCCAACTTCATATTTTTGGCTTGTTCTTGTCTAGGAGATGGGATAGGTAACAATGTCAGGTTGGTAAGCTAAAACACTAAAAACAAATCTGTTCAAATATTTTAGATTACTAATGAAATATGAGATACTTTACCTGAATAAAATTTATATTTCTATCATAGCATCAACAATCATGCTATGAACTACTTGACTTATTTTACATATGTTCTAAGATTGCTGTATAGTACTTGCGCTTATTTTTGTAGCCTACTACAATCTGCTCTATTTTCAGTGCTGAGAACATACGTATTATTAACTACCACAAATTTAAAAAACATATCAGCATGGCTGTGTCATTCTTTTCTTTGTTGCCAGTCCTTTGATAGACAAATAATTGCAAATATGTACACAAAAACTTATTGAAACTAATCATGTAAAATGACTACACAAATATTTAAAACTTATCAAAAATTACTCTGAACAGCAATACATATTCTAATTCTCTACCATCTGTTAGTATGTTATGTCCTAGATCTACTTATTTATCTTTCTTTTCCAAGTAAACTATAAAAATGTTTAGGACAATGACTGCTTTTTATTTATTCCATTAGGGAACCATAACTTACTACAACATAGGGCACGCTTTCTATCTTTTAAAAGATGAATTCATTTTCTTATTCTCTTTTTAAATCATATGTTTTATATTTCAGTTATGTTTGCTTGTTGATTCTAGTTATGAGATTTAAAAATGCTTTTCATCTCAATTATGAAACATGCTTAGGCAAACATGAACTATTATATTTGTGGAAATGAAATGTTCACAATAAATCTAAATCCCTATTTGAAGTAATCCTTAATTGCAGAAATTGAGCACTGTACATAACTAAAAACAATAAAAAAAATCTGAATGAGAAATAGCCTAAATATTGTGCACCTGCTTCCAAACTATGCTACATTTATAAAGTAGAAATATTTCCCACCATCCTGTTCTCAAAAGGAAAGCTTTACATTGCTGTATTTTATGTTTTTAGCTGTAATTCCAGCAGAAACTGTGGCCTCTTCTGAGTGTGGCCTTTGAATTCACCAAGGCTCGGCTAGATTCACTCTCAGTAACCTAGGAGAAACTGGAACTTTAAATAACTAAAAGAAACAAAATCTTCATTTCAACTCACCTGTGTGCATGGAAGCCATTTTTCTCCCGTTAAGCTGACATTTCTGTGAGTTGACAGGTCTATCACTCAGAGCCTCAGACACTTCAAAGACTTCTTAGAACTTCAGGAATGTCTGAAAATTTTTAATGTGAAAGTCAGAATGTCTGGTTTTATTAAGAATTGGTCGTATCATTTATGTAATCATCCTGGGACTGTTCTACTGCTGAAAACAACAAAATGTTCAAATTATATAAAGTGGGGCTGAAACATGGAATATATATGATTTACCATTCTTTTAAAAAAAATAAATGCCAAAATAAATTTTGACAAATTGGAAAACAAAAAATTTAAAAAAATTAAAGTCATTTAAAATTATTTATTTCACCTTATTTTTGCATAAATATAAGCTTGCATATAATTTGTTTATATAAGCATTATAGGATCATGGCAAGGAAAGAGCCTATGTAGGAAATTATCCTTGGTGGCTGCTCAGATAAACATCTGATTATTCTTTAAGACTATGGATGTCTGGTTCTCACCATCACCAATTCTTATTTGATTGGTATTCATGGATATAAAGTACTTCCAAGGTAATTCTAATTTATAGTCACTGCTGTGAACCATGCTCTAGAATGAACACCAAATAAAGCAAAGCAAATTATTCTAGCGCTCATTCCTTGCAAACTGTCATTTATTTATTTAATAAAATTATTGTGCTTTGTTTTTTGACTGAAAAATTTCCATAAAACATATATTAGTTGCTTCTTTTAATTTCTGTTTTGATACTGTTTTATTGATTATAAAATTATTTCACTTTACCTGGTGAAAAATAAATATTGATGAACTCCTAATATATTTGGATTAAATATGGAGCAAATATTTCATGTAATTTTATAGTTAATTTTTTAAGTTTAAAAACTATGCTATATTAACATTTCCTTTATCAAATATAAAAATAACAAGCTAAGAAGTGAAATTTGCAAATGTAACTAATAAACAATAGTCAATGAAAACTTTATTAACTTTTATGCACAATGTTAATAAGAAATGCCATTTTCCTCTTGCAATGAATAGTTTAACTGTTTATATAGCTAGAAGTATTTGATTTACCTCAAAACTCCTATTCCACTTTATACTTGAGTGCTATCAAAAGACAGTGTAGTTTTAGAGAACTGGAGTTGAAGCAAAGAGGCAAAATTGTCCCTTTATAACACATCTTTTTTTTCTCCAATTACATTTTCATTTCATTTACATTTTCCTTCCTAATACTCTCAGTATTCTTATATGAAGACTGAATGCCTGTTACTTGAATATATTTAGCTCAGTATCTTATCATGGCGCATTTTACATTGAAATATTTTGATAATTAAAGTTTCAATGGGTGATTTTTTTAATTTATGAACTACATTATTATTTTATGTACATTTAAATTTACATCCTGAATTAGTAGCTTGTATTATTGTCATTAAGAAAAAATAGAAAAAAAATACTAGCAATTATAAACAGTATGAGTTGATATAAGCATTTTTGTTAGCCCTGAAGTCATTTTAATAGTTTTATTGTCTTAATCAACTTACTCAACTCTCTTTATTGCTCTTTGGAGGTGGTAGTTTTGAACACATGCTGGGCGTTAGTTCACTGGTGCCAAATTAAAAATGATAATTCTCATGCGTGAAATAACTGTATGGACTAATGACCAAATATCTTTATAATGTGAGCCACTGTTGCAGCAGGTGGCCAAACAATTAGACACCATAACATAATATATCCCTAAAGTAAAAAAAGGAATGACACTCATGATACAACCAAAGCAAAAGCATTAGAAAGAGAATAAAAATATCTATTTCCATAATTAATACATGCTGAAGACTTAATATTTGATTATAAATAGTAAAAACATTATGCCTTATCCTGTTTAATTTCACAGGTATTCATTAAATAAATATTTTTGTGTGTGCATGGGAAAGATGAACATGTGATTAAAAGACTAATATTATTAAAGCACTTGACCCTGTAGAACTGACAGTTACTTTTCAGGAGATTTATCTCTAGTAAGTGAACCCTTGAGGGAAAAAAAGCCTAAAAATTAAGAATAATTACAGGAAATAAATTTCTGAAAACAGGGACTTCAGAGGTAGGCAAAGTTAGGTCATGAAATATCTTATATACAAAGTCCGACTTTAAAATGTATCTTGCAAGCAAAGAAGAGTCACATAGCAAGCTTTATATTATATAGGGAAATTACTCCTGCAGTAATATGGAGAATGTATTTGAGGAAGGCAAGTAGATTGATTACAACTCTTCAGTAATAATCCAGATAAAGTTTTGATAGCTATGAATGAAAATCAGAGACCATTGTAGAAATGGTCTGAAACCATTAGACCATTAGACAACTATGTAGAAGTTAGATGTGCATAATTTTGCAACAAGGTAGAGAAGGAGTAAGAGAAAAAAACAACTCTGGTGTGATATCCCATATATTAACTTGGGTATATGGGCAAATGGTCATCTCTCTACATGATCCAGTACAAAAGGTGAACCACGTATTGAGGAGTGTAATTTAGATTCTTGCTTCTCAGAGAGCATTCTGATGACCAGAAGCCTTGGCATCACCTGGTGGATATTTAGAAGTGTGTAGTTTCAGACTCCCCTATGTTCTATTAGATTAACATCTGTATTTTAACACAATCCCTAAGAAGCCTGAGTGCATGTGCATGATTTTGAACAAATTAAATTTGAGATGTTTATATCACAGTTGAGTAGACACATCACAAGATTGGTGTAGAAATTAGAAGTATAAATATGAATGTCAATGAAGATCACAGAAGGGAAATATAAATTTAAGAAATTTCAGAAGAGATAGCCATGGAATAAAATAATTTTTTCTTGAGGAAAACACATAGAGAAAGGCAATGGATCCTGGGGACATCAACATGCAAACAGAAGTTAGAAGGGACAATAAAGGAAGCTAGAAGAAACAGCATCTAAAAGGCAACTGAAATTAGAGTCATGTCATGCAATTCATGTGGTTGGAAGAATATTGATAAGATTAATCTTTTTGCTAAAAGGCAGTCTGAAGAAAGGCCCACTGTATTTGGCAATAAGAGGGCTATTGTGATCACACTGCAAGCATTTTCAGTGAAATAACAAAATCAGAAGACAAAACAGGTTGAATGACTGGCAGGCGTGGAAGAGGAGATAGAAAATACAGATCGACTTTTTGAAAACCCTGTTTGTGGCTTAAAAGTGAGCAGTAAGTGTGTGGTTATGTGTACCAGGCAGGCTGTAAAATGCTTCCCAAAGGTCCCCACCCTTGTATTGTGTGTGTAGGCTGGCCTTATTGACTGGCTTTTCCTGAAGACAATTTGGCAGCAAAGATGGGATGTCAATTTTGAGGATAGATCACAAAGAAACTGTGGCTTCGATTTTCAGCATTCTCTTGCTCATTCACTTTCCAGCAATCCACCTGCCATTCTGTAAGCTGCCCTACTCAGAAGCCAAAAGGACGAAAAACATCCAGCAATGACCTGAGGTCTGCCAACAGTTCATTGGTGGAGCTTAGAAGTAGAATCTACCCCAGTGGAGATTTGAGATGATTCGCTAAATTGTGATGATTGAGAGACCAGAGATAGAACCATCCAGCTGAGCTGCACCTAGATTCCTGCCCATAGAAACTGAGGAGGCATCACTTCTTAGCCTTTTGGCTAAGATCAAATGTAGAAATTGTGAGTTACTCTGCGTGTGTGTGTGTGTGTGTGTGTGTGTGTTTTAAACCAGTAAGATTAGGGTATCTTTTATTTAGTAATAGATAACTAAGAAAGATTTTGGTGCCTAGAGTTGGAGTGTTTGCCTAACTTAATTGCAGAAGTGTTGTTGGAACCAGGTAGTAGCCATTGAGGAGAGTGATTATGAAAGCTTAAAGTGCATCGAACACACTATTCATAGACTTTATGGGTTTGAGGAGCTTGTGGATGAGTGGAGAAAACATTAAAACTGAAAGAAAGGCCATTGTTGTTATGTAGTTGAAGAACTGTAATAAACATTGTCATCTGCGTTTATGTGGAAAGAGGAAAGTGTATTTAATGATCTGTGTGATCTACTTACTAGCAAAAAAAAGAAGCTAGAACCTGATGCTGTTTTTTTTTTAAAAAAAATGCTAAAATTAGGTGCTAAATTAAGAAACAGCTTCAAAGTACCGAATCCAGGGAACTGCCAGAAAAATATGGTATGAGGCTAAAACTGAAGGTATGATTGTAAAAGCTCTTCTTAATACTTCAGAAAGATAAAAACTGGTGTGATGGTTCATTTTATGGGTCAACTTGGAGGGTGTTTTTGGATAAAATTAACCTTTAAGTCAGTGAACTTTGAGTATGTAGATTGCCCTCCATAATATGAGTGGACCTCATCCAGTCAGTTGAAAGTCTAAGTAGAACAAAAACTATCCTCCCAAAGCAAGAGGCAATTCTCCAGTAGGCTGCCTTCAGACTTCATCTGTACCATCAGTTCTCTTGAATCTCCAGCCTGCCAGCCCACATGTAGTTTTTAGACTTCCCATCCTCCATAATTACACGAGCAAATTCCTTATAAGAAGTCTCTTTCTATATTTAAACACATCCTGCTGGTTCTGTTTCTTTGGAGAACCCCAACTAATACAGGTGATATCATAGAGTGCTCTTCAGTCAAATAAAAGACCCTTGAAGGAGACTAAGGGTGTTTTACACAAATCTTTTCAATCCAACCAAAGGATCTCTGAGAATTGTGAGGGGTTCCTCTCATCCTTCTCAATAGGAGACAAAGGTATAGATAGGAGATTTGTGGCATGTCTTTTTTCTAGTGGAATGAACCCCAAAAGGATTTATAAAAGACCCACAAAGTCTTTTAAACACTTACATACGCAAAAACATCACCAGATTGAACTGAAAAAGAGGCATTTGGATCCCAAAACTTCTACATTTAGAAAACAGGCTGTGAAAACTACTTAGCTGCTAATGCATGCTGACTTTTACAATAAAGAGTAAATGGCTTTGCGAGCAGAACCAAGGGCCCAGAAGGCAGAGTGAACTAGGAAGCCGACCCTTACTAAGTCCAGTTTTGGGATAACTAAGCCCTTCTTGCAATTGGGTTGCAATATCTCTAGAAACTGTGAGCAAGAGACACCCAGTCAAGCTACACTTCATTTCTGACTCACAAAAACTGTCAGATTAAACTGTTTTTTAAGTGGTTGAATGTTGAATAATAGAGAAATCACTGGTAGAGAGGGAGAAATGGACATTAAGCAGCCTGTTTGTATAGATGGGAGTTTATAGGAGATGCACAAGTATTGGTGGTAAGATTTAGAAGGTGAGTAGATGAAGGTGAGTAGATAGTAGTGGTATCTGGTGAAAGAGGAAGAAAAATGGAAGATTATGGAATTAAGAAGACAAAAGAAGAAAACATTTAAAGGTGAAGGTGGAGTCTACTCTCTTCGCAGTTTGAATGGAGGGCTGTGGGTGAAACATTATGTAGAATAAGGCAAAAACAAAATACAATGTGGGAAAATGAGGGTGCTGAATATGAACAGCTATTCAAACAATTTTTGTTGGAAAAAAGGAGTGAAGAAAACAGGGTTGCAGCCAAAGAGGAACATGAAACCAAAGGATATATTTTTATCTTAATTTGAAGTGCTAGCGTATTTATATGCTGAAGGAAAATTGGAATGGATGGGGAGAAATCACACATGCATGAGAGAATAATTGGATGGCATAAATTGCGATGACAAAAATAGAAGGGACCCAGAGATCAGGCAAAATAAATCCCTCTTATAGGAGCAGGGCATGGATCTGTATTAACAGGGCTGAAAACAGAGGCTATGTATTTCGATAAAAATTAGTGCATAGATTTGATATGAGGATGGTGAGAAATTTGCCAAAGGATTTTCATGGAATACGTTTCCATGATCATAGAGAGTTTTCTTATGCCACACTGATCTAGATAAAGATTATCATCTTAACATTATAGAAATATCCTTGTGTTAGGCCATTGTTGTGTTGCTATAAATCTGTAAGACTGGGTAATTTATAGAAAAAGAGGAAATTTAAATGGCTCACCGTTCTGCAGGCTGTACAGAAAACAGTGCTTCTTGTGAGGGCCTAAGGAAGCTTACAATCATGGCAGATGGTGAAGAGGGAGCAGGCGTCTCACATGGTGGGAGTGGGAGCAAGAGAGAGAGGGAAAAGGGGAGTCGCACACTTTTAAACAACCAGCACTCTTGACAACTCACTCACTATTGCAAGGATAGCACCAAAGGGATAGAACTAAGCCATCCATGAGAAATTCACCCAAATAAATCAATTGCCTTTAACCAGGCCTCATTTCCCATACCGGAGATTATATTCCAACATGAGATTGTGGAGGAAACATATCCAAGCTATATCAATCCTCTTCTATTTTCTCCTAAAATTTATCTTTTACATATTATTGCTAAGATATTTAAGGTAAATAATTATATCATCTTCAAAAATGACATCACGCAAATGATGAAAACACTGAAAAAATTATACTTTTTTTTTCCTTTCTCCTTGATTAAGACTTTGACTTTTTATTGAATTTAGCGGAGATATTTCTACTCTTTTCCTTAACTAAATATTTTCTCCAGGTTTCTAGTAGATACCAGTCATCAGAAAAGAGAAATTTATTTTGATACTCTGCTTATTAAGCCTGACCAATATGATGAAACCCCGTCTCTACTAAACACACAAAAATTAGCCGGGTGTGGTGGCATGTGCCTGTTATCTCAGCTACTCGGGAGGCTGAGACAAGAGAACTGCTTGAACTCAGGAGGCGGAGGTTGCAGTGAGCTGAGGTTGTGCCATTGCACTCCAGCCAGGGCAACAAGAGTGAAACTCCGTCTCAAAAAAAAAAAAAAATTAATGTAACAAATGAATTTTATACCTAATATAATATTTTGAGGTCATCTGGAAAACATAAATAGTTATAGTGCATGTTGTATAATAACCAAAATTCAGTATTATATATAAATAAAAGCATGTTCTGGTGTAAAAACATTATTACAAAATATTCCACACCTTTCCCTTTCTTGGATTAATTTTTTTAATTTGTTACAAAACAGCTATGAATTCTTTCAGAGGGCACTGTAAAACTTCTAAATTTTTGCCTGGAAGAAAATGTATTTTGCCTTTTGATTTGGACACTTTAGTGACAATTCACTTTAAAAAAGAGTGTTTCCAGGAATTTGACTTATCTCTTACCACTAGTGATTAAGGCAAAAACACAAATCTGATCCTAATCTAATTATCCATACATGTTAGACAACCTTATTTTTCTTTTTAAGATATTCACAGATTTTTGACTTGTGTTTTTGAATTTTGTTTCTAAAATTTTATCAGTCTGAGAGATATTATTATAAAATATAATAATGTTTAAAACATAATAATCTAATAAATATCATTCTTGTTACTTTTATTGCAATGGATTTCTTTTCACCATCTTCTCTTCCTCTTCTGAATTTTTCTTTAGATGATTACAAGAAATCTCATCTATTCTCTTTGTCATAACCTTTTTCTGACCCTCCGCATCTGTTTGGAATTTGTACCCCTCTTTTAGATAATACCATAGAGCAGACTTTTAACACACAATGTGCTCATTGGCTTTGCTCATCATCGTTTCCTCCTGTGAGGAGACTTTGATATTTTTAATTTGCACATATTCAGATTTTCTTTTTTTGCAATGCAGCCTTATTTACATTTGCATTTTTTCATTATAACATTTGACACATACAAAATAATATATTTTACACGGAAATAAGCCATGAATCACAATAATAAAATGAACAAAACATAACCAAAACTGTGAAATTTACCTGGATCCTTTTCCAAAACTTTATATCCCTCTCTATATACTTTGAGTTTTAAGTTATTTATCCCTTTGAATTTTTTAAACTGGATTACATTCTATGTGTATGATTTTAAATGTATTGTCTAAGACTTTTAAAAAATAGTGTCAAACGTATGTATTCTGCTAAAATTATTTTTCATTCAGCTTTTTGTTTCCCAGATTCATGTATGTCTTTGTATTCACCTTCTTATGAGACTCAATAAAACTTCACCGTGTAAACACGTCATAATTTATTTACTCCCTCTCCACTTAACAAGTAGCTTGTGTCTCTTTTTTAAAAACTATTCAAAACTATTTTAAAACTGTTTTTAAAACTATTTAAAACTATTTATTAAAAAACTATTCAATCAATGACATGCATGTCTCTTCATGTAAATTCACAGCAGTTTTGTAGATAATATACCCAGGAGTGAAATTTCCAGAATCTACGTATCTTCAGTTCCACAAGATAATGCTAATATTTTCCAAAAGTGTTACACTAGCTCACATCCAGTGCTTGAATTATTGTAACTCCGTAATCCTGTACATTTTGATACCAGGAAAAAAATTATTCTTTTTCATTTACTTTTCAAAAATGTCATGACTAGTTTTTGCATTCATTCTTCCATTTAAATTTTAATATTCTGTGACAATTTATTGTGATTTTGAATATAATTCCATTGAACTTTGAAATTAATATTTCCATGTATTACATGTGATGTCTCATCATGTATCCAAATAGTCCTTTATGACCATCAATGATAGACTGGATAAAGAAAATATGGCACATATATACTGTGGAATACTATGCATCCATAAAAAAGAATGAATTCATGTGCTTTGCAGGAATATGGATAAAGCTGAAAGCCATAATTTCAGCAAACTAACACAGGAACAAAAAAACAAACAATGCATGTTCTCACTCATAAGTGGGAGTTGAACAATGAGAACATACGGACACAGGGAGGGGAACATCACACCCTGGGGCCTGTCGGTGGGTGGGGGGAAAGGGGAGGGAGATAATTAGGACAAATACCTAATACATGCAGGGCTTAAAACCTAAACGATGGGTTGATAGGTGCAGCAAAACACCATGGTACATGTATACCTATGTAACAAACCTGCACGTTCTGCACATGTATCCCATAACTTAAAGTAAAAATAATATAAAATAAAATAAAAAGAATGACTTCAGCCCAGGTGCTGAATTCAATGTCAATTAACAGAAGTAAAAAATCTTGAATTTTTTAAATGAAAAAATAAAATATATATATATTCTGGCAATGAAAAAAAAAAAAAAAAAAGCTAAAGCTTGATCTCTGAGTACTTTTCACATCAATGCACCTTTGTGGTAATATCCCAAAGACAGACCTGCTCATGGTAGAAAGAGTATAGTCCCTTGAATTGTAACTTGTTTGATTGGTAAATAAGGTGTTTGTCTGGACCCAGGTAAATGTCCAAATATTTCTTGGTACAAGGTATGGATTTAATCTGAAGTGCAGTTTGGGACAGTACCAGAATATCAATAATCTTGGACAAAGTTAGCCATTTTAACCTAGATATCAGCTGAGTATCACTGTCAAATGAGGTCTTGCTAAAACTACATCATGTATATTATTCTATTGCCTTTCCATAATTTCATTTGTAACTTCTTGGCTTGGGTACCAGGATATGTCCATTCTGATAGTTACCTCTTATATAGACAAGGTGTGCTTCTATTATCTTTTTGGCGTGTCTATTACTTTTTTATTCTCTGATCAACATTGTCCTCCACCTTCTTTGTTTTCTTAAAAAAAAAAAAGGCTCCCTCTTATTAATGCAGTCATGGCCTACCTCTTCTTCTCACACACGACTACCAGGAGTCAAAGATAGAAGATTGATTGGAATGAAAGAAAAGGGAGCAAAATCATGTATCTAAGCCAAATTCATTCTGTTATACCATCATGTTGTTTGAATATACAATTCTTTCTTTTACCTTATCTTACATGCCTGTCCAGCTCTCAGAAATAAAACCAATGAAACAAGATTCTCCCATTTTTGTATGCAGAGATAGAGTCTAGTAGTTTCTGTAGGGCCTTTTTTTTTCTTCTATATGTTACCTAGTAACTTTATTGTTTCTCTTATATCCATGTTGAATCCATTGCTGCTTTTAATAGACAATCAAAGTAAAGAATGAGTAATAAGGGAAGAGTGACAATACTCTTTCTTCAGTTTAGTGGTGTAAGAGATTGGTCACATAATCAAGAATCGAATACAAAGACCATCAGGAGATTAGAACAGAATATGGAAAGAAGAAATCTTTCCTATATTATCAGAAAACTACCAGGTAGAATCAGACAAATGGTGATTTTATTTCTAGTTATGCCGCAATTTACAACAAAACATTACAAAAATCAAAACCCCAAACACCTTCAAAATCAAAACAAAATCAAAACATAGTATTTTTAAAATTGAATTGCTGAGTTTGGAGAGGAAGATTCTTCTTTCTTAGTTCACATGTGCCCAAAAGCACCATGATGCAAGGAAGTGAACTGAGGTGGTTGATTTCAATGATGTCCCTAGGAACAGAGGTGAGGAACTAGGAAGATAAACACAAACCAGTTCAAGGTACATCGTACAAGTAGATTCTCTGTTGATTTCTTATTAAAAATAGCAGCTGAATGCAATACCCATTTGAAATACAATCTGGAAGATGAATAACATGTCCTAGATGGACCTAAATAAAATGTTTCAACAATAACCTGGGAAAATGCTGCTTAGGAAAAATGATAAACAAAAAATAATGTACTGATGCCCTTCTGCTGAAATGTAATAAAAAGGGCTCTTGGAAGATGCTAACACAAGGTTCAAACAAAATGTTTCCAAATTTATAAATTTAGAAATAAAATGAACTTCCAACTTCAATGAACCATACTTGTTGATTAATTTGTATACATATTAGTGGTTTATTTTTACTAGTTTTCCTTTTAGATGGAACTGAATGCACAGAATCCATTTTGATGTTAGAAAAGCAAGTCTCCAGTGAAACTCTGGTAAGCTTCTTGTCATCCTCTAAAAATATTTGTTTTCAAATTTCAAATGTGCTTCTCTCATCTGATAATGATCACTTAAAATTAAACACTCAATGAACAGTGTCTCTCAAATAATTTGCCTTTTACATGTCTCCTGGCCTTTTGAATTATTTAAAAATTAATTTTGAAAATAATAGTTTTTTGTTATTATTTATAGTGCTAATTTGAGCTAGGTGGGATTTATTTATTTTCAGCTTCCATCTTCCACAAATACGTGATAAGAATGGTATACATATATACATTTAAGCAACTGGAAAATGTACTCATGATTTTCTTGTTGATTTAGACAAGAAAACAATAAATTGAATGCTTTAAGAAATTATTATGCCTTTTATAAAGATCAGTGCTATTCAGCATATTTTGCATATACTAAATGTGTTAAGTTACACAGTACAGTTAATGATTTTATTCGCCAGTATGGTAATGACTTATTGTCCTTCAAAGCCCCACCTGTCAAGCTCAAACACTAGTATAACAGGTTCAATGTTTGTCTTTGTTTTAGCTTAATTAATTCAAGCACTGATATTCTTTCTTGATCAAGTATTTTAAGGCAATTTTAAATACATATAGCAAAACAGCATCTGTTTAATATCCTTATTTGAAACTTTATGCAGAGAGCCACAAAAATCTTCAATCTGCACAAGATATTTTCAGCTATAGTAACATGGGCATGTAGACAGAGGTGCTCAGCTGCTTACATTTTCACACAAATGTGGGAATGGAAGCCTGAGGCAATGTGAATAGCAGCTCTCCAAACTTCAAAGAATCTGTGAAGGATTCTTGCTCAGCTCTTGCCATCCTGAATTGGCCTATGCTCGGGGAGCAATTAAAATTAAATAGCCTCTGAACAGCAAAATGTGAAAAGCTCTAGTTCTGAGTATGAACATACTCTATCACAGTAGCGGCGAAGGAGATGAGTTAAGAAAAAACAAAATAACAGAGACAAGATAAGGGACATGACATTTTGTATTCAGTTATAATTTTCTAGGCAACAGTTAATTGTAAGCATATTTCTTCTTGTTTCCTACTCTTTTTGGAATAAATATGTGTCTGTGATATTTTTATGTATATGAGTGTGTGTGTGTGTGTGTGTGTGTGTGTGTGTGTGTGTATTCCAGCATATACATGTATGTCCTGGAATCTGTGAAGGATATCTTTTCAACATTCACTAGTCTACTATTAAAAGATCAGTATATTCTTGGAAAAAATAATCCTTTCAGCGTTTTAAGCAGTTCTTTCCTAACTGTAGTGGGAAACACTGTAAATAAGTTTCCTAGAATTAGTCACAAAAGTGTAAGATGTCAGTTTAAAGTACAATAAATTCTGACATTTCTGAGCTTATAGATATACATTAGCATGCATGATTCACAAGATTTTTAGCTCCCAAATCAACTTTTAAAAATATTATCCTAAATTATTTTATTTTAATTGTAGTTGGCTTAAACTGAATTGCAGTGACAAGTTAATTTGAAATTTGGAATTAGCTATTCACATTGAGAACCAAAACTGTACACACACACACACACACACACACACACACCCCTTACTATTTACATTATTTGATCATTTGATCATTAGCAATCTCCACTATCATGAGTTTTCTATTCCATGATCTTTTTTTATGTGACTTTACTATTTTAGGGAACTCTTGACCAGAAACATCATGTTTGAAAATAACATTACTGTTAAAGAACTCTTGAAAACCCGTTTAAAACTGTTCAATTTTCCAAGATATAGCTTCAAATGATTGTTTACATTCCAAAATTCTTCAAACATCTTGCCCCCACATTAACTATTTCCATCTATCCTAAACTATTGTAATATTTTTCTAATATCAATCAAGTGCTTGGATTGAAAGACACAATTCAGCCAGAAAACCAAATATAAATATTCGAATCTGACCTTTCTCTTCTAGGTTGCTGCTTAGACTCTGTCAGGGTAGTCTCTCGCCACAGTAAGCAAAAATGCAACTTTTCAATATCAAGAGGTAGACGTTGTGGTAGTTTCACGGAACCAGCATTCATCATCCAGATGATTGCTGTACATTCAGATAATTGAAAATCAGAGGCAGTTGGGAGGGTTAAGGGTAGGTGACACGCCCCTAGGTCCATGAGACAACAGTTCTTCAGCATAAAAAAGAAAAAATGCTGACATGATGCTCAACCCTACAAACATATATGGGATCAAATAACAGAACGTCCATATACCAATGAAGCATTTATAAGGCACCACCTACTGTTGGGAACAGGCCTCCAAATCTTGCCATAAACTGGCCCCAAAACTGGCCATAAGCAAAATCGCTGCAGCAGTGTGATATGTTTGTAATGGCCGTGACGCCCACACTGGAAGGTTGTGGGTTTACTGGAATGAGGGCAAGGAACACCTGGCCCACCCAGGGCGGAAAACCGCTTAAAGGCGTTCCTGAACCACAAACAATAGCATGAGAGATCTGTGCCTTAAGGACATGTCCCTGCTGCAGATAACTAGCCAGAGCCCATCCCTTTGTTTCCCGTAAGGAATACTTTTAGTTAATCTATAATATATAGAAACAATGCTTATCACTGGCTTGCTGTCAATAAATATGTAGGTAAATCTCCGTTTGGGGGTCTCGGCTCTGAAGGCTGTGAGTCCCCTGATTTCCCACTCCACACCTCTATATTTCTGTGTGTGTGTCTTTAATTCCTCTAGCGCCACTGGGTTGGCATCTCCCCGAATGAGCTGGTCTCAGCAACCTACAGTAGCATAACTTAAATTTTCTTTAAGATGTAACCAATTTTATAAGTATTTCATATTGTATCCAAATATTTCCCTGTATTCCTCTTATCTCAACCCATCCCAACCACACATATACAAATAAAAAGAAAAAAAAAGGAAAAAAAGGAAGAGTGAACTACTACTACACCTGACTATCTACATAGGAGAATGTAAAGTATTAAATTAAGAGAGGGTAAAGACGCAAGCTTTGGATCGTACTTTAGCACAAATTTAAAATCAGAGAACTTCTCTGGGAAACCAAACATTTTTTAATGATGCTGGAAATCACAGATACCAAAAGAAGCCAAAACTCTATGAGTAGGAAAATTATTTTAAGTAAGAATTACACTATTTATATATATATATAGTGATTATAACTGGCTTCATATGAATTTATTGATTATTATGTGACTTCCATTGTCATGGCAGCATTGCCTTTATTGAATATTCTCTCTATATCCCCCCGTCTTGTTTCATTTTCCCCATCCCTTAGTTCTCTGGAGAAAGAAAAGAAGCTGTTTGATGCCCCTGGAATGAACCCAGGAAAATTCAATGAGTTTGTGTAAATTCTTAGTAAAATATCTGGCACATAGTAATCATTCACAAAATATATTTAAATATATTGAATATACATTTTTGTATTATCATTGCTCATATAATTTTATAATTTTTCATTCATACTTTTTCTAAATTGTGATTTTATCATATTTATAGTTAATGAAAGGTTATTTGGAGACTACTTGTACTTATATATTTCTGTCATATTCATCTTGAGATGTGGTATATTTTTCACTTTAGTAAATGTTGCATAATTATGTTAAAAAATCATACTCCGCAAACTTGACCCTCTTTTTTCAAAAAGTCTTACATTGTATGCTGTTTTTAACAACTTGTTTGGCAATTATAAGCTCTGAATTCAGAACTTGAATCTGTCAATTGCTAACTATCTCACTTTGAGTTTTTAACATCGTTGCTTCTCAGCCTTTTAGCTAGGATTGAGTGAATTCTTAACATCCCTGTTGCTCAAGTCTTATGTGGAAAATAGGGGATGGGGGAAACACCTCATAAAATGTTGTAAAATTCAATAATATAATTCATTCAAAGTTTTAAATCATATAACTTCTCAATAAAATTCATCAATATGCTTACATTATTCTCCTCATATATACACTCAAAAACCAAGAAAAACTATAATAACCCTTTGAAAGGTATTGTGTGGTTAATAAAGCCACTTATTAACTTTTGCCATTAAAAGTAATGGCTAAAGTCATAATTTTTTGCACCAACCTAATATTTTGGAATAAAATATTTTTAAAATTTTATTTATAATTATATTTTGGCAAACTTTCTGAAACTCTAACTATGTGAATCCTCTGCTAAGCAGTCCCCATTTGCTATAGCTGCCAAGTAGTTTGGTAGTTCAGCCATGATCCCTTATTTTAAAATTGTCATTTTCTTACTCTGACCATTGCTGCACTACTTTTATGTGTGTAATATGATCAGTGAAGATTCTCAATGTTACTAAGAACCTACTTACAATTCAACTTGAATTCATACTTCATAAATTTAGTAGGTAGTCACTGTACGTGGAAAGGCCTATAAAATGGTTTCATTCATTTGTTACGGAAATGATCTCCAGAGTTAAACGAAAAAGAATTAAAATACACACACACACACACATAAAATTAGAGCTCTTGAAATTCTCATAGGGCAGATAGATGCAGGCAAACATGAATAATGCAAAGATACCATCTCCAGAGCGAAATGAGCATCAAAAGATGTGAAGTCAGTTACCCCTAAGGAACAATGAAACTGCAGGTAGGCTAAAATATTTAAATTAAATCACGTACTAATATGCAGTGTACTCCCTGAGAGAAATAACTGAAGAGGAATTAGCTCTTTTAGTCCTCCAAGACACCATTTATTATGTTCCTGACTTAAAAAGATATTTATAGGATCATATATATGTATACACATATGCATGCACATGAGTATGAATGTTTTAGTTTTATATTGCTGCTATAAAAAACTACCACGAATTTAAAGGTTTCCAAAAACGTACCTTTATAATTTTACAGTTTTATAGTCAAGAAGTACAGTAGCATCCTTAATTCCATCTTCAAAGTCTCTTTTGCATGGCAGGTAACATATTCACACAAGTAACATGAGGTGAAGGCCAAGGAGATAAAATCCTACCTTCCTTGGCAGATGAATCTTGATCTCTTTTATACATAATGAAAACACCTTTAATTAATTCAACTATAAAATCAATAGTTTAATTAATTTTTGAGTATGTCAGTAGACTTCATAATGTTATATGTAGGTACATCCAGATTAAAATAACACACACACACACACACACACACAAAACCACCTGATATTGTTAGTGTAAGCCTTTATTTCATAAAACAAATTTTATTATTTTTAAAACAGTGATATAAATTCATCAATAAGTAGTTGCAATTAAATCTAATTTTAAAAGCTTTTACAAAACATTCAAACATGTTTTTGAACTTTATTTCTAGTGAAGCATAAGTATACAATTCAAGAAATATTTTCTTGAATTTCTAGTTTTTAAAATTTATATTCTGATTCTTGGTACCTCTATTTTTGTAGTTGCCCTGTATCAGCACATTAAAACAGCAATTTTACTGGAGAAAATAGTGAATATACGGAATCTTGTCTACTAATTCTTCATAAGTACAATTAATTATGTATCCTTATGTCACCACAGGCAAATTATTCTTTATTTTTCTTTAATGCTAGATGATTATTCTTTAATCATCTAGCATTGTCTATGTTTTAGATCATGTTTATGATACTGGAAGCTTGAGCACAAAGCCAAGGAAAAAGAGATTTTTAAATAATTTATTTTCCAGTAATTTATCATGTTATTTGTCTCATTTGATTTTACTCGCTTTTATCCTTGAAAGTGTCTGGGCAAATATATTCTCAAGCTTGTCTACCTTTGCCCTACACTTGAAATATATAGGTCTCTTATACTGTCAGTTATACCTCTGTGTCTTTCAAAATACATAAACGTCCTTACAGCCTCACATATCTAGAAACACAGTCAATGTCTGTCATTCTTGTTACTCACAGACAATGATATTGCTCAAGGGAGGTGGTAACATTGTTGCTCCTTGGTTTTTATCTGTCTGGAAGTAAGCAGTTCACAGAGAAGAGTTATGTTGGATTCCATTTGCTTGTCAGCGTTGTCACATCTTTTTCCTCTGGCTATATATTTTGTGATTGTGTTTTCATCATTTGCTGCTGATTATATTACTGAGAGTGCTTTTCCCAGTGACAATTTCAGTTTGACATTAATTTTAACCATGAATCTGAGTTTGGAGGCAGGTTAAAAAAATAGAAAAGAATACTGCCCTTTTAGGTACACAATTTTCTTATGATTAGAAGTTCTATCACATAGTTCAAAATGACATAAAGTTGTAAAATGTGTGTATTTGAGCTGTTACAAATTTATGCATGCTATTTTCAGTAAGTTATTGTTAGGTTTTATAAACGTATTTCTTCAATTCATTTTTGTATTATGCAAGTTACCTTGTGGTCGATTTGTTTTAAGTATTGTTATAGAGTAGAATAAAATTGGGTCGGCTATAAGAGGACAGATTACTGAATTTGGCATTCCATCCTACTGATAATAATATTAAACACTCAAAATACTGTAGTTCTTAGAACTTCATCAAAACTTAGTGGGAAGATGTCAGGGCCTTTCAGTTAAGAGCTCCTAAAAGGCAAATAAGTTTTAGTTGATTGGGAAGTGACTGTGAATAAAATGGAAATAATTTTATGTTTTTGTCATAGCATAGCATGTGATTTTTTCTTCTTCTTTTTTTTTGAAATGGAGCTTCACTCTTGTTGCCCAGGCTGGAGTGCAATGGTGCCATCTTGGCTCACTGCAACCTCCTCCGCCTCCCAGGTTCAAGCGATTATCCTGCCTCAACCTCCTGAGTAGCTGGGATTACAGGCACCCACCACCACATCTGGCTAATTTTTGTATTTTTTTAAGTAGAGATGGGGTTTTGCCATGTTGTCCAGGCTGGGATTACAGGCATGCGCCACCACGCCTAGCTAATTTTGTATTTTTAGTAGAGACGGAGTTTCTCCATGTTGGTCAGACTGGTCTCGAACTCCTGACTTCAGGTGATCAGCCCACGGTGGCCTCCCAAAGCGCTGGGATTATAGGCATGAGCCACCACGCCAGCCAGCATGTGATTTTTAAGTATGAAACTATACTTTAATTCTAGAGGAATTTAATATAAAAGATGCTTTTATAATTTGCATAAATCTTACAAAATACTATATTCAAAAATGATAACAAAAGAGTGGCAAATGAGAAAGTCTATTTCATGTGTCAGCAACCACCCGTGATTCTTTCCCGGGCAAAATAGTCACATCTTATTCATTTATGTACTTACTTATTTACCTTCTTTTCTTCATGCTCCTCTCTTTTTCAAATGTCAGGTGTATTAAACAGCAGGGCTTCACATAGAAAGATTACACCTTAATGTGATCTTTGCTTCACTACTGGATTTCTTTCCTTAAGTGGTACATTTTATTGGATCTTATTACTTAAAACAATTCCAGTATTATTTCCTGCAATTTTATACAAAGAGGCCCACCTGAGACCTCAAATTCTGCACTCTATTTCCTTTTAGTTTTATCTAGCAAAGTGGATCATTGTTGTTTGAGTCAATCTATTCCATGTAATAACTTGCTAGAAGTAGCAAAGAGCAAACAATGCACAGTAACATTCTGGCTCTTACCAATCACCTCCCTTCGAGATATAGACTCAGTAAGCATGGGTTTTGCCTTCCGAAGTAACGGAGTCAAAAGGTTTACATCTTCCCAGCCTGTGCCAGTTATTTCCCTGTTGCCTACCTCCCAGCTAATTACCTTGCCACTGCCAATTGATTTAGATATTACTTTATTCATGGAAATTTTTTCAAATTAAAAATTTATATATTGGTTAGTGTAGCACTAGCAACTACAATAAAGAAAATATTGGTGGAATTTTATTTATTTCTAATATTTCTAGCCAGTGGTTACTTTTCCTCCATAAGATGATTTGGGGAATCAGAATGCTTACATTTGCCGGCACTTTTGCCAATGTCAGAGAAGGAGAAAAGAAAATAAGATGAAAGCACACTCACATCTTAAATGCCTTAACATTAATGTGTCCCATTTCACACATCTCACATGTCATTGATAATAACTCATCACATGACCCATCCATATGCAAGGGGCTGAGAAATACAGAAAGTGACTCATCAATTACTTTGCAGTAAGATGCTTATCTATGGATAGAGAAGCAAAATGTTAGTAAATATGTAATTCTTGGGAGATAAATGATGCAGCAGGTGTGAGGGAAGTTTATTTTATGTTGATCAGGGAAGAATTGAGAGAATATTACATATGCTATTTGGAAAAAATATATACATTTTGAATGAGAAACTTTGTATTTCTTCCATACAGACAAAAAGTATTTATGCAAGGGAAAACAAATTTCATATGGCTGTTAAATGTTTGTGAAGGAATTTTACATATATGAGCTACGATTCTTTTCTATTTATTTCTTATTAATATAAACACATGTTTTACATATGTAAAAATATTGAAATATCAGCAATCACCTATCAATTTGATCAAATGTAGCAGACAGGATATTTTGGTCCCTATGAATTTTGCCCTTTCTTTTTACCACTGTAAATGTAATATTTATATAGCAAAATAGGGGTGGTAGACGGGATTAAAGTTGGTAGTCAGCTGACCTTAAAATAGGGAGATTATCCCAGATTATCCATGTGGGTCCAATGTAATCACATGGGCCCTTAAATTCAGAGGAAGAAGACAAAACCATCAGAGAAAGAGAGGTGGCAAAAGAGAGGCATAAGCCAGAAGGCACGAGAAGGATTTGATTCATCTTCGCTGGCTTTGAAAACAAAAGGGCTAGGAGCCAAGGAATGCAGGTGGGCTTGAGAAGCTGAGAACAACCCCTGGCAGACAGACAGCAAGAAAACCAGGACCTCAGTTCTGCAACCATATGGAACTGAATTCTGCCAACAACCTGCTTGAGCCTGGAAGGGAATTCTTTCCTAGAGACTCCAATCAAGAACTCACTTCTTCTGACATTATGATTGTAGTCCAGTGAGACTCATATCAAACTTCTGACTTAAATTAAAAAAACAAAAAACTGTGAGATTATAGATTTGTGTTAATTTAAGTCCCTAAACTTGTGGCTATTTGTAGGACATTAATAGAAAACTAATACGTTAAACTTCATAATATATTCTGAGACTAAAGTTTGACCCCATCATTTCCCTGTGTAATAGTCACTGTTCACCCTGCTCTTGCACTACCATGGAGTGAAAGCACTTTTCCGTCTGGTAGGCTGGATATTTCCTTAAAAATATGAATCCAATACTGTCATTCTCCTGTCCCAGCCTCTCCACTGGCTTTTCTTCATAGTTCTTACCTGAATCCAAAATTTTCTTCTTCATCTATAAAGCCTTGCATTTTCCACCAATGAACAAGGTAATCCAAACACAATACCAGTTTTCCTGCTTCTCAAGCATGCTGAGCACATTTCCATCTCAAGAAATTTTCACATGCTATTCATCTTTTCTACACAGTTCTGTCTCAATACTGGTATATTTTCTCTCTCCAAATATTCAGGATTCTGTTCAAATAGCACACATTCAAAGGTGCCTTTCACATCATTGCCATGAAATAACACCTTTTCCCCATTATTCCACTCCTACTCATCCTGCTTTATTTTTCTTTAGAGTGCTTATCACTCCCTAACATTATTTTGTAAGTGTATTTGTTTATTATTTACTTACTGAACTCCATAAGAGCAGAAATTCTATTTATTCCATGTAGCAATGTATCCACAAATCCCAGAAAAAGTCCTAAAATATAGTGGCGTTCAATAAATATGCAATAAATGAAGGCTGGCTTATGAAACTATGATCTGGATGAAGCATTCTGTATCACATTCACCTTAAAATCCAAATAGTCAATATGGTGAAATATTGATTAGATAGTATGATATTATCCTGCAAGCTGGAAAGCAACAGCAGAACCATTAGATATGCCTTCTGTCAGATATCTCTTGTTAAATCTTCGATTTATCTGTAAGCCTCCAGATTTATATTTTTCGTCTTTGAGTCATTTTATCTACTCTCACTGTGTTCTCTCTTTGAATGATCTCATGTACAACCCATTTGTAGTGGCT
Source organism: Homo sapiens (assembly GCF_000001405.40). Taxonomy (NCBI): domain Eukaryota; kingdom Metazoa; phylum Chordata; class Mammalia; order Primates; family Hominidae; genus Homo; species Homo sapiens. The sequence continues at coordinate 32,253,372 of NC_000004.12, forward strand.
TCCCAAAACCACATTTCTTTTCCTGATTTAGATCTTTGTACACAACGTCTCATCATTGTTAACTGTACCATAAAAACAACATTGCTTCTTACTTTAGGATAGAAAGTAGCCCAAAGGAAAGTCAAAACTCAATATTCATTTCAACACTTCCTCTACGAACATGACTGCATATACATTCTACCTCAGCGACTGCACCAGAATCCATTCAGAATCCCAGTCATAAACTGGTCACCCACCCTTCATTGTTTCATTACATACTCCACCCTACACCATCACCCTAACATTTGTTAGTTTTTGTCCAATAAAACTATTCGTGTTCTCTGAACTCATTTGTTTCCACAAGTACCGTTTTATTCCAAACCTTCATCATTCACAGGCGTAGCAAGCTGCGAATGGACAGCCTGTGTATGGGCCTGAGTTTAATCACTACAGTTCATGAAGTCCTTGTATAATTATTTTAGCACTTAAATACAATACAGAAGCATTAGTAAAGCTACATAAATCTTATCCTCCTATAATATTAGAATCTTTTTTAGTATTAACATATACATTGTGGTTGCACACATATTACTATTGTTGGATTCGTATTACTATTGGTAGTCATGCTTTGTTTTAAAAATAACTTTGTGCTTATTCTTAATAATGATAGCTTATAATTGGAATTATTTTTAATACAACCTTTTTTCCTTCAAGCCAACCTACTTCTTATGCAAATATTTTAATGCAACTATAAAATCAAGTTGCAACTGTCTAGTTTCATAGCATTTTTCCATCACAATGACAACATTTTCAATATACCACAGAAATGTTTATTGCTTTTGAATCATCTACTTCACGCACTCTTTTAATCTATTCTAAATTCGACTCTTTATAACACAGAATGCAGGCAGCTCTTTCTAACATTTTGGAATTTTTCCAAAATTATTTTAACCTCATCTCTCAATTTTTGTCCTTCCCCTTATAGACTCCCTGCTCCCAGCAGACTCACTTGACTGATTTTGACTATGTATCACTTGCTCATTCCCACCTGCAACTAATTCAACAAACAGATGGCATTTGTGAGACAGTGCTAGACACCATTGTGCATGTGAATTTTGCCCACTTGATATTCTTCTGTCTGTTTTAAAATCCAGTTTCTCTTTGAATTTCTCCAAATTTTTTTTTTAAATCAAATGTTTCTAACTCTTCACACACTCCTTCTGGGCGCTTCAGGCAACCGTGAGTGTGGTTTTCACCTTGTATATTTGCATTTGTTTGTATTCTGCTTTGTGAGCATGTGGCGAAAGCTGAAAAGCCCGCAGTCTTTATGGCCAACTACTTCCCATGGTCATCAAAACAAATAATTTGTCCTGTATCTTCCATCCATGACCCCTGCACATGGTTCCATATAGTGCACAGTCAGTAAAGGGTAGTTCACTATCTCTTAAAAGGATATTAAAATAGAGTAAATTGTTCAGTATGTGTAATAAATGATGCAGGAAAATAAAGCAGAAACTCAAGAGATGAAAGAAGAATAGATACTTAAAACAGTAAAGAAGATTACATAGAAGAGAGTAGATTGTACAATCATGACATATATACCATTCACAGCCTTAGTTAAATGGGATTATACATGAATTATGAACCCTGCAAAATTATTAATCACACAAATTATAGAGAAACTGCTTCTTATTTATGTAGCTAACAAGTCAGTTTAACTTCAATAAGTGGATACTGATTTCCACCTTCTTAAAAAATGGGCGGGCAATAAGCATTCTATATAGAAAGTTTTTGATTATTCTCAAATAAATTTTATAACATTTTAAAGTACTTGAAGGTACTTCTGAGCTTAATAAACTTATGTTGTGCCAAAGTCAAACTAAGATATACTCAAAATTTAATTTAGAGGCCAATTTAATAACTCAGCATGTCATCCTTAGTCTTACAGATTTACATCATTATCAAAACCCCATAGGACACTTCATAATTGAGTAAACAAAATTTAGAAATTATTTAAAACATCTAAGAAGACTTAAAAATCTGTCATATCTAGATCATTTTATCTTTGCTAGTGTTTACATAAACATTGTTATTTCATGTTTTATTGATAAAGAAGTAGGTATAAAACAAGTTGAGAATCAATTTTTTAAGCCTTCAAATTTACATTGATCTACTGAGAATCATTGCATAACATGCAAAAAAATTATTTATTGAAAAACTAAATACAGAAAACTGCCAGTTCCCTAAAATAAGAAATTCACATTTAATTAAATTTTATATTTTATATGTTTCAAATTCTACATTATATAGAAGGAATGCGATGTTTACTTAAGATTAACACTTGAATATTACATAATTCATAACATCAAAATTAGCATACTAAAAACTAACGATGATCATTCTGATCTTATTCCTGACTTCGTTATCCTGGTGGTGGAGCCATAAACCTGTAAGTCATGAAGACCTTTAGTGTTACCATTTCACAACATCATCATTTCATTTTAATTATTTTTCCTGCTCTTCTGGCTTTTTTTTTTCACATTTGGTCTACACTGGAAATTAAACCAGAAATTATAATTAGCAAAATGGACTTTAGTAAGAGTCTCAAAACAGATTAATTATACCAAACCAAATTATGACATACATCATAGACTGAGTTCCAGCTCCTTTTACACCACTTTCTTCAGAACCATATTTATAAAAATAGACTACAGAAAACTTGAATTAACAGTAATTCAGCATTCACTCAAATATTTTAAAGATAAGTCTACTGACTTCTCCAGCAAATTTGTTAGTATACAAATTCTGCCTAATCTTGCTAAGACTAAAATTCCTATAAACTAAGAAACTTCTTCTATTGAGAAGCTTTACACTTTTTTTTTTATTATACTGTCTTTTGCTACAGCAAAAATAATCTTTTTTATTTCCTCCCTACTACAGGCATGTTATTCATAGTCTGTAGTTGGTGTTGTTTAGCTCTAGAATATCTTCAATTCTTTTATTTTTTCAATTCTGGTTCTCTGATAACATTTGTTAATTTGTTATCTGATCATGTATTTTCTTGAACCTATTAATCACCATTATTTAAAACTCTATGTTTTATACTTCCGAAATTGAATTTATCTCTGGAGCTACATTAATTTTTAAAACATATTTTGATTTATTTTAATTTTCCATATTTTATATTTATATGTTGTTTCTTTAGATACTTGGCAATTGTTGATTAACATGTAAGAGATTTTGAGGAAAAAAATTGTAGATGGTTTGAATCATGTTATTTTCCTTCAGAGTATGTTCAACCAGAATATAAGGCAGAAAGATCATTGCAATCTAATTAGGAATTGAGCTACCTGGATTGTACTTTGTAGTTTTTGTAAGACTCTATTTACCTTTGTTTTATTCTTCCTACTAGAATGTATCTATCTAGGCTTTCAATCGAAAACATCAGGTGTTTAATGTTACTTCTCCTCGATAATAGATCTTTCTTTAACTCTGATTTTTGTCTCTTCAGTATAGTGAAACTATCCAGGAGCCTGCTCTGTGTTTGAAAGACTTTCTTCTTAGATTTTTATCCTCTTTCTCTGAAGAACTCCAGAAATCAGTAAATACCTATCATACTCAGTGGAACCAACACTGAAGATCTCAGTTTGAAGCACTGGAGCAGGTTGTTCTGAAAGGTCACCAGGAAGCTGAAGAAATTCTCAGTTATAGTAAATGCCTTGAGTAGACAAATGTATGCATACTTTATTTGTCCACCAAATTTTTGAAGGAGAGAGAAGACGAAAGATGTGAAAACAATTATGTAACCTATGAAAGACAGAGAAAGGTATATACTATTTTTAATATTTTTATTTAAGATTAGAAATAGAGAAAACGTACTGCCTCCTCATGTATCCATAAGGAATGTGAACTTTTCCTGTACTCTACAATCTCACTACAGCCTCTTAAATTGATTCTCCAGAGGTGAGGAGGAATATGTGATTGATCGATAAGAAGCTGAATTTAACCTGGCTATGTACTCACCCTTTGGTGGTGTAGATTTATTGAATATAAAGACACATGATAAGAGGTCTAGCCTCATAGTCTTGAATGTCAGTTTTCACACCAAGCTGATGGTCAACCTGGAGACTATACCTAGGGTCACATGGCCCACCTTAGCAATCCAACTTAAGTGAGCCAGAACAGAAGAGACTTTCCCTAGATCACATATTAAGCCCCACTTCTAAAGCAGAAACAGTTCATTAGGCATTCCATAAAATTTCATTCCTTTGGATTTTCTGCTCAACTAGTGGGAAAATCAAGTTAGGTATGGAATGTGGAAAGGGTTACATGGCAGGTATATCAGTCAGGCTTCTCCAGAGACACAGAACAAATAGAGAGAGAGAGAGAAAGAGAGAGAGAGAGATTATTTTAAATAATTGGCTCACACAATAATGGAGGCTAGCAAATCCAAAATCTTTATGCTAAGCCAGCAGGCTTGAGACCCAGTGAAGAACTAATGTTTCTGCTGAAATCCAAAGGCCATCAGGAGGGGAGAATTCTGTCTTGCTCGGGAGATGTCATTATTTTGCTCTATTTAGGTCTTCAGCTAAATGGATGAGGCTCACTCACATTTTGGAATGCAATCTGCTTTATTCAAAGATCACTGATTTAAGTGTTACTCTCATCCAGAAATATTTTCACAGAAACATTCTGAATAATGTTTGACCAAATATCTGGGCACCTTGGCCAAGCAAGTTGACACACAGAATTAAAGATCACAGCAGAGAACTGTGGGAAGCCTCTCAGCTATTTGCCAGCAGCCTTGGGAACTGGCAAGAGGACCTTGAGCCTTAGATGAGATTGTAGCTCTAACAAAACGGTGTCCAATTTACAGACCCACAGAAACTGGGCGATAATAAATGTTTGCTATTTTAAGTCACTAAGTTTGTGGTAATTGTTACACAGTAAATTAAAACTAATATAATATCTAATCTGATTTAGCCATTATAACAAGGAGTTGAGATCAAGCAGATGGCTTTCAAAGTAAAATCTAGCTCTAAAATTCATGAATTGTATGATCTGACAATAAATGCGTTTTAAGTACTAACTTAATAAGTAAATCACTCTAAAATGCATTGAATTCCAGGATATTTATTTAGCCTATATTAAAACAAAGAAATTCCAGAATAATAAGTTATAGATAGATACGTTACTTGAGTTATAGATGAATACAATGTATTATGAATACAAAATACTTTAATATCTTTAATTCACATTTGGAACATGGCAACCAAAAGGATCATAAGCCAATCAAATCACAGTTTGAAGAAATGTTTATGAGAATAAAGTATGTATCATTCTCTGTGCTCAATACAGATATTTCCACAAAAATGGAATCTTGTTATGCCATTTCTAAAGCTCATTTCAATGATTGGGAGAGTATAAAATCAAGATAGAAATGTTGTAATTTAGAAAGCAGGCTTGTAAACTATTAATCTGTCATTTTTAAATATTTAATTTGATTTTCAAATTATTACTGATTCCTTTTTACAGTAAGAAATTTCTCCTGTCAAATAACCCTGATAATCAGTCATAATTCTACATATTCACAAATTAAAACTAATTTTCTGAGAAAAAAATATGTAAGAAAAGTGGGCACAAATTGTTCTTCTTTAGAGAGTTTTAGGAAAAGATTTATATTCTATTTCTAGCAAATTCTTTTAGAAAACGGTATAATTATTGCTTCATTATATATTGTTAACTGTATGTAAATAGCTGTTAATTTGGCTCATTATATGTGTGTATATGTATATATATAATATGTATCTATACCTCTAGATAGATAGATAGCTCAGCTGTTTTTTCTCTTTCTTTCTTTTTCTTTCTCCCTCCCTCCCTCCCTCCCTTCCTTCCTTCCTTCCTTTCTTTCGTTCTCTCTCTCTCTTTCTTTCTTTCTTTTTTTTTGACAGGATCTCCCTATTGTGCCCAGACTGGTCTTGGACTCCTGGACTAACATAGATAGACAGATAGATAATACAGAGATAGAAATAGATATAGTTATGTAGAGAAATTTTTTCTCTCTACATATATATATATATATATCATCTATCTATCTATCTATCTATCTATCTATAGAGAGACTTTTCTGTAGAACATGTCGAATAACAAAAGAAGGTTAGAATATTATGAAATAATGAAGAAACACTTTTAAATTATCATACAAATAATATTCAAATATATTTATATGTCATCTTATTATCCTTTTAAGGATTAGTGGAATCAGAAGGCATAAATTTACACTATCAAAAACTTTGGTGTCTTTGAGCACCCCTCTCCAATTATCTTTTTGGACAATAATAAAATGGATCTATTTTAATATTTTACTTGATTTTCAAGATATCACTATGAAGAGCCTGTGATTTTATATGATTTTTGGATCACATGCAGAACCATCTGAAGAGTCCCAGGTAGGAAGAATGAGGAACTAAAATTTTTCTTGGGCTCTTACCTAAGTTCTCACGTTCTAAATAGAATTTAAGCTCCTTAGATTCTTCCTGAGAATGAAATGTATCATTTACAGTGTAGGCTTAAATCTCCTGCTGTCTACACCTCTGGAAGATCTTATGCATCTTAGTAGCCACCTCAGTGCTTAGCATACAGTGGACAGTGAAAACATTCTGGATGACTAATTCTTGTTTTACATTTTCACTATATTACATTTCATTAAATGTATGTATAATACAAACATGGTCGATTTTGTCCCCTGGAGGACATGTGACAATTCTTTAGACTGTTCTGAATATCATAAATATGCAGGTACCACTGACATGTAGTGGAGACCACAAATAATGCTAAACACCCTACAATGTATAAAATTGTCCTCTAATGCAAAATTATCTGGTCCAAAATGACAAGAGTGCCATGGCTGGGAAACTGCTAAAAAGAAAGAAAAGTATAAAATTATTTAATTGCTTGCAAAAGATAGACAGGATTGGGCAAAATATTTATTAAATGATAATAAAAATGCACTTGGTTCATTAGGCATTCTTTTCTTGAATTAGACAGACAATTTTGTATCAACGCTACTTGATTTCCTCAACTCCCTGAATCTGTTCAGCTGTAGATATAACATTTCAGAAAAAAAACGTTAAATGTAAGGATGATGAAAATGTAGTAGAAATGGAGAATGCATTGGCAAATCCTCTAATTCTAGAATGACAAAACAGTTCTGATTGCCCTGATGAGAGATTAATTGAAAATGATTTGGGTCGAAAAATAAGATAATTTATTGATATGAATATGCTAATATGAATAATTTGGTATTCACAGCAATAATTTGAGTGCTGTGGCTTTTATGCTGAAAGTTTCCCATTAAAATGTGAATCTAAAATTTTGAATGGCTTATAATGTAGTGAGAACTCATGACTACATGACACAGATAAGCTATTCTAAGGGGTCTTTTCAGGGACTCCAAATAAAATTAGACTCAGCAGGATCAAAGCTAGAAATTTGATTAGAAATATAAATAGCCCAATCCAAACTCCTTTTATTTGAAATAGTTGTATAGTATTACACAACCATGGAGCACTTCTACTTAGTTATAGACACGATACATAAAGGAAATTCCAACATTAGTATTTTCCAGTTATTCAAGGACAAGATTCAAAATACAAATTTAAACAGACATTTCTTATCTCCGTTGTCTCTTATTTTAAAGGAAGAAATAGTAAGCTTATGTTTAATATTTTATTTGAAACATGAATTGCTGCAATTTGAATGTTAAGATGAGGTTATTTTGAAGTCAGAAGTGGTGTCACTTGTTACTTTATGCCTAGTAGGTAGCACACTGCCTGACACAGTGTCAAGTATTTAAATTAATGATGATAATCATGTTCATTCTGCAAAGACTCATCTGCAATTGATATACTTTATACATTTAGAGATTTTTTAAAATGCTATTTTATTTTATTTTTTTGAGACAGCGTCTCGCTCTGTCACTCCGGCTGAGCGCAGTGGTGTAATCATGGCTCGCTGCAGCCTTGATCTCTTGGGCTCAGGCAATGCTTTCACCTCTGCCTTCCGAGAAGCTGAGACCACAGGAGTGCTTTACTGCGCCCAGCTAAGTTCTTTGTTTGGTTGTTTCGTTTGTTGTTTTGTTTTGTTTTGAAGAGACAGGGTCTCCTTATTTGGCCCAGCTGATCTTAAACTCCTGGGCTAAAACGATCTTTCTGCCTCAGACTCTCAAAGTGCAAGTGCTGAGATAATATCTGTGAGCCACCACACCTGGCCTAATTTTGTTAGTATGTTTGCTTGTTTACTTATTCACAATAGCCTTAGCAATGATTAACGTTATTTTTACTTTTCTCCTTGGTTTATGGTAGGCCAAAGCTGGTAGCTGATTGCCTGTCTAGTTCATTTATTCCATGATTTTCTTGCTAGATGTTATGTGGTTATACCAAGCTACAATAAACAGATTCCCAATAATTTTGTTTTACATTATGGAGTCATTTATTTTATTCAATTTTAGAGTGCCTGGCATGTTTATAATACTTATGAATATAAATATGAGTAGAATAACCCTAGGATCATAATGAGGTTCACTGGTATACCCAATGTCAGAATGTTTCAAGTACTATTTCAACCATAATATTTTACTATATGGTTCTTGAAACCAAATATCAAAATCAAAAGTTGAAACTGCTCTAGGACCTTGTGAAGACTGCATGAATAACTACCTCTTGGAGTGGTTAACTGCTCTATAAAGAAAACAGTAGAAAAAACATTATGACTGACATTATGCCTTTTGCTTTAGACACGCCTATATATACAGACACATATATATATATACAGATATATATATGTGTCAGATATATATATCTTTATCGTTCATCATATTTATATATGAGATAAAACGTTACACGATCAATGTTACACTATATGAGATAAAATATATAAAGAGATAAAATGGTTGACATAGAGTCATAGGCAGAAGATCTATAATTTTTATTGTCATTATCTCCTGACATTTGCAAAAGAGAGAAAAGAGAGAGAGGATACATTGCAACCCCATTTCTTTCCTTACTCCCTAGTTTTGGAAAGGATTTTTGAGAATGCTACTGGTTTAGAAACTTTACTAATGTTTGTTCCTAATAACCTAATTGAAAGAAAAATATAGCCAACTAAAAATTATAATTGAGGAACAATAGAGGCATTCCAATGACATGACACAAACTAGATACTTTACAACTCATTGGGGCTCAGTGGGATAAGAGATTAACTTTGCTTGCCATGATATATCAAAAGAGAAATGGTTCATAGTGTTACAGTATTAGAAATTAACTGACACAATTTTGATCACTGGTCAAGAGTGATAAAAAGGATCTTTATCATAAAAATCCTGCCATTAGTATGGTGAAAGGTATGTAAGATTTTCTAGAAGGCCAGACACCAGATGAGAAGGAGTAGTTAATTATAAGTGCATTGGACATTGTTCTCCCATATGGATGTTGTCCTCCCATAAGAAATCTATTATATATTTAGAACAAAAGGAGATGATAGGAAGGGGAATTTCTTTGCAGTCCAATAACCACATGGAGACTCAAATGAATGCTGATAGAAAAGAACACTGAGTAATTATATTTACATTTTCATCATCCCTAAATCCTAATGAAAAATTGCTTATACTTCTCATTCATGTTATGAAACCTCTTGGAAGTGTCTTAACACCTTGAAACTATGAGACAAAACTATAATAGTATAAACGTGTAACATATAAAAATTGGTAAAAATTTGTGGATCCCTTAACAGAAGAGTATTATCTGGTTCTAAAGGTTGGAATATGGATGTATAAATGAGAGTGATTCAAAGGTCACAATAGAAAAGACTGGTAAAATTTGAAAAATTAAAGGGGTAGCTGATTCAGGTTAGTCAGTCGTGATGACTTGGGATCTTCAAGCGGCACTTACAAGAAACTTTTTCCGTACATAAAGTGAATCTAAAGAAGGGAGTTATAAGAGAAGTGAAATCTCTTTTGAACTGACTAGGATTTGAGCCAGTAAGAAGGCAGTTAAAGGGAGTTTCGAGGCCTGAGACACAGGTAAAAAGAAATAAACCTCATTAAGGGGGTCAGGTTCCTTTAGGGAGCACAGAAAGTTTTGACCTTGAGCTATAGCCGATATACCTGGGAAGAATGCCAGATGGACTTTGTTTCACCAATGATCAATGCAGCAAAAGAATGGTGTTAACTTCAACAGGGGTTGGATGCAAAGGTGAACTCAGTAAATATAACCCGAAACCCCTGATCAACATGTGTAGTTGAGTCAAGTTGAAAAACAAAATTATATCATGCATTCTTAAGCATTTTGTAGCTCCCAGTGTAGAAGAACAGTATCTCTCTAACCTAAACGTTTTGCTAGAAACACTGCCAAGGCAATATATTAAATTAAATGTGTTAGAGACTAGGCTCTGCTCCCATTATAAGGTTCCAACTTTTAGAGAGAAGACTTTCAAAAGGAGACAGTAGAAAAGTGCTAGGGTTACAACACAATGGCAATCTTAATTGAATTCTTCCTACTTTTTAGGCAATGTGTTAAGTGTATTACATACATTATCTGATTTAATCATGTCTACAGAATTGTATTTGATGTATGAAAAATATAAGGCTTAGAACAATGAAGTATAAGTCCAAAATCTCAAATACTTTTAATGACAAATATGGGATTAAAAGCGAAGTACATCTGACGAAGTTGGCTAACCTCCGGTTTATAGTAACCAAAGATAAACTGTATGAATTTATGGGGCACTGATCTGTAGAAAATGTCAGCTAAGCAATGTACCTGTCAAAGTATGAAATGGAGATATTTCATGACCAAAACAACTCCCTTCTGTATAGAGTGATCAGACATAGAACTTGTTTGCATTTGCAGTTGATGCCTTCCTCTGCTTTGTCAGTGTTTCATAATTAATTGCATCCTTCATCTAGTTAGTAAAGCTTACTGGGAAAGATCTGTGATTTTCTGACTCTCTAATAATCTGATCTTTGGTATGAACTCATACACTGCTTATGGTCAAAATTTTTCATATATGAAAATGTAATGGTGTGATGCTTTGATAGGCTACCTAAAGAGTGAATATGAAAAACTGCAAACTTGAGCACTTAAGATTATATCCAGGATACTCTTGCCAGGATAAGGAAATGGTGATATTGCTTAAATGGCTATGTCAGTGTTAATGTAGGAAACACATAGGATGATAATGCTGTCTAGAATGACATCCCCCAAGCAAACACTGAACACATAAAGGTGGATGTTGTGCACATTGCAATAATTGGTATTATTTTTCTCTGACTTCACATGGGAGGCAAAAGTTAGGTCCTCAGTTCTTGGTGTCAGTCTAAGAGGCAGTGAGCCATCAACCTTATGTGTCAGAGAATGAGATGTGGTATTTAACTGTATTTCATTTTGAACATTCCTTGTGTAGACCCTGCTGCTTGTGGCTGTTAATTCTTTTTTTAAACAAAAGACGACTTGTAACTATCATCTATTGTTAAGTTGCTCATATTTTTGAAACAATACCAAAGAGCTTTTAATATGGTCTAGGTTTTACAGTTTAAAATATTTCAGCCAATTTTTGAAAATTTAAACTGACTGACATTTCTGTATAGGGTGTTATTTTTGATTTTTTATAAAAATAATCTTAACTGTTTCCTTATCTCACTGTTTCTCAGTGTTTTACTCTGGCCCTCAATTAATCAATATCTTCTTTCTGGATGTTAATGACCCTATCACAATCCACTGTCCTGCCCACTAACTTGAAAATATTTTATTTTCATCTTTATAAATTGTTGAGAACTCTTAAAATCTTTCAAATATTCTTTATAGATCTTACACCAAAATTCATTAAAATGTTCAGACTTGATTTTATTTATTGTCATTTTAATATAAAGAGGCAAAGATTAATATTTAAAGACTGGCAATATTCTATCTCTTTCAAATTCATAGTATAGTAATGTAGAATCTAGAGACTATAATCCATAAACACCTGACTTTGAAAACTAAAATCAGACTTTGTTGGAGAATATAGAAGGTGAAGGTGATAATTTCCAGCTAGATGTGTAAAGAAAGTATCAACCTCTAGGCCGGGCGTGGTGGCTCACTCCTGTAATCTCATCAGTTTGGGAGGTCGAGGCAGGTGGATCACCTGAGGTCAGGAGTTCAAGACCAGCCTGGCCAATGTGGCGAAAGCCCATCTCTACTAAAAAATACAAAAAATTAGCTGGGCGTGGTGGCGGGTGCCTGTAATCCCAGCTACTCTGGAGGCTGAGGCAGGAGAATTGCTTGAATCTAGGAGGCAGATGTTGCAGTGAGCCGAGATGGCACCACTGCACTCCAGCCTGGGCAACAGAGGGAGACTCTGTCAGAAAAAAGAAAGAAAGAAAGAAAGAAAGAAAGTATCCACCTCTTTACATGCATATTTTAGTTTTTCAGGGGGCCAGAAGCAGTCTATAAGACTAGTGATATTTTTAACTGTAATCGTTTCTCTTCTAGTGTACCAAATGAGACATTATGGCACCAATGTAGACGGAAAACTGCAGTCATCATAGTTTTTGTTTGTTTAACAAGAGCAGAAATACACATTTTTAAAATGACTACACAATTTGTTTTCTTTCCTTGTATGTATGTATGTATTTATTTTTGGTACACATGTAGTCATATTTGAATAAGTTGAAATAATATAATTTTACGGCAAAATAGATACACTTTTCTTAAATTCATTTTTAATGTTTTTTAAAGTTTTTAAGGAAAATTGTTTGTTAATTTTTTAAGCTATACTACATAATTGTTTATTTGCATCACAATGGAGTTTCAAGTGTTCAGGTGATTAAATGCATTGTCCTTTGAGGAACAGAAAACCTGAAACACAGCTGTGCCACTTCCTTAGACTCCTAACCATACAGTGAGGGGGAAAAAAAATGAAACAAACAAGAGAAGCCTACCTTCATAAAATCATCAAAGCCAACTGAAGACAAATAAATTCAGAAAGAAAAGAAAAGGAAACATCTTCCGCATTTGGATAGGGTTAGGTTTGGAAAGCTTGCTATGAAATAAATGTTGATTCTCATTGGATACTTTTTTCCATTAGGCTGGGTGGCTTCAGGCTTAGTTGTAGGCTCCACTTTATGTTTTTTTGTTTTAAATCTCCTTAAATTCCAGTAGACAGATTTATGTTAAATATAAACCTATATTTTTACATTTTCTATATATATATTTCAGTATGTATTTATTGAGAACTATTTTAAGCCAGGGAATTGGGCTTGAAAATAACATTAAAAACTAATATTAAAGAAACACTTAATATTTGTCAAGCTTATATTTTACTGGCATTAATTCATACCCTTATTGTGAAAACCTTTAGAGGTAAATGCCATTATAACCCCATTTTAAAGATAATAAAACTGATTATCAGATCATTTATAAATTATTTGTTCATCAACACAGTAAAACCTTGGCAGGAACAAGTTTCAGACCCATGCATGCTATTTTAGAACTTTGCTCTTACCTAGAGAACAAGACACAGTTGTCAAAAGATGGCTCTAGGCCAGACGCAGTGGCTCACGCTCACTTTGGGAGGCTGAGGCAGGTGGATCGCCTGAAGTCAGGAGTTCAAGACCAGCCTGGTCAACATGGTGAAACCTGGTCTCTACCAAAAATATGAAAATTAGCCGTGCATGGTGGCGGGTGCCTGTAATCCCAGCTACTCGGGAGATTGAGGCAGGAGAATCGCTTGAACCCAGGAGAAGAAGGTTGCAGTGAGCCAAGGTTGGGCCACTGCACTCCAGCCTGGCGACAAGAGCAAAACTCCGGCTCAAAAAAAAAAAAAAAGATGGCTCTAGAAGAATATAACATAAAAAATATAAAAAACGATCAGCTTTGGTAGAGAAAATGTCTGCTTGGGTAATAATTACGTAGAATAAAACAGTAGGATTTTGTCAGGAAAGAAACTTGAATATTCCAGACAGATAAAGCACCAAGGCACCAACAATGTGCAAAGGCCACAGGAAATTAACCGGGCTTGAAAAGGGAAGGTAGGGAATTGTATGGGAAGAGTAGTGTGGCTGACGTTGAGAGGATGTGTGCATGAGAAAGCCAGGACTCGATCATTTGTGTGAGAATGTCGTTGTGACCATCTGGGCCATGTCTTTCTCCTACATTAAACTTGAAGTGCCATGAAGGCAGAGAATATTTCTATATTATTTACATTTTTTTCTCAACATCAATTTCATTGCCTTTTGTGTTGAATGAATGAATGAATGAATGAATGATTTAATTATGGCTTGATGGGTGGGTTGGAGTTAGATTCTGTAGGGCCATTAAGGTTCTTTGGATGTTTATGGAGGAAAGTGACAGACGGCACATTTTGCGTTTCTCAGAACAACTCTGGGATTCATTTAGAAGACAACTTTAGAACTAGCCTTCCGTGGAGATAAATGATAATTTATAAATAAGGTATAAGTTTCTAAAGCACTCTGTTACTGATTTATGATGTTATTCTGAGGAAACAATGCGTACTTTCTATTTTCTTCTCTGTAAGATGGGAAGATGAGACCATCAGCCATCCTGCCCAGAAAGTGTGTATAATGTTTTAGAGCCTGAGAGCCTGGGTAGTACTGCACTGACATCTATGCAACGGGCAAAATGTGCATTGCAGGGCTGGAGCGTAGAAAGTATGGGGAGTTGGAGTAGAGGTTGTTTCTAATAAAAACCATAAAAATAACTTCAGAGGTGTTATACCTGGCTTATTTCCACGACCTAAATAAAAAGCTTGAGATAAGGGGAGAGGATGAGTTTTGTACTTTGGATACATTTTAGAAAAGAATTTCCTTGAGGGAAATATCACTAACTAAAAATCTTTGAAAATAGAATTTGTAGTCCGGGCTGTAGGCCTCTTTATTCTAGCAGTTCACTGATATATTGCTTGATAACCCTAGTTTGTCCTACTAGCATACTTACCCTGTCACAGCTCACAATTATTTCAATACACAGTAGTGGTTATTAAATAGCTAGGGAAACTAGGGCCCTCGGAAGACAATAAAGGAGTTAACATTGAGAGAATTCAGAATGGTTTCAACGGTGTGAGTTATAATATCATAATGTTTACGATTCAAAACACAAATTGTTTTCCAATAAGTAAATCTTTCCTAAGTGAATTTAAAATAGTTAATTCCTGAATATATAAGAAAAAATAAATGAGTAAAATTGATAATAATATTAATTCTAAAAAAGTACAATGTGGTTTATAAAATACCTACCATTACTTTATCTTCACAGACAGCCTGTAAGAGGGCAGGTTCTATATTTATTTTCTCATTGTATAAAAGATTATACTGATTAATTATTCAGCGTTTCACCCTAAGTTACAAAGACACAATAAATTTCAGAACTAAATACAAAATTTACAATGTCTCTCAAAGAACCAAAATATCATTTCTGTCTGTTTAACTCTAGTTTCTACTTATCAATACATTTTTGTAAAATATTGGTATTCTTCCTGAGTTGTGATACATATTTAGAATGTGAAGCCTTTGGCATTGCTCACAGAACCAGCAGCTGGACTTCCTCTGGCCTGATACATCTCAGCAGCTGCTTTCAGAACTATTGAAGCCAGACTCCTTTTCCTCTCTACTTCTACTTTTCTTTGCAACTGTTTATGGGATGTTATCTTTTCTGCAAAAGCTGCAATGCATCTTTCCGTAAATAATGCATTTATGGTAAGGCTTCAACTTGACTTTTCCTTAATCTTCTTGTTTAGTCTCTTCTCCTTCCCCAGTGACACCTAGTGGTATTGTATTTACTTCTGTTTTGTTTTCCAAGGAGATATTTTTAACATGGAGATAAAATTAACAGAGATCATTATTACTTCCTGGTATCCATTCATTTCTGAATAGTGTATTTAGCATACCATAAGTTTCTTAGGTAAAGTAAAGTAAACAAAATAATTTTTTGCTCGTATTTTTCCTTTTGTAATCTTGTAACAGAAAAGGGCCGAGTCCATATTTTCTCTGAAATCTTTTACCATATATTTGTAACATAGCAGCAAATAATTGTTTAAAGATTGATGCACACATAAATGAGAAGTGTCGTGATGTGGTTGACGAGTTGCTGTGAGAGTTCAGAGGACTGGAGGATAATTTGAGCCTGGGGTGGGCAAGGACGGCATGGAAGAAGTAGCATTTCAGATCAATGTTGAATAAAATTATGATGTGCTGTAATCTAGAGCATAGTGGGGTGGATAATAAGTTAGAATCTAAAAGAGTAATATTCTGTTGGTTCCCAAGAGCTGAGGAATCTCTGATAGAGTGATGATGCATTAAATTTATAATAAATATTTGCTGATTAAATGAACCTACTCATATGGTTTAATTTAGTTTTCTTTTGATAGAGTAAAAAATGTAATTTTGTCTTGGAAACAATGGTTCAGATAAGACCACTGCTACTGAATGATGGGAATGAAGATATGGAAAAGTCATCTTTTAAAACAAAAGATTATAATAGGCAATGTATAATAAATAGGATATATTATCTACAAAAATTCTCCTTCAGGAATGACTTGTAATAAATAAATGTTGGTTATCATTTACTGTTTGTTGGCTACTGTGCCAAGCCCTTCCCATGCATTTTCTTTATGTTTTTAAGGTTCACAACAAACATATGTAGTACCAACAGACACACTAATTTACAAATAAAAAGGCAGGTGGAGTGTGTCGTAATACATAAATATATACATTTGATCCATGTCAGAAATGTACTCAACCTTTACTTTCAATCCTAGGAATAATACACTTAAAAGAAAATTGTTCCTGGAATATAACCAATGCAACAATAATAAGAGCCTTTTTATTATTTTCAGTTTGTTTCTGTTGACTGGACAAGAAGCAATGAAGCCTGTGCAATAGAGAAAAAAATGGAGATTGGCATATAAACACATATCAGCATTTATCAAGGCCGGTGGAGAAGAGATATCTTCTGATCTATAAAGCCTAGCCCTGTATTTGTGAATGTAAAGATTCCTGTCTTATCTAAGAGCAATACTACCAAAATGCACAGATGACAGAAAAATCATTTGAAATATCCTATTTCTTTAGTTTATGGTTCATTACCAAAACACACTGCTTGATAGCTTGACCACCTTTGTGAGCTTGTTTTTAAATTCTACTCATAAATACTGTCAGTTATATTCTTAGATCATATATTAAAGTTTTTTTTTGTTTTTTTAGATGGAGTGTCACTTTGTCCCCCAGGCTGGAGTGCAGTGGGGCGATCTTGGTCCACTGCAACCTCTGCTCCGGGGATCAAGTGATTCTCCTGCTTCAGCCTCCCGAGTAGCTGGGATTACAGGCAACCGCCACTTCTAGCTGCATATTTTTTCCACCTATAATTTTTTTGAGACCTTAATTATTTCGGTCTACAATCTGCGTCTAGCAGGACTACACAGACAGCAGTTCTAAAACTTCTTTTAGCTACTTGAGATATTAAATATTTCACATATATTAACAGTTTTATATCCCAGCAATGGATTCCAAAGTTGTGGCATTGCTACCACTTAGTACTTTTGATTTTAAGTAAAATTACAGTAGAAAATTTCTGGAAGTATTCTTAGTTGAGTGTTAACTGCAGGTATCATGATGTATTTTTTAACCTAACTTGAGTCGTTCAGTTGAATATCTTTTATCTTATTTTAAAATTTTTTCATTAATCATTTTCACATATTTTTATAATTCTTATTAGATGTATTGAAACAAATAATTATTAAGAAGAACTATTGTTTTACTCATTGATGTATCCTTCAAAGATATGTAATATGCCAATGTAATGGACTCTGTATTGGTTATCTATTGCTACAATAATGTGTAATCAACAACCTCACATCTCAATGCTTAAGTCAATAAGCTCTTTTAAATTCACATGCGTATGGGTTGGCTAGGGGATAATCTGGTCTCAGTGACCTGTGATGCTCATGTGTACATCTGTGATTAGTAGTAGGCAGGTAGGTGGCTTCGTTTAGCTGGTTTCTCACAGGTCTGGCCTCAACTAACATGACTCAGCTCTCCTCCACTTGTTCTCTCATTCTCCAGCAAGCTAGCTTGGGTATGTTCTGAAAGTCTAGTCAGAGAAATAAGGAAGAGAAGGACATAAGCATTCAAGGGTTCTTGAACTCTGATTTGGAAATAAAATACTGTCACTTCTTTCATATTCTATTTTCTAAAAGCAAGTCACAAAGCCATTCCAAATTCAAGATTCAGGAAATAAGATCCTACACTTTCAAAGGACCTACAATGTCATGTTGTCAAGGGCATGAACACAGAAAAGAAGGGTATGGGATCTGGGACATTTTTATAATCAATCAATTTTTCTTTTGTTAGTTTTACTTGTTTTAAATGTATACTCTTTGAAAAGGAAAAAAATTAACTTCTCTCTGACAGTTTTCATGGTCGTATGTCTGTGCATATATTTTGTTAATTTCTACCCTATTTTAAAATTATTTGCATTCTGCCATTTTTGAGGCATTATTTTAATAATAGTTTACAAGTGTCCAGTTACATGCTTAGGTCCTAAATTTTCAGTTACTTTTTCTCCTTATATAGAAGCAAATATTTAAATTCCTTATACAATAACAATTTATTTTTATCTTGCAAGTTTTGATTATTTGAAGACTAATCATTTAAAATTATTTAATTATAAATATTAATTCTAACCACACATTCTTTTTATTTATATATATAATCAACGTGTTTTAAATAAAAAAAAACCTTTATAAAAATGTTAATTTTAGATACTTTTTTAACATAATAACACTGTGTTCAGAGAATGTAGATTGACTCACGACATGGAAGACCTTTGCAGTCATAACGTGGAACAAAGGAAAACAGGCATAAAAGGAATACAGACATATGATTTCGTTCACATAAAGTTCAAAAACAATAAAACTGTTATTTATCCTTGAGAACTGTGTAGCAATAAGATGGGGGCATGAAGTGGTTTCCAGAACACTGGTAATATATATTTTTCTTGATCTAGGAGTTAGTTACATGGCTTTTGGTGAAGCAGGATATTTCCCTGACCCCTTTGTGGGATTCGTGACCAGAGTGTGTTTACTCAGCCCGTCACTCTCAACTCCTCACGGGAGGGAGTGCATAAGCAAGTAAGATGGGAACTGGAGTGCACGAGCATTGGAACTGAACAGCTGCTTCAGCACTGGCAGGAGCAAACTTCCCGCAGCAGCATCCAGGTAGGGGTGCCTGGGACACCGAAGCCCCAGAGGGCATGTTACAGTGCTCTTTTAGCTCTGCTATCCACAGATGGCTTAAGTGTTAGCAGCTCAGTGGGCCCTTTGCCTCATTGTGTGGGGCAGCTGCCCTCCACCAGCGAGGGCAAAGGGCCAGCGTGACAGCCTTTGTATGTACACTCGTGGCTCTCGAGCTCTTGTCTGGCATCCAGAAAAAATAAGGTCACATGAGCAAATTGAAGGACGGTAAATGTAGGGCATTTTATTGCTGATGAAAGTGGATGTCAGTGGGAAGGGAAGCTGAACAGGGGATGGGACAAAAGGTAATCTTCCCCTGAAGTCCAGCCATATCTGGCCAGATTATTTTCCAAAGTTATGCTATCAGTCTGTCCCTCTGAAGTCACACCGCTTCTCCCTGACATACAGCTGTGGCCCATCAACTAGCTGAGTGTGAGGTTTTTATAGGCACAGGATGGGGTGGGGTGGGGCCATGTGTGGTTTAGGAAAAGGACATTTGAGAGGGAAAATTGGGATATAAGTTCTCACTTTGGGCTGTGGTTTCAGGCTTTTTGGCTTGTGGGAGGGGTTTTTACCTGGGACCCACACTTTTCTGACTAGAATTTCTCTGCCTCCTGTTCCTATCATTGGTAGTTTGTGAATAAGCATAAAGCTGTATTCTTGCGATGTGTGAATATTCCTATATGTTTTCGTGTATCATTAAGAAGCTGGAAAATCTTAATGAACCTGCTTAACAGCAGATTACATAGAGCTAAAAAGAGAATTAGTAGAATAAAATATAAATTAAGGTAATTACAAGCTCATATGACAGACATCCAAAGAGAGAAATTTATAAATGGGAAGTGCCACGAGCAGCTCGGTCGGGGAGACCCTAACACAGCGGCGCTAGAGGAATTAAAGACACACACACAGAAATATAGAGGTGTGAAGTGGGAGATCAGGGGTCTCACAGCCTTCAGAGCTGACAGCCCTGAACAGAGATTTACCCACATATTTATTAACAGCAATCCAGTCATTAGCATTGTTTCTATAGATATTAAATTATCTAAAAGTATCCCTTATGGGAAACGAAGGGATGGGCCAAATTAAAGGCATAGGTTGGGCTAGTTAACTGCAGCAGAAACATGTCCTTAAGGCACAGATAGCTCATGCTATTGTTTGTGGCTTAAGAATGCCTTTAAGCGGTTTTCCACCCTGGGCGGGCCAGGTGTTCCTTGCCCTCATTCCCATAAACCCACAACCTTCCAGTGTGGGTGTTAGGGCCATTATGAACATGTTACAGTGCTGCAGAGATTTTGTTTATGGCCAATTTTGGGGCCAGTTTATGTCCAGATTTTGGGGGGCTTGTTCCCGACAGGAAGTTATGAGACATGAAGAGAGTGAGATTTCAACTACTACACATACATACCCCTTTCCAGTGTGACATCGTCACAAAGGCTACCTCATTGCTTGCATCTGGTATAGCTCTGGAACATGCTTTGACCAAGAGAATGTGGCAAAAATGGCAGCCTAACCTTTGGAAAGCTTTGCAACTTTCAAGTAATTGTGCAGCTCCTAAGCAGCTAAGTTGGTTTACTACACTTGGAAAAATTTAGTCAGTAAGGAGACAGCCAGACCAAATGGATTTAGACAGTTAATTATTTCTGGTATAGCAGGCAGCTTGAACTTCATGCTCTCATTGAAATCCCAGGGGGATAATGCAGAATGGGCCCAGGTGAGTATTCAGCACACAGCTAATCTGTCTTCAGCTTTGGAGCTCTGAGGTTAAGAAACCCCTGTTTTTTTTTTTGTTTTTTTTTTTTGTTTTTTTTTTATAGCTACTAAGAACAATAACAAAACTTGCCACATTTTGGTCTAAATGAGACATTGGATTTATTACTCTGGAATGTAAAAAGTTCTTCCAGGAATAGGAGATTTTACTATCTTTCACCATCTTATGCAAAAATTCTTAAATTGATCATAAACGCCTAGCCATGTAGAAATGTCAGAGATGCATGGAATATTGTCTTTCAACAAATTCTGTTCTGGTTTCTCAAAATGGGTCTATAGGCAGGGCACAGTGGCTAATGTCTATAATCCCAGCACTTTGGGAGGCCAAGGAGGGTGGATCACCTGAGGTTAGGAGTTCAAGACCATTCTGGTCAACACGGCGAAACCCCAACTATACTAAAAATACAAAAATTAGCCAGGCATGTTGGTGGGTGCCTGAAATCCCAGCTACCTGGAAGGCTGAGGCAGGAGAATCGCTTGAATCCTGGAGGTGGAGGTTGCAGTGAGCCGAGATCGTGCTATTGCATTCCAGCCTAAGCAACAGAGCAAGACTCCGTCTCCAAAAAAAAAAAAAAAAAGTGTCTACCTTCATGTAAAAAGGACTATTCTATAATTTAGAAGACGAAAGGACATGCGGAAATATCAGAGACATTCCAACTGAAGACCCTTATAAACAAGTAGAAGAAACACTAATTTGAGTCCAGCCAAAATTGCTGATTTACAGATTGTGACCAAACAAAAAACTAAATTTTGAGATGATTTGTTATAGAACATTAGATACTGAAACAAACATGTTGAGGTAAGAATCATAATACAAATGTCAAAGCACAGCTGGCTACTTTTAAGAACAGTCATGGGTTGTTTGGTACAAAATGATTTTTCTTCCAGGACTACTTTGGTAAAGACATATTTCTAAAGCTATTTGGAAAAAAAAATCTGTTCCTGTAAACAAAACATTTTACATCCTGATTGATCAGTAGTTCTTTATGATTAGTATTAACTTATATCTACAGAAACCCACTTTTATAGGTTTCTATTTTTTCAATTTTCTTTCATTAATATTTTGAGTCAGTGACAAATGGCATTAGAATACACCTACTAAGCCTATGCAAATATTTGTGAACAGCACTTGCATTCAGTTGATATGGACCTGGCAAGTCCACCTTTGAGTTTTCCTTTTGTTTTGAGGTAGAATGAAGTGGAGCATTGAATCTTTTCACTACAGTGTTTATTCTTTTGTTCATTCCACAACCATGCATTGTGATCCTCCCCTACCTTTAAACTTTTATCTTTATTGCATTTCCCCTCTGTCACTTTGCTCCAACTGTGTTGGCTTACTTCCTGTACTTCATGATAGAATTCTGTTCCCCTTTCTGGAATGTTCTTCTTTCATATAACTGTATTCTAGTCTTCCTTTTCTCTTTCAGTTATTCATTCAAATACCATTTTTTAGGAACTCATTCCTAGAACACGTAGCTGAATTTCTGCAACTTACTACTACAATTTCACTCAAGCTTTTTCCTCATGATTTATCATTATTAATAGACTAATTTTGAGACAGGAGAGCTCCCTTGACTGCCTCATGGGACTTGCAACAGGGGTTGCTCATGTACTCAACCTCTGTGCTCAAACCCCCTGCGGGAAGGGGAGTAGGCAGGGTGCAGGAGCTGGGTCAAGCGCTTTTGGATGCTGGCAGCAATGAACCCCATACCAGCCCACGGCAGAGTCTAGGGGTTACCTCCAACCATTGGAGCCCTAGAGGGCATATGTTACCAATGATGCTCTTTTATAGTTGCCATCCATGGATGACTTAAGTGTTAAACAGCTCAGTGAAGAGTCAGTATGACAGCCTTTTTGGGTTCCCACACCCATTGCATCCCAAATTCTTGTTCGATGTCCAAGAAGAATCAGGTCACATGAATGGACTGAAAGGTGGTGTATGTGGAGGACTTCAGTGAGTGATGGAAGTGGCTCTCAGTGGGATGGGAAGCTGCAAAGGGGGTGGAGTAGGAACATAATCTTCCCCTAGAGTCCAGCCATTCCTGGCCAGACTCCTCTCCAACCATAGTCTCCAATGTCCAGCTGCCTCTTCCCCTCTCAATGTTCAGACGCTTCTTCTCTTCTCTCCTTCTCTGCCATGCCGCTCAGCTCTTCTGCTAGTGGAGCTTGGGTTTTTTATGGTTATAGGATGGCGATCTTGTTGGGCAGGACAGGAGGTTTTGGGAAAGGCAACATTTGGACAGGAAAACAGAAATGCATGTTCTCATTTAGGGCCATGGGTCTAGGGTTGAGGGTGGAGCCCTCACCAGGGACCCTGATCTCTTCTACCCAGTATTCCCTGCTTCCTGTTTGTATCAATTTGTTTATTACATTTGTGTTGATTTTTTCTAATTATCTTCTTTCTTCCTGAAAATAATCTTCAAAAAGGCATGGACTTTTCTTTTGCTCATTGTAATGTTCCTAGCCCTTAGAGCAGTTATTAATACTGGGGAGGTACTAAAAAAAGTTTGTTGAATTAATGAATAAGCATACAATTAACCCCCTGCTTCCTATATAAAAGAATCCCCAACAACTTAGTAGCTTCCAAGAAATGTATTCATCACATTAAGGGTTTTGATCCACGTCTTCTCACTTCTGGAGTTACTAGAGCCTCCACCATCAGGAAAACTGGCTGTCAGCATGGAAATTAAAGGTAATTAAGTAGCCCACACACTGGCTCTTAAACTTACCCACTCAAAAATGATAAACAGAATGCAGTCATATTACATTGGCCACAGGTAGATTAGCCTGTGCCTACCATGTGTCAAAAGATAAGCTGTGAAAGTTACAGAGATCTCTCTAATAAAGTAACATTAATAAACCCAGATCTGATTTCTTATTGGAGGCTGAAAACTCAACTATTCTAAAATATGAATTAGATCCCAGATCTATGTGATCTATCAAAAATTAATACATTGCTCTACTTCAAATTGTTGTTGCATTGAAAGAGATAGTTCACGTAAAGCACTTAGCAAAGTGTCTGGAAACTAGTTCAAAATTATTATCCATCATTACTATCATTATCACTACCCTTTAAAATCCCTTTGAATTAAATTATAAGTCTCCCTTAAACAATGAAATATAAAAACATATCTAAAGTGAGTAAACCAATATTAAGTAATTTTTTTTCATTCAAATGCCATTCATCAGTGTAGGACCATCTCGTCAGAAGTAATTTTTGAATCATGTTTGGTTGAAGCAGTGGCTACTCACTGATTGGCATGTAAGTGATGCTCTAAATCAGAGCAATGGTGTAAGAGTACGTAGGTATAAGTTCAAGGAAGTAATTTCTCAAAGACCAAGCAACCAAGTGCTACAAAAAATATATGGTCAAATTTATATCCAAAATTTATGTTCTATATATAACCCACTTACTAACCAACTGTTTGACTGAGTTAGCACTAGGACAGTATTGCTCAGTAATAACAGATAATGCCAGAAACAGAGAAGAACAAAGTGTTGTTCTTGATTACTTTGAGGTGAATTACAAATTAAAAACAGCCCATGGACATGTACTAGCTATGAAAAGCACTTGAAAAGATGCAGATGGTCATTCCAACAATTAGATGACGCCAAGGGTGTTGACTTTTCCAACTAATGAAGAAGAAAATCTGAATTCGAAATCATAGTTTGGAAGTAAGTATTGACAAGGATTCATTTACTTTGGAGAAAGGTGACGATGAACTCACACAAAAATAAATAGAAGTAAACTGCTCTATAACATCCTGTGTATTCTATATTGTTTTAACCTCAATAATCAAAGTTTAAGATAATTAGGCATGATGATTAAACACATGCTACTGCTACTCATTAATAGAGTAATTACCATAGATTTCCATAGTAAGATAACAGTGTATACCTTAATGCCTGGTTTATTATGCAAGGACATTACATTGTTTAACTTGTTGTAAGTGATAATTGATAGAATTTAGCTCTTAGAATTACTGGAAAGCCTACTTAAAGTTGTGCATACAAAGAAGAGTTAAGATTGAAGAATAAAATCCAGTATGGTTGCCTACAATCATATGGAACCAATTAGTGTTTCACTAACACTTATTATTAAGGAGCTCAGTGCAATTTACATTTCCATTTTTATTTAACACATTTAATCTAGGTGTTTAGTTGTTCATGGGTATGAGAATTTATTTTGCTATTCACTGAGATCTCAGTTGTAAGCCTGATATTCCTGACTTTTCTGAGATTTTTTCCACCTCAAGTTTAAGAAGAAAAAAATTACCATGCCTCAAGGCACTAAATTACTTTTAGTATTACAATTCCTAGTCCTTTGTCTCTCCTTGATCCTCTGACATTTTTTCATGTCTCCTCTTGTAGTGTACTTAAGCAGAGCTATTTTGATTAAATAACTCTCCAGAGAACGGAGATTATAATACAATAGTCTTCCAAACAGGTTATTCTTGAGTACATATTGCTATCATGCAGTGTAGATATAAAATCAGTATTTCATAAATGCATGTTTCTATGAAATCTGCCAAGTAGATGAATATCTCTTTCATTGTTCCTGACATCATTGAATTATAAATAATAATATGAAGCTCAAATTGTTTATTTGTAATTGAAGATCTCTGAGAAAGTTTTCAGTTATCAATGATGCAGTCACCTCTAAAAAAGACAGTAACTTTAAAATTACAGTGAACAGTATCTGAAATAATTTCCCTTAAATTGGGCAATTGCTCAGAATTGCTGTAAATCAATTCTCAATTCCAATAGAGTTAAAACGAGTGGCGAGCCGATTCTTATTCAATTCATTTTTTTAGATTCAATCTGCTTCAGTGTTTTGGACTTAAGGTGGCATTAGATAGGCACAGTATAGCTAATTAGCACAGTTGCACCCAGGTGAAGTATTACTAATTAGCATGGTTTCACCCAGGCAGAGAGCCCTTCTCTACTAGTCAGATTCTTTACTCTTCTGAAAAGTTGGTTTGCTCCTCTTTAAAACAGCTCCCAGGAAAAGTACTTGACTGTCTTGATGTCAAAAGATCACTATCATTAAACAGTTAGAACATTTTAAATATTAAAGTTAAACATAGGACAATTTAATTGAATCTTCAGAACTTGACTTTTTAAGTAAAATACAGCCAAAAATAGAATTTTTATGTGTGATTAATTATTAATCTTATCCTACTTTTCATGTAGCTAGCCTTTTAATAAAGACCATTGTATGTTAAATCTTTAGCACCCAAAAGTCCCATGAGGCCTCATTTCAGCATTAAAGTTTCCATTTCACATAGTTATCTCACTCTGCTCAGAAACGATTAAAAATTCTTCACACATTAAAAAGGAATCAAAATTGTAAATTAGTGACAAAGTACAAAAAAATAGTTTTGGGGGAACAAATCACAAAAAACAGAATGTCTATTATTAAAAAGCCAAAAGATAACAAGTGTTGGTGATGATGTGAAGAAAAGGAACAATTGTACACTGTTGGGGATATAAATTAGTACAACTATTATGGAAAACAGTGGGAAACTCAAGAAAAACTAAAAATAGTATTACCATAGGATGCAGGAATCCTGCTGCTGGATATTTATCCAAAACATTTGAAATCAGTATGTCTAAGAGATGTCTGCATCTGCATGTTCATCATGGTGCTTTTCACAATAACCAAGTTATGGAAGGAACCTATACCTGTCCATCAAAGAGTAAAAGGCTAAGGAGTTCAGTACCTTTCACTATCACTAACAAAGCAATTTTCTAATATTCTTATCACAAAAACATGTGATGTTAAATATTTGAAGTGATGGACATGTTATTTAGTATAATTCAATCATACCAATGATATGCAAAAATCATACCACATATACAACTACAGTTTGTCAATATATTAACATAATAAATTAAAAAAACTATTGTGTAGTATATATACTTGTTAAATAGTTTCTTTTGTTAAAAACAAAAATTCCCCAAGAAATAACTTTTGACCCAGCAATCCCATTAGTGGGTATATACCCAAAGGATTCTAAATCATTCTACTATAAAGACACATGAACACGTATGTTTATTGCAGCACTATTCATAATAGCAAAGACTTGGAACCAACCCAAATGTTCATCAATAATAGATTAGATAAAGAAAATGTGGCACATATACACCATGGAATACTATGCAGCCATAAAAAAGGTTGAGTTCATGTACTTTGCGGGGACATGATGAAGCTGGAAACCATCATTCTCAGCAAACTGTCACAAGAACAGAAAACCAAACACCGCATGTTCTTACTCATAAGTGGGAGTTGAACAATGAGAACACATGGAGATAGGGAGAGGAACATCACACACCAGAGCCTTCTGGGGGTGGGGGGGAAGGGGAGGGATAACATTAGGAGAAATACCTAATGTAGGTGATGGCTATGTGGGTGCAGCAAACCACCATGACATGTGTATACCTATGTAACAAAACTGCACATTCTGCACGTGTACCCGAGAACTTAAAGTACAATAAAAACAAGCAAAAAATTCCCCATTTTTTTAGTTGATTAATTTGAGTGAAACCCTACTACTAATTTTGATAGATTTAATATACATAAGAGGTTAGGGGCTCAGATTTATTTTATATCTTTTTCTTATATTAGGGTTATACAACACAAACCAATGAGAATGATAGCAGAATTGTAGAGCTAGTTGAACTAAAAATGTCCTTTCTATGATATAGCTAATTTAAGCTAAAAAAACATTTGGAGATTTATTTTGCTGATAATTTCTTTTAGTAAAAATACGAAGTTCATCATGGTTGATGATCTAACTAGGTTTTAGCATGAAATAACATACTTATTAAATTAGGTATTTCCAGATTTTTATGAGTTGGGGTTGGGAGGCTGAATGCATTCTGATTTTCTCATTGAAATATATGTCAAGTACATTTAACTAAAAATATTTGAAATGTAGACTTAGTTTCTAGAATTTCCTGAGCTGGGAGTCCACATTAATAATGAATAAGATCAATAGTAAGGAGAAAAAAAGAAAGCAGTTGCTTCAAGGATAAAATTCTCTCTCTTCTTTTTGGAAAAAAAATTTAAAAGAAGAGGCTGCTGTAACCTGATTCATCTCCACTGACAGGCCAATACCAAAACCGATTTACTTCACTTTCACCAATCCGTCATCATTTTTCCTATGATCCCACAGCTATTACAATCTCTTTTGACTTGGCCAAACAAGAACACTAAAAAAGAACATTTACTGTGTATCTAAATTAATGAAACCAGGGTTAGAAAAAGAAGCATGGTGCCACTTGAGATATTTTTGCTCTTATAAAAGATAGAGGTCCTCATGAGGTCAAGAGCTCTTTTGGTCATAACTTCCAAGCATTCTAGAAAAAAAAAAAGTTCTATATTTTACTGTACTTCTTAAAATTCTTCTTTTTTCTTTTATACTATTATACTGTAGTGATACTATTATACGTGTAGTCTTAAAAATAGACAAAAATATCAGCTTTCACTATTACCTTAGTTGAATAAAAAATTCTGAATATTTTCACATATCTCTTTTTACCATTTTTCATTTTGCTGTCAGTCTTCGTAAAATAGATATTAAGTATTTTGTACATGATAGTATATGTTTTAAGTATATTTTGCCTTTTATATACAAAAATGCTCTTTTCTTCTTATTATTTCACACTAACGCAGAAGTGTGTCAAGAAAATTTAAAGAGAATGAAAATAAAATATACATAGATTTGGAATGTTTATCATTTGATAGTTCCATTGTCATTGTTATTGCCAAATTGCTTATAATTTTACCTATGGCTGTTTCTAAAACAAATTGCTCCTCTATATGAAATATGGCATAATCTCATTAATTTTAATGAGAGAATTATTTTAATATATTAATACTACAAATCCAGCATATTAAAAATTGTAGGATTTTTATTACAAAGTTGTGACCTCAAGGTTTTTATCTCTTTGAATTTAAAATAATCTAGACCTTTAAATATCAATATGAATGTGTTAAGTTAAAATTGAAAATCATGATCAGAAATAGAACCTAAAGTTACAAAAATTTACCCAATTATCAATTGCTGTAAGTAAACTTGAGATCAAAATGTGATGTTTTAGGAAAAAGAATTCAAGTATTTTCAATGAACTTAAGAATGCCATTATTATGCTGTTTTTATTCTTGGTTGCTATTTTATTCTCTCTCTATCCATATTTTCCTTTTCTTGATTCTGAACACATTATATGGATATAACTCCAATTAGAGTTACATAAAATAATGCTGTTTCACAATGCTTAAGGTTTTATAAATGACATCTACTTATTTCTGACATAATCCAAGTTTTTCCTCATAAACACTGTAAGCATATAAAAATATTTAGTAAAGCAACAACTTTTATAATATTATCATTGTTACTGTCATTATTATAGAAACACCATATAATAATGCATTGTACTTAAATTTTTTTAAGTCACATTACATATGTTCACATCCTAAGCAAAATTATTTTTTTACACATGCTTTTCAGACTCTACACTCCTGCATGAAGGTTTTACATTGCTGCTTCCCATTGATACTTTTATTTTCATTTTTTGTTTGACCACCATCATATCTTCCCTTTATTTCGATTCCTATACTTGGTGTACTGATTTTTCAGTTTGGTTTTTTCCATTAAGTTAACTCATTTCTGTCAGATCAGCTGCAGAGTAGCAGCATTTTCTCACCATGTCAGTGAGCATTAAAATTCCTTTCCGGCCAGGTGCAGAGGTTCACTCTGTAATCCCAGCACTTTCGGAGGCTGAGGCAGGCGGATCACGAGGTCAAGAGTTCAAGGCCACCCTGGCCAACATGGTGAAATCCCATCTCTACCAAAAATACAAAAATTAGTCGGGTGTGGTGGCAAGTGCCTGTAATCCCAGCTACTCGGGAGGCTGAGATAGGAGAATTGCTTGAACCCAGGAGGCAGAGGTTGCAGTGAGCTGAGATTGTGCCACTGCACTCCAGCCTGGGTGACAGAGTGAGACTCCATCTCAGAAAAAAGAGAAAAATAAAATGCCTTTTCATTTCAGGGTAAATTTATGACACATTGATGTCTACGGGTTATTACTTTTATTACTCTGGTATTTAACTACAGTCTTCAGACATTATTTTCAAAGAAATATACAAAAATTAAACCAATTTCTTTATACTGCCAATAAAAAACATACATTGAATTTAAAAGTACCGTTTACGATAGCATCAAACTATAAAATACTTAGGGATAAATTTGGTCATATACATAAATGTGTATGACCTTTATACCGAAAAATATAAAACCGCTGAGAAAAGTTGAAGAAGATCTAAATAAATGGGGAAACAACTTGGTTTTGTGTTAGTGTTCCTAAACTGAACTGAGGGTCAGGCTGCTTGTTCTCATGGCCCAATCATGAGATGCAGGCGAACTGGGAAAGAAGAGAGTTTATTTTTCTAACTGGGTACAGGGAGAAAGCCAGGAAAAGGTCACCAGATCAAGTGAAAATTCCAATGTTTTCCAGAGCTTATATACCTTCTAAGCTATATGTCTATGTGTAAGTGGGCATTTATCTAAAGACATAAGTGATTAACTTCTTCTAATCTATAACTAAAGTCTGAGCCCTAAAGACCTTCCTCTGAAGCCTCAGTAAATTTACTTAATCTAGGCAGGTCCAGGTGCCAGGGGTGATTACCCGATGTTCACTGTTAAATCATAGAGGTTTGGGGAGTTCTTTTAGACCCCAGCAAAACTTCTTAAATCTTAAATGGGGCCTGTTAAAAATTCCTTCATTATCTTTCATGCTTCAAGGCCCAGGAAAGACCTAGGCAAAACTCTTGGTGGGCTTTTGTTACATTCCAGCCTTAGTATAGGGCACTGGCTCTATCAGCTTTTAATATTTAACTTAACCACTCAGTCAGTGCTGAAACAGTTGTCGTGGAGGCCTGCCTGTTCGGCTGTTAGTGAGACCCTGCCTGCCACATTAGGAGACAAAATATTGTTAAGATGCCAGTTCTCCGCACACTGATGTATAAATCCAAGTCAATCTCAATCAAATTCCTAACAAGCATTTTTGCAGAAATTGAAACTGATTTTAAAATTCTGAATCAGGCAAAATACACAAATTAAAAATCACTAGACTAGCCCAGATTACACTGTAAAGGGATGAAGTGGTTGGGTTAACACAACCTAAGTTTTAGAACTATTATAAAACAATAGGTATCAAGACAGTGTGATATTGACATCAAGATAAACAAATAGATCAACAGAAAAGGAAGTTCAGAAATAGACTGCCATGAGGGTCTATTTCTGATTTTTTAAAAAAATCTTTGACAACTGATTGAAGTAAAAAGGTAATTCAGCAAATAATTCTAGACTTTTCAACAAACAATCCTCATATCTTTAAATAATCATTTGCAAAAATAAGAAATTCGCACCATATACAAAATTAACTCAAGATAGGTCATAGACCCAAATGTAAAATCTAAAGCTATAAAACTTTTGTACAAAAAACAAGAAGAAAATCTTTGTGATCTTAGATAATGAAAAGATTTTTAAGATATGACACCAAAAGCACAATCCATATTTCACAATATGAAAATAAAGGATGTCTGTTCTTTGAAAGGCACTGCTAAAAGAATGAAAAGAATAGCTACTGATTCCTCAGGAAAAAAAAAATGAAAAGCATATATTGGGTAAATAAATAACACTCAGACTGAATAAAGAACAATCAAAACAAAAACGGCAAAATATTTAAACAGACACTTCACCATAGAATATCTCTTTTGTATTTCTTAGGGTTGAATCAAGGAAGCAGTACACTATATTCCGGGAACTTCAGGTAATTTTAATTATTTTCATGTCATTTATATCTAAAAATTAAAACATAATTTTACTTATTTCTTTTTTGTTTTGTTTTGTTTTGAGACATAGTTTTACTCTGTCGCCCAGGCTGGAGTGCAGTGGCACAATCTCAGCTCACTGAAACCTTCACCTCCTGGGTTCAAGTGATTCTTGTGCCTCAGCCTCCAGAGTAGCAGGAATTACAGGCACACGCCACCACGCCTGGCTAACTTTTGTATTTTTAGTAGAGACAGGGTTTCGCCATGTTGGCCAAGCTGGTCTCAACTCCTGACCTCAAGTCATCCAACTGTCTCGGCCTCCCAAAGTGCTGGGATTAAAGGCATGAGCCAGTGTTCCCAGCCAATTTTACTTATTTCTTATTGGACTTTTTAAAAGAAAGATGACTCAAGCAGATTAGTCTTCAAAAAGATAACTGGATATTAAAATAAGCTGGCTTATTAGTTAATAACAATTTACCAAATTCTTAATTCATATAAAATGTCTGTGACTCTATTAAGCTTTTACAGAGACACTGGTCAGCTGGGAAAAAAAATAAAAAATCAAATCAACCCTAGATTTTCTTGAAACAGTACAATACCCTATTTACATTGGTTTATGTAGTGTAACTACCCCTTCTTAGTTTTATTGGCAACATAGACACTTTTATGTTGCAGCTGCTAAACACAAAGTAAGACATTTGACAAAGTTACCAAGTGGGAAATAATTTGTTGCTCAAAGTTGTATGTTTGATCAGAAGCCTTTTAAATTAAATTTGACTAAAAAAATTGCCATTATTGTTTTTGTTCATCATTTTTACTTCAATAAATTTTCGCTATTCAGAAACACAAAATGCTAATATGTATTCTAGAGTTTGACTTAGCACAGACCTTAAGCATTTGGGAGGGATTTCATATTCTTATTCCAGATATAATTATGTTGATGGTATTTGTCATAGACCAAAACTGGACAGCTTAGGGTTTTAAAAGCATCCCTTCCTATCAATCATTTCTAAAAGAGCAATGACATTCGTACTACAGGCTTCATGTTACTGATTGTTCTTGAAATTACAATCCCAAAAGTTCATTGTGATAAAAAAACCCTACTTTACCAATAAAAAGGTTTAAGGAGAAAGATTAACACTTTCATCAGCTTGCCAATTTTTGGCATAGACAAACTGCATATGTATATTCATATACTATTTTTAACATTTATTCAAATATATTTTGGGATCTGTAAACTGTTAAAATCTAAATTGTATTTAACTTTCTTTTAATAAGTCATTTTGATATGAAACAGCAATAAGAAGACATATCATAATTCTAATTTATTTTGATTGAACTAAGATATTCAAAATTGATTGCACAAAGTTAAATATTTGACTTCTAAGCCATGTTTTGAAAGAATATTTAAATTAGTGGCATGGTCAATAAATTACATTGTTCTTTCTCCCTACTCTACCTCTCTAACATACACAAAATCCAGACAGTCAACTCTCCAGATATTTTCATTATTAATAATACAATTTTAATATTCTGTAACCACAAGATTATGTCTTATCCACCTGTAACACAAGATCTATGAAACATAATCCTTAAACATATATACACAAGCAACAAGGTTACTCTTCAATGAGTTAGATATCAGAACACACAACATTTCATGGAAAAAAAATGAAAAAGACCAATGTAAAGTGTCCATCTAGTTTAAAACTTTTGTGAAAGACATTACAGCATACAAACAAAGTACTATTACCATTGTTTCATAAAAGCAATAGTGAATTATTAAACCAAAAAATTGGGAAGAATATAATATTGAGAAAAAATAAGTTCTATTTAAAACTCATCTTTTTATCCTTATTATTGTCCTTTCTCAGCATACCAAAACAAATAAACAAAATAAAAGAACAAACAAGCAAAATGTATTGCCTTTGATTAGCACTAACCTTTAGACTAGCAAAAATACCAACAGCAGTCATCCTCTGATGATAGTTTACAGAGTCTAATAATCAAAGCCTGATCCAGGTAAGACTTTTCCCCACTGCCTTGCTTTTACAGCTCCCAACTTGCATAGCTGTCCACTGCAAAGTTATACTATGTGACTCTATTGATTTAATTTGGTTTTCATTGAATGGTTTTAGATTCACAGAAGTACTCATCTTTACTGTATCAGACCATCTTGACCTATCCCTTAAATTTGTGTTATTCAGCATAGCTGGAAATAAAAAACAATAAAACATATAAACTCACACCTCTAATAAATAATTGCAATATGTATCATGCACTATGTCATCTTCTCCTTGCTTCCATTTCTAATACTGATTTTTACATTCTAACTATGATTTGCATTTATGAGACCATCTATTCTGAGTATAAGAACTTCTTCTATGAATTTTATACTTTAGAGCTGGAAAGAACTTTATAAACATTAAATAATTAATTCTTATAACACTGAAAGCAAGGTTTGATATTCTCACTTTATAACCAAGAAAATGAGAACAGAATGCTAACGTTATTTGCTGAATGCATGTAAGTGTCTGTCAGGCCTAGGATTAGAACTTGGAGTGTGAATCTAGATTTGAAGATGCTGTAAAAGAAACTAGTGTTGAAGAAATAAAGAATATTATCTTCAATTAATATGCCCAGAGTTCTTGAAAGCATTGTATCTTGTGCTTTGTTATAAGCTGTTCAACAAAATGGTCTAACATTTTTGAAAAATTGGAACTTTGGTAAAATTTATTAGTAGGTGACAGAAACCATAAGCTCTTTACACTTTGTTTTACTTTCTCCTTGTGTTTTTAACATATGTGTGCGGTTTTTTGAGCTGAGTTTTACATTTCACTGAATTCCAAATTCTACAGTTCATATTTCACATTCATAGGAGTAACTCAAGTTTCTTGCATAAAGCTCATACTAGAAATGAGGTTAAAAACAATATAGTAAGCTATACGAATACGTGTGATTAGAAAAGGACAAATCTCTTTATAAATCATATTTTCTTTCCATGCAATGCAGCTGTGGTTACAGAAAAAAAATACGTAACGTGAAAATCATCTTAAAAACAACTGACTTGGTGCTGACTTAAGAAGGTGGAATAGCTACTATAAATGAGAAGCTAATATAGGAGGGTAAAGTTTGGAAAGCACTCCTTGTTTTGTTCTACATGCCACACAACTGATCAGAGGATAGAGATTTCATTAAAGAGAACAACCACAAAAATTTTTAATAAAAAGGATATGGATTTGAAATTACAGTTGGCCTAAATGTCTGGGTTTTCTCAATACAAATTTAATGCACTCCTGATTTCACACTTTTTTGCATGTCTATTCACTAATTGAGGGAGGAAGGGAAAAGGAATCCTGGATGTCAGAGAAAATGAAACATAAGCTGAGCTTTGGATTCTAAACTTTGAAACAAATTTGTTTATTTCTCTTTCCTTTCTAAATTTCCTTCTATTTTTCTGAGACATGAACATATATCTTTCTGTTGATGAGTATAGGCATATCTAGATTATCATGATGCATTAAACTAATTTATGTGCAAGGATTAAAGTACGGGCTCTTCTTTGCAGGCATTGTCTGAGCTTTTAGAGATAAAAAAAAAAACTTTTTTTCTTAGTTACAGTAAATATGTTTAAACTAGTATGAGCCTTATTTGCTGTATTGTTTTTTACTTCAGATACAGAACATTTGTTGTCATTTAACTTTAAAGACTATTTGAGAGTTTTTCTAGAATTATGTTCTTGCACTACTGAATTTTTGTTTTTTTGTTTGTTTGTTTGTTTTTTGATCTCTAGGCTTCCTATCACTTTGTTACATGAAGAGGCATCTTCAAAGAGCAAACTGATACAACTTTAAATTGAAAAGGATAAAGTTTGAAATGAAATATTTGTCCAAAGATTTGTTGTGTTTTGCAAGGTAAAACAGCTCAATTCTATCCTGACCTTTGGTTGCATTTCTAGATAATTTTATAGGCACCTTCAAATTCAGATATCCTAAGATTTAAATAATGCTAGATTTATAGCTCTTATATGACAATTTTTACCAAAAAAAGCTCTTTAAAATTACTTAAATTTACATTAAAAGCTGATATTCTGAAATTTTATTCCAACTAGACTGCATTAGTCAGGGTTCTTTAGAGAAAGAACCAATATAAACAGATAGAAAGAAGGTAGATAGATAGATACAGGTAGATGATAGATAGATGATAGATAGATAGATAGATAGATAGATAGATAGATAGATAAAGAGGGAATTTATTAGGGGAATTGCCTCACAGGATTATGGAAACTGACAGACCACACAATAGGTCATCTGCAAGCTGGAAAACCGGGGAAGCTGGTAGTGTGGCCATTTTCTGTGGGGCAGGGGAAATAAATTAATTAACCAGCAATTTAAATTATCTTCTCCCTGTAGTCTATGCTCCTGATAATTAACAGGTGACATCTTATGGGATAAATAATATTGTTTACTGATATCCAATCTCCCATTAAAATATTCACAATTGATATAGTAAAATAATCAGTAAAATCATTTATTTCCCATTTAAAATAGTTAAAATAAGTAGTACTTGATATCTTTTAAAACTGCACTGGATAAATTATATTTCATTCCAATCCCAAAGCATTGGCAAAATTTTCTGGCAGCATTATTTTGAGAAGACCATGAAACTTTTCTTCACTCAATATAACAGAACAACATGATAGAAGTGATTGCTATCTTTCCAAAATAAAAGAAAAAAATGAAATCAATTCAACTATCAGGAGTTCATGGTTAAAAAATGAAACTAAAATATCACTACAAATGGCAGCCTATCCTTTGATTATATGTTATTTGCCCAATTGCTTGTATATTAAAACTTGCCACATAAGAAATTGATAATAATTAAGTGTTTTCTGTAAAGCTGCAATCTATAGTAGCATATTCTTAAATATTGGTTTTATGCTATACTATGAGTTCTGCAAGGAGTGAGATAAAAACATGTCACTGAAACACTAGGGATTTGGTCTAGGTCCTGTTGCTCACAGCAAAGAATGCCAGTTGCTGAGATGGACTTTGCCAAGGAAGAAGGATTTATTCGGGTGCTGCAGCTGAGGAGATGAGATCAGTCTCAAATCTATCTCTCTGATTAACTAAAATTAGAGATTTATATAGCAGGGAAGAAATGTAACTATGTGTGGAATAACAGGAACTCAGAAAGGGTATGGAAGCAATCATGATGAATGAGGGGCCTGCCATCTTATTGTCTGGATATGGTTTTAGTTCTCTGATACTTTTAAAGAGGCCTGGGGGTCCATTCCTGAGAAATAAACTCAGATAAAACAAATGTAAGTTTCAGGGTCAATTTCTTTTCTTCTCTCTTTTTTTTTTTTTAGATTGGGTCTCCTTCTGTCACCCAGGCTGTAGTGCTGTGGTTCGATCTTAGCTCACTGCAACCTCTGCCTCTCAGGCTGAAGCCATCCTCCCACCTGGGCCTCCCCAATAGCTGGGACTTACAGGTACATGCCAGACACCAAGTTAATTTTTTTTTTTTTGTATTTTTTGTAGAGATGAAGTTTTGCTATGTTGCTCAGGCTGGTCTCCAACTTCTGAGCTCAAGCAATCTGTCACCTTGGCCTTCCAAAGTGTTGGGATTACAGGTGTAAGCCACTAGGCCCGGCCCAGAAGTGTCATTTCTGTGTTTATCCAAAAGAGACAGATAAAAATGATAAAAACAACAAAATAAATAAATACCAGTTCCCCATAAACAGTTAATTCATCAATTCACATGCTTCTGCCTCTAAAAATATCCAATTCAAAAATTCTGGGTGGGTGAGGGGGAGCAAGTAGAGAATAGAGAAGGTCTTTTTATCTTTTTCTCACCAAAATAAAAGTACAGAATTCTATGACACATCGATTTTATATTTATGGGTAAATAATGTTAAGTGTGAGTAAGTACAACCTCTTTTTGTCAATTTGATTTAGTTGTATCCACTATCCGTGATTAATTGTAAGAAAAAGTATGCATTTAGGGGTGGATCTGTATAAAATGTTTAAAAAAATGTTTCCTAAGACATACATAAAGTAAACTCCATTAGTGCTGTGTCATGAGCTCAAGCCCATCAAACTTTTGTAAAATATTTTCAATGTTCTGGGATGTGACAAGGCCATTATAGGTTAATTTAGTATGCAATATTTTTACAAATACATACAACTTTTATTATTTTCAGGAATTAAAAATCATTCACAAAAGTGGTTTACATAAAACGAGTTTAATTAAGTAATTTGTTCTTCCCCTGTGACATTCTTCACACATGATTGAAGACACAGGCTGAATAAGCATCATCATTTTTAATAATTTCAACATGTTCTGCTAAGTGCAAAAAAACCCAGATGTAATTGTGAAAAACTATTACAAAAGTTTCTGCCACATAGTATTATTGAAATATGGTATTAAAAATTAAGTACACACTTGATGAGTGATATCAGGTAGACACATTTCACAATTTAAAACCAGAGTCAATAAAAGACCAAAATGTTCAGGGTGTGTAAGCATGGACTACTTTGGGTTTCTCATAAAAGGAACATGATTTCACCAATGCAGCAATACTTATGACCACTTAGACAAAACATGAATATTGAAAACAAATTTACTAAAGACATCCTTTTTTCAATAATGTTTTTGAATATTAAACATGTGTTACTAAAGTCTCAAAAAGAAAAAATTTAGCCTAATAGCCTCCAGATGAACTAAGCATAAAATAAAGGCATACTCTTTTTATTATTAATATGGGTTAATGTGTAGTTATGCAAATAAGCAAATAAATTGGATATTAGTCCAAAAGCTCTCTGTAGTTTCATGACACTTTGTTCTTAAAGCCAGCATCTCCTATATGATAATATTTTGGGAAGTGCTGTGAAGACTATTCCCTTTATCTCATAGTTTTTCACACAATATATCATTAGTGTTTGTTTGTTTGTTTGTTTGTTTATTTGTTTTGAGACAGGGTCTTACTCTGTCACCCAGGCTGGAGTGCAATGGCACAATGTCCATCACTGCAACCTCTACCTCCTGGGTTCACATGATTCTCCTGCCTCAGCCTCCCAAATAGCTGGGATTACAGGAGTGCATCACCATGCCCAGCTAATTTTTTGTATTTTTAGTAGAGATGGGATTTTGCCATGTTGGCCAGGCTGGTCTCGATCTCCTGACCTCAGGTGATCCACCCGCCTCGGCCTCCCAAAGCAATGGGATTACAGGCACGAGTCACTGCGCCTGGCCTCATCATTAGTTTTCCACAATTTTATCAGAAATTATGTATTTTCTTTAAGTTTTCTATTCTAATATGTTGTATCTAGTATTTAAAAAACAGTTATATGCAGATTTCACACAAATACGTTAAGCATGAATCTGTTTGACACTTTGTTGGAAGACAGAGAGTGGAAAGGAAACACCATCCTCACTACCAACCAAATCAGTACTCTTGATATATCTTGCTCGGATTAAGCTTGCCACTTGTAACCTATATTTCCAACTGCTTAAATTTTCATTGAATCTAGAACTTCACTTCCAAAAAAAAAATTATATTTTATTTCTCTGAATTTTATAAATTTATAGTTTCTAGTAATGAAAATACGTTTTAACAAAACATTTATAGTCTTGCTCTAAAGCACATGGACCAAAAATTTCCCCTGAAGAAATAACAGAATAATAAGATAACTTAGGCAAAATTAATACAAAACCAAGGTCATTTTTATGAATATTTAAAAAGGCCATTGACTAAGGTCTTCTGTATATCAGACACTGGGCAAAGTTTTATGTGTTATTATCTCTTTTAATTCTCATTATACTTCTATGACATAGGCAGGTTTATTACCAGTTTTTATATTTTATATATTATATTTTATATTTGGAGACTGAATCAGAAAAACCACTGGGCAAAGTCATAAATTAGTACATTGAAAATCACAGCTTTGTACTGAGTCTAATTGGCATGAACATCAATATTTCATAACATCTTTAAAGCATAGACTCTCTTTTCCTATCTTACCAGACTTCTTAAACTTCTGCTTTTTAAATTACCTGACACAAGTGTATTTATCTGAACAAAAACAAATCAGAAAATTGAGTATTGTGAGCTCATCTAAGTTTACTGAGGTGATATACTTTATAGATTTTTCTTGAAATTTAACTTAAAAATTAAAACAGAAAATCATATTGAAATAAGGATTTATATTCTAAGAAGACTATATATCTCTTTAGAATGTACATGTATATGTAAACATACACATACACACATACATAATCACATTTAATAGCTTGGTATCATCTTTATATAGTGTCAAATCCAAACACCACATGCCATATTCTTAACATCATTTTTATATGTGTAATCATGCTCCCATAAATGAAAGGTGAAGGAGAAATAACATCTTTCAAGCACAAATGGAAATATAAATATCAGATTTTATGTATTATTACATAATATAGGATAGTGAACTCATGAAAAATTAAGCTAGTGTAGAATTATATCACTTAAGTTACTTTATGCATGATGCTGATGTAAGGTGAAAGATAAAAAATGTGGCTTTATGTTAATCAGGTTCTACATATGATATAATATCTATAACCAATTACTAAAGGATTAATACAAACTTGTTATTAGAATAAGATGAATAATTGTACATTTCCATACAACAAAGCGTTATGTATTCAGAAGGCTTTCAAAATATAATCATCTTCAAGTTGATAATTCTTTGTTTCTCTAGTGGCTTTTGGACATTTTTCTCCATATGCCGTAATTGACAATGAGTTATCCCTACATCTACAATAGTTTATTCAAAATTAAAATGCATGCATGTTCACCATGTTTGAAATTTCACTTCTCCATTTTACTGTTTAAGCTTTATTACTCCACTGAACTACAATTTAATCTATTTTTGAAGCTATAAAAGTGAACCCATGAATGCCTGCAAATTTAACAATAAGGATAAGAAATATATGTACTAGCTTAACAACTATTTATGGAGCAACTAAAATATGCACATATTGTACCAAGCATAGTAGCTACCGAGATAAAAAAGACAAATACAGTACATGACTCACTGATAGAGAGGGACCAATACTAATAATAAAAAAACCCCAAATAATGTAATTAAAGTGCCTGGCAAATGACATTGAAAACATAAGCAAAGTACTGAGACAAATATTTGCAGATGGAAAGTTAATGTAGTATTGTTATGATAGTATTATAGGAATAATATCCTTTATAAAAATTTTTATTCAAGATTTTCGGTAATATGAAGAGTCATTTTTCCCTGTGATAATACCAAATTTATATATAAATATATCATGATTGGATATGAACATTAAAATTGCAGTAGAATTTTTTTCTATGGTAAAAAGACAGTGATTATCAGCTTGTATATACTACTTTAAACTCACTGCAGTAGAAAATGTTTTCCATGCTGCTGATGAGAAAAACACAATTGTATCTATTTTTATCACGTCTTTGAATGATATAGAACTTTTCTTAGCCAGATAAGCTTAAGGTTAGGTACTTAGCTCAATTTTAACCTATAAATAGATTGGAGGTTTTTTGTTTGTTTGTTTTTGAGATGAAGTCTCTCTCTGTCACTGAAGCTGGATCATAATGGCACGATCTCGGCTCACTGGAACTTCCACCTCCTGGGTTCAAGCAATTTTCCTGCCTCGGTCTCCGGAGTAGCTGGGACTACAGGCATGCGCCACCATGCCCGGCTAATTTTCGTATTTTTAGTAGAGATGGGATTTTGCCGTGTTGGCCAGGCTGGTTCCGATCTCCTGACCTCAAGTGATCCACCCACCTCAGCATCTCAAAGTGCTGAGATTACAGGAGAGATCCACCATGCCTGGCCATTTTTTACAAACATTTAGACTCTATCAATCAAATATAATCATGCAAGAGCATGTTAACTGACAATATGTGCAAAAGCCAAGTGACTCTTGGTTATAATGCATTTTTAATGCTCCTGGAAATTTAAATTAACAAACCAAATATAAGCAAAGTAAAAATATGTTTGATCTATTTCTATTTTAAGCTGGATATATTTTAATAGTAAAGTGATAATCACAGGCAAACATAAAATGTTCCAAAAGAGTGATTGGATCACATTACACTGATCCATAAAACATTTTGTTTCAATGTACGTGATTTTATTTTCTCTTATACTAGTTAGTAGGATTATGCATTTTATTAGTCTTCCAGAGAAAAATGGTAACGTATAAAATTAGGTTATAGCAACAATGCTCTTCATTTTGTATGTTTGGTTCATTTGTTGATTTGGGGAGAGTGTTGTCCTGAAATTAGTTAAAATTCAGTTTTTCTTAGGCCCTTGAGACATTCCCATATTTTAAATATGGAATTTCACACAGCAACATGTTTTATCATACTTATAAACAACCTTTGGGCTTTAGTCCTTTGCTATAA
This sequence comes from Homo sapiens, assembly GCF_000001405.40. NCBI lineage: Eukaryota > Metazoa > Chordata > Mammalia > Primates > Hominidae > Homo > Homo sapiens. Next base: position 32,295,683 of record NC_000004.12, read on the forward strand.
TTTTTTTTTCCTTTGATGTCTACAAGTGTTTATGATTATTTTCTAATGTAAACATTTTGTTTGGTATCTCAGATAAGGTTTTGAAATCTAGTAAAAAAAAATTAAGAAAATATAATAAGAAAGAAAGAGATAAGAACAGGAATATGTTTACTTAGCTTAAAATCAAATGGAGAACAAATTTCATACAAATGCTTACATTCTCTATTAAATATAACCATACAAAGACAAGATTCTAGAAAGTATGAGCAAAAGCCAAATGCAACACACAGTAGAAACTATCCCATACTAACTCAGTGAATAGAGGTTTCAGATAAGGTCTTTTAAACTATGATATAAGTTATATATGAAATTCTATAAAACTTTATATGTAAACTTATATTTCTCATATATATGTCTTTTATATATATGTTTATATAGGGATAAACTTCATATATGTGTGTGTATATATATAATATATACTTCATATATGTGTGTATATATAATATATATTGTATATATATAATATATATATATTATATATATTATATATATACATAATATATATACATAATATATATACACATAATATATATAATATATGATATATCTATGAAGTTTATATATATAATATATATATAATATATATACACACATGCACACACACACACATACACACACACACACACACACACACACACACACACGGTCCCTGAGTTTTGATGGTTGGACTTACAATTTTTCTGCTTACTATGGTGTGAAAGTGTATGTGTTCAGTAAAAACTGTACATCACTTACAATGCTGGGTAGCTGTAGCTCTCAGTCAGCCATGCAGTTTTGACTTATATTTTCAACATACAATGGGTATATCAGGATGTAACCCCATCATCAGTTAAGGAGCATGTGTATTTGGAGAAGAGAACTTCGATCTTACAACAGAGAATTTTGATCTTTCAACAGAGAATTTTCATAAATAAGAATCCCGAAGAAATGGTAGATTAAAAAATTCAATAGGTAAAATGAATAACTCAGTAGAAGATATAAAAGTATCTTAAATGTAGTTGAAGGGCATATTAATGAACATAGAAAGATCAGATTAAAAATAGCCATAGTCAGGCTGGGCACAGTGGCTTACGCCTGTAATATCAAAACTTTGGAAGACCGAGGCAGGCACATCGTCTGAGGTCAGGAGTTCGAGAACAGCCACCTGGCCAGCATGGTGAAACCCCATCTTTCCTAAAAAAATACAAAAATTAGCTGGGTGTGGTGCTGCACACCTGTAATCCCAGCTACTTGGGAAGCTGAGGCAGGAGAATCTCTTGAATCGGGGAGGCGGAGGTTGCAGTGAGCCAAGATTGTGCCATTGAACTCCAGCCTAGGCAATAGAGCAAGACTCTGTCTTAAAAAAAAAAAAAAGCTGTAGTAATATAGACTATGGTAGATTAACAGGTATGAAAGACAGAATGAGAAAGAATAATATTTGAAGACATACATAATGAGTAAGAATATTTCAAAACTGAAGATAGGAATCTATATATGCAAGAAATACTAAACAATCCAAACATGAATAGTAAAAAATATAAAAATAAATACATATTTGATGAGTGTCAAGGGAAAAAGGCAAATCAAAGCTGAAAAACACCTAATAAAGTAACTCTTCTAACAGCAAACAAAGGAAAAAGGGAGTGAAAGTTAAAATAACAATAAAAGGTACAGGATAACCTAAGAAATATTCAGATTGGCATGTGACGTCTCAATGGAAACAAGTTCCAGAAAGAGATAGAATGATTTAGTCAAGAAACTGACAAATACCTGCCAATCTAGTACTGTATATTAAAAGAGAAATATTTTTAATCAAGAAAAAAGTATTGCACTTTCAGGCAAAAAATGTGGTAGACGCTAGAAAGCAAAGTGTTTCTGATGCAATGTTGTATTAGTCCCGTTTCATGCAGCTGATAAAGACATACCTGAGACTGAGCAAAAGAAAGAGGTTTAATTGGACTTACAGTTCCATGTGGCTAGGGAAGCGTGACAATCATGGTAGAAGGCAAGGAAAAGCAAGTCATGTTTTACATGGATGGCAGCAGGCAAAGAGAAAGAATAAGAGCCAAGTGAAACAGGTTTCCCCTTATCAAATCATCAAATCTTGTGAGACTTATTCACTACCACGAGAACTATATAGGGGAAACCACTCCCAGGATTGAATTATCCCCTACAGGGTCCCTCCCACAACTTGGGAATTCAAGATGAGATTTGGCGGGGACACCAAAAAATATCAAATGTCAATATGCAGAAAGAAATGAACTACTTCAGCTGGGCATGGTGGCTCACACCTGTAATCCCAGCACTTTGAGAGGCTGAGGTGGGTGGATCGCCTGAGGTCAGGAGTTTCAGACCGGCCTGGAGAACATGGTGAAACCCTGTCTATACTAAAAATACAAAAATTAGTCGGGCATGGTAGTACGTGCCTGTGGTCCCAGCTACTTGGGAGGCTGAGGCAAAGAATCACTTGGACCCATGAGGTGGAGGTTGCAGTGAGCCAAGATCACATCACTGTACTCCAGCCTGGGCAACAGAGAGAGATTCTGTCTCATAAATAAAATAATAAATAAATAAACTGCTTCAAAGTGGTAAATTTGTGGTTATATATAACATAACATTGATGGTACAAATCAAAAATTAATGTTATGGAGGAATATTAAGTGAGTGGAAAGAACAGCATATAAATTGGTAGCAAATAAAAGTAAAGTGTTCTGTGGTTCTTAAATTGTCTGAGAAGAGAACAATGGTAACAAATGACAATAATCTTTGTTAAACGAGGGATGTACATTTTGGGGCATTGCCACTAGAAGAATGGAGTGTGCATATAAGTATTGAAGTGTTAAGAGAAAGTGAAAGTATAAAAATATAAAACAAACCAGTTAAAAATATAAAACAATCCAGAGAAAAGTATGAAAGTACAGAAAACCAAATATAAAATAGGTGGAATGAAGAGAAGCCAAGGCAAACTTGAAGATTAAAAAAGCTGAAAGATTTACTGTAGCAAATTTCAAAAAGTTTTAGAGAGGCACAATAATTAGCATAGTGCAGTGGTGGTAGAAATACAAAGATCTGTCACACAGATTAGAGGAATAGAGAGTAGAAGAAACAGACTCTAAACTACCCATCTTTTACTAAAGCAAAAACATCATACAATTCAGTTGAAAAAGATGTATTTTTCAATAAATTGTTATTGCATAATTGAATATCTTAGGAAACAAAAGTGACCTTTGGCCACCTATCTCTCATCATATGCAAAAAGTATAGTTTAAGCATAGAGTTACATGTAAAAATAAAGTACAGTCATCTCTTAGTATTTGCAGGGGACTGGTTCCAGGATACCAAATTCCTTGAATGCTGAGTCTTTTACATAAAATGGTGTGGTATTTGCAAAAAACCTAAACACATCCTCCTGTACAGTTTAAATTATCTCTAGATTACTTACAATACACAATACAGTGTAATTGCTATTCAAATAGTTGTTACATAATTTTTTAAAAATTGTATGAATTTTATTGCTTTATTTTTTCTAATATTTTTGATCTGTGATTGACTGAACTCACAGAAGTGAAATGCACAGCTAAAAGGTGCTGACTGTGTGTATGTAAATAAGAGCATTTTCATGACATTAGGGTAATCAAAGTTTTCTTAAACAGTACAAAAATAGTGCTGACCATAAAAATGAATTATACAGTAAAATTAAAATTAAGAATGACTTAATAAAAAAATTAAGAAAGAAGGCAAATTATTTATTGGGAGAAAATATTTGTAATATGTGTATCCAATAAAGAAATTATATCCATTGGCTAGAAAGAATTTATATTCATTAATAAGAGGATGAGCAAAATACTTGAACATACCAAGGAAAATATGCAAATGGTCAAGAAGTATATGAAAAAGTTCTCAACACAATTAAATACTGGGGGAACGTTAATCAAAACTACAGTGAATACCACTACACATTGATCAGTACAAAAACATTTAAAGAAATGAAATAATATTAAGTAAGGAAATGGAACAACTGCAAAATATGTATATTGGTAGTGGAAGGGTGAATGTTAGATACAATTTGAAAAATGTTTGGCAGATATCTACTAACATAATCCTTTTAAACACTGGGAACCTGGCTATGTACCTAATATGGTTTGGCTGTGTCCCAACCCAAATCTCATCTTGAATTGTAACTCCCATGATTCCCAATTGTCATTGGAGGAACCTGGTGCCAGGTGATTGATTTATGGGGGCGGGTCTTTTGTGCACTATTCTAGTTATAGTGAATGAGTCCCATGAGATCTGATGGTTTGAAAAATGGCAGTTTCCTTGCACAAGCTCTCTCTCTTCCTGCTGCCATCCATGTAAGACATGACTTGCTCTGCCTTCTGCCATGATTGTGAGGCCTCTCCAGCCATGTGGAACTGTAAATCCATTAAACCTCTTTCTTTTGTAAATTTCCCAGTCTTGGGTATGTCTTTATCAGCAGAGTGAAAATGGACTAATAAAGTAAATTGGTACCAGTAGAGTGAGGTGCTGTTGAAAAGATACCTGAAAATGTGGAAACGACTTTGGAACTGGGTAACAGGCAGAGGTTGAAACAGTTTGGAGGACTCAGATAAAGAGAGGAAAATGTAGGAAAGTTTGGAACTCCCTAGGGAATTGTTGAATGGCTTTGACCGAAAGGATGATAATGATATGGACAATGAAATCCAGGCTGAGGTGGTCTCAGATGGAGATGAGGAACTTACTGGAAACTGGAGCAAAGGTGACTCTTGTTATGTTTTAGCAAAGAGACTGGCAGTGTTGTGCCCCTGACCTAGAGATTTGTGGAACTTTGAACTTAAGAGAGATGATTTAGGGAAATTTCTAAGCAGCAAAGCATTCAAGATGTGACTTGGGTGCTGTTAAAGGCATTCAGTTTTAAAAGGGAAACAGAGAATAAAAGTTCAGGAAATTTTTAGCTGACAATGCAATAGAAAAGAAAATTCTGTTTTCTGAGGAGAAATTCAAGCTGGCTGCAGATAACTGCATAAGTAACAAGGAGCCAAATGCGAATCACTAAGACAATGGAGAAAATGTCTCCAGGGCATGTCAGAGACCTTTGCTGCAGCCTCTCCCATCACAGGCCCAGAAACCTAGGAAGAAAAAAAATGGTTTCGTGAGCTGGGCCCAGGGTCCCTCTGCTGTGTCTACAGACTTGTTGCCCTGCATCCCAGACACTCCAGCCATGACTAAAAGGGGCCAAGGTACAGCTTGGGCTGTGGCTTCAGAGGGTGCAAGCCCCAAGCCTTGGAAGTTCCCATCTGGTGTTGAGTCTGTGGGTACACAGAAGCCAAGAGTTGAGGTTTGGCAACCTCTGCCTAGATTTCAGAAGATGTGTGGATATTCCTGGATGACCTGGCAGAAGTTTGCTGCAGGTCCGGGGCCCTAATGGAGAACCTCTGCCAGGGCAGTGCAGAATTGAAATGTGGAGTTGGAGCCCCCAGACAGAGTCTCTACTGGGGTACTGCCTAGTGGAGCTGTGAGAAGACGGCCACAATCCTCTAGAACCCAGAATCGTAGATAACTGACAGCTTGCAACATGCACCTAGAAAATCTGCAGACACTCAATGCCAACCCATGAAGGCAGCCAGGAGGGAGGCTGTACCCTGCAAAGCCACAGGGGTGGAGCTGCCCAAGACCATGGGAACCCACCCCTTGCATCAGTGTGACCTGGATGTGAGACATGGAGTAAAAAGGATCATTTTAGAGCTTTAAGATTTGACTGCCCCACTGGATTTGGACTTGCTTGGGGTCTGTAGCCCCTTTGTTTTGCCCAATTTATCTCCTTTGGAATGGCTGTATTTATTCAATGCCTGTACCCCAATTGTATCTAGAAAGTAACTAACTCGCTTTTGATTTTACAGGCTCATAGATAGAAAGGACTTGCCTTGTCTCAGTTGAGACTTTGGACTGTGGACTTTTGGGTTAATGCTAAAATGAGTTAAGACTTTGGGAGACTGTTGGGAGGGCGTGATTGGTTTTAAAATGTGAAGACATGAGATTTGGAAGGGGCCAGGGGCAGAATAATGTGGTTTGGCTGTGTCCCCACCCAAATCTCATCTTGAATTATAACTCCTAGAATTCTCACGTATCATGGGAGGAATGTGATGGGAGGTGATTGAATTATAGGGACAGTTTTTACTGTGTTGTTCTCATGATAGTGAATGAATCTCACAAGATCTGATGATTTTAAAAATGGGAGTTTCCCTGCACAAGCTCTCTCTCTGCCTGCTGCCATCTATATAAGACATGACTTGCTCCTCCTTGCCTTCTGCTACGATTGTGAGGCCTCATCACCCATATGGAACATAAAGAGGTCCATTAAAACTCTTTCTTTTGTAAATTGCCCAGTCTCAGGTATGTCTTTATCAGCAGCATGAAAACTATGCAACAATAAAAAGTGCAACTACACAAGGACATGAGTAAACTTATTGACATAAAGTTGAGTAAACTGAAGAGAGAGACAAAAAGGTACCTGCTGCATGAGTTCATTACATTAACTTCTAAACCATACAATATAAATCTCTGTTGCTAGATATCAAAAGATATTTGACTGAGAAGGGGTAGGAATGAACTTCTTAAGACATTTAAAAATTATATATTTCAATCTATGTGGAAGTACAAGTTTTTATACATAATTTTAAAAATTGGCCAGGAATTGTGGCTCACACCTATAATCCCAACATTTTGGGAGGCATAGGCAGGAGGACTGCTAGTTCCCAGAAATCCAAGACCAGCCTGGGCTACATTGTGAGATTCCATTGTGAACTGGGTGGGGTGCCTGTGTTACCAGCTACTCAGGAGGCTGAGGTGGGAGGATCACTTGAACCTGGGAGGTCAAGGATGCCACAAGTTGTGATCATGCCACTTCACTCCAGCCTGTGTGAAAGACCTTGTCTCAAAAAAAAAAAAAAAAAATCAACCTATACTGTAAAGTTAAATTTGTATATTTTATTACATGAAGATCTACTTTAATAATGCTATAAGATAAAAGGGGATATTATAAACAATACATTGCAAACCCTTATGAAATATTTAAACTTTCTTTTTTTAGATGAGAACAATATATGGTCTTCTATCAACATTTCTATTTAACATTGAATAGTTGGATTGGGTTGCCATGAACATTTCTATTTAACATTGAATTTGATTTTATGACTTAGTGCAGTGAGTCATAAATAAAAATAATAATAGGCATAATACCTGGATAAGAAGGAATACACAGTTATTTTTTTACAGAAGAAAATTCATTAAAGTGAATTTGAGTTTCAATGTAATCACAAGGAAAGAAATGACAATAACATTATTTATGAAAATTGATAAACTAAAGTTACATTAAAATAGGAAAGAATAGCAAAGACTATCATGTAGTGAAGAAAATGAGAATGAAGGATTCCTCTACTAGATTTTAAAACTTATTATAAAACTATAAAAAATAAGGTAGAATGTAATTGGAGCTGGAAGAAAAAGAAATAACCACTGGCGGAAAACAAACACCCTAGAAAATCACCCAGATAGATAAACTTCTTGAATGATAAAAAGGTTACACTGTAGAAAAGTGAAGACATAATGCTCCTTTCAATAATTTATAATGGATCATTTATGCACTTATTTGATACCTCCACCTCATGCCATAAGCAAGCAAAAAGTTAAGCATATATTTTACCAGCACAATGAATAAAACTGAGTATACAGATGTATATTACCTTGTAACAAAGAAACACGTGCAACATTTACAGAAATTGAATAAATATTACTTCTAGTTAAAATCTTTAGAAACCAAACAATTAAGATGACATAGATGATCTTAATCAAAATGCAAATAGTAATTTAACATTAAAATATATGTATAATTAATATAAAATGTGTATATTTAAAATGTTTAGAATAAATATTATTTATTAAAATAACAGTAGTATATATTAAAATAGCAGAAACAATTATAGTTAAAATAAAAAATATGTTAATATATTTATCATAACAATTAAATATACATCACCATCTTTTATTTTTAGTTGTATTTTTGTGATGTAATATTGTTCAGGAATACTGAGAGATAGAACCTGAAAATTTCTATGCAACATAATTATGGTATTTGTTTTTGTTTTTGTTTTTTTACTTAGAAACAGAAATTAAAATTGGAAAATAGGTTCCTATTGATTACATTGTAATTTGGGTGACAAGAACTTTCTGGTTGGGAAAATACCTTATGTTTATCCAAGCAATTTTATCACTGTTGGATGCAAAAGAATCATGAGAGGAAAGTCAATTCCTTGATAATGTCAAACTAGATTTTACTTATTTTATTATCCACTGTAAGTAAAAATTGTGGATTTTACAGCTCTTCAAGTCACCTTTATTTTCAGTACATTTTAAAAAATTAATAAACTTTATTTTTAGAGCAGTTTCAAGTTTATAGACAAATTAAATAAAAAGTATCAAAGGGTTGTTGCGTACTAGCACTCCCCTCACCTTCACTCAGTTTCCCTTATTATTTACATATGCTGTTGGTGTGATATATTTTGCTAAATTCTGTAGTTCATATTACAATTCACTCTTTGTGTTGAACAATTCTAAGGGTTTTGTCAAATGCATAATGTTGTATATCCATTGCAGTATAATACAAAACGTTTCACAGTCCTAAAAATCCATTGTCCTATACCTATTAATTCTTCTCTTCCTCCCCCAACCCCTGACAACCACTGTTTTTTTTTTACTATTTTTATAGTTTTGCCTTTTCCCGAATGTCACATAATTGGAATCATATGGAATGTAGCCTTTTCAGACAAGCATTTAAGATTCTTTTCATATCTTTTCTGTGGCTTAATAGCTCATTATTTTTTTAGCACTGAATAATATTACATTGCATGGATGTACCAGTTTTTATTTATCCCTTCACATATTGAAAGATATTTTGTTTGCTTTCCATTTTGGGCAATTATCGATAAAGTTTTGTAAACATTAATCAGCAGGTTTTTGTGTGGACATAAGTTTTCAACCCATTTGGGTAAATACCCAAAATAGTGATTGCTGTATCATATGGTTACCATATGTTTAGCTGTGTAAGAAACTGCCAAATTATCTTCTAAAGTGGCTGTATCATTTTGCATTTCTACCAGAAGTGAATGAGTGTTCCTAATGCTCTGCAAATTCACCAGCAATTGGTATTTTTTTCCTCTTACAATTGTACCTATTCTGATAGGTATATAGTGTTATTCTATTGTTTTAATTTGCAATTCCCTAACCATAAATGATGTTGAACATCTAATGATTTGTTTATTTTCAGCTGTATATCTTCTTGGGTAATATGCTTATTCACAGCTTAGGTCCATTTTTTACTTGGGTTTTCAAAAACTTATTTATTTGCATATATTCTTTGTATATTTTGAATACAAGCCCTCTATCAGACATGTTCCAATTTTTGTCATTGTTCCAAGATTCTCGATGTTCCATTTCATATTTTCCATTTTTTTCTTTTTGCTTTTCAATCTTGAGATTTCTATTGATATATTTTCAAACCTACTGATGCTTTCCTTGGCCTTGTCCTCCACTGAGGGACCTATTAAAGGCATTCTTTATTTCTGTTACAGTGTTTTTGATCTTATAGAATTTCCTTTTGTTTCTTAATGTTTACATCTTTTGACTTACATTATCCATATGTTCTTGCTTGGTTTCCACTTTTTTCTTAGAGCCCTTAACATATTAATCATAAATTTTTAAATTCCCATTCTAAAAATTCTAAAAACTCTGCCATATCTGAGTCTGGTTGTGATGCTTACTTTGTTTTTTCAGACTGTGTTTTTGGTCTTTCAGCATGAGCATATTTAGATCTGTATTGTGAGATTTTATGTTTGTTTGGCCAGGAGTTAGCCAGCATTTAATATGTGCTTTACCTGTGGATGTCAGAGGCTAAAAATTTCCCTTATGCCCTTTTATTTGTCTTTGTTGTTTTCTTTGTAATTTCCTTGAGATTCCTTAAATAGGGCCTTCAGCTTGTAGTTTTTTACTTGTAATCTCCAGTTATTATAGAGGACCCCTATTGGTATAGTGATAAGATGTTAGGAGAAAGGAGTGTTCTAGATAGTTCTATGATTAGGTCACAGTCTTCAATGAAACTGAACTGGGTATTTCTCTTTCTCTTCACCAAAAGCTAAAGGGGATAGGAATTGTATTTTTCTCCTTGTCAAAGTTGGCTGGGCTCTTGTAAGACCATTTTCTTTGAGGACAGTCTTTGTTAAAGAGAACTGAAAACATAATGCTATTTCAAAATGGCTACTCCCGCTGTCCGCCTGGCCTCCTTCTGCTAGAAGAAAATTATTTTCTCCAGTCTTCACAGTGAGATCCTGGTAAGCCTCTTGGTGGCAAATCACAAATGTGTGGGACCCTCCTGAGACTGGGCTTCCTCTAAGTTTTTAAGTTACAAACCTATTGTACACTAAACCTCCAGTAATTTATCCATGGCAATTTAAAGTGTTCTTTCTGATACTGGCTCTACCTGCAGGCTCCTGCACTTCTCCTTCTTGTAAGCTTTGATCTGTGTAAGTGCCTGTCTGTCTCCTCATTTTTCATGACAGCACTGTGAACCCCCAAAATCTGAGAGAAGTCTCAGTGAACTTAGGAAGTTTATTTTGCCAAGTTTAAGAATGCGCACCCATGACACAGCCTCAGGAGGTCCAAATGACATGTGCCCAAGGTGGTGAGAGCACAGCTTGGTTTTATACATTTTAGGGAGATATGAGACATTAATCAACATATGTAAGGTGAACACTGGTTTGGTCTGGAAAGGTGGGACAACAAGAAACAAAGGAGAGACAACTCAAAGAGGGGAGGGGGCTCCCAGGTAATAGGTAGATAAAAAACAAATGGTTGCGTTCTTTAAAGTTTCTAATTAGCCTCTCCAAAAGAGGCGATCAGAGAGGCATTTATCTCAGTAAGCAGAGGGATGACTTTGAATAGAATAGGACTCAGTTTTGACCTAAGCAGTTCTCAGCTTGGCTTTTCCCCTTAGCTTAGTGATTTGGGGTTCCTAAGATTTATTTTCCTCTCACAGTACTTTGGCTTGTGACCTCAATTCTCTGATGGATCTAAGAAGAGTTGTGATTTTCAGCTTGTTCAGCCTCTTTTTCCTGTTGAGAGGATGGGAGTGATGAACTGCAAACTCTTTAAATGTCAGATTGAAGTTAGAGAGCTTTCTAGATAGAACTAATACCTTTTTTTTTTCCTGCAGATTCTTCATTTACAATGATAATTTCAGGTCACTTTTTGTCTTCTTGTTTACATAGTGACTGGAGCTTTGGAATAATTGTTTCTTATTGTATTATTTGCTAAATATGATAATTCTATTTGGAATTACCTCAGACCTAGTATGCATTAGCTCAGTGAACACTGCTTTATGGAATCAGAAAAGTTTCAATCTAGAGAAAATATTGTGCAAAATTATGTGTATGTCTTTGTGTGTGTATGCAGGCTTGTCTATTTTTAATAACACAATTATAAAGTAACAATTTAGAAAAAAATTAGTGTATGATAAGACATTTTACAAAGAAATGTATATGTATGTTTTCTGACATATGAATAAAATTTCCTGGATATATTCAAAAAAATAACAACTGATTTCCTCCAAATTTTCATTTAGATTACTAATACATAGTAATAAATTATTTAGTTCTCCTGTTATGGGTTTCTTGTGATTGTGAACCCTTTATTTGTTGAAATCACATATCTTCCTAGAACACATTTTCAATTAAAAAATAATCTTTAAAATACATATATGGAGAAGGGCACAGTGGTTCACACCTGTAATCCCAGCACTTTGGGAAGCCGAGTTAGGCAGATCACAAGGTCAAGAGATCAAGACCATCCTGGCCAACCAATATGGTGAAGCCCCATCTCTACTAAAAATAGAAAAATTAGCTGAGCTTAGTGGTACACGCCTGTAGTCCCAGCCACTTGGGAGGCTGAGGCAGGAGAATCACTTGAACCCGGGAGGCAGAGGTTACAGTGAGCCGAGATCGCGCTGCTGCACTCCAGCCTGGGCGACAGAGTGAGATTCCGTCTCAAAAATAAATAAATATAAATAAATAAATAAATAAATAACTATAAAAAATAAATAAAATAAAATACATATATGAAAATTTGAGTTTTAGAAGAATTTTTTTTTAAGTAAAAATTAGGAAAGAATGAAAATGGAACACCATTTAGGTTTGGAAACAAAGTGGAAAACAAACCTAACATAATCCTGAGACAGAGGAAATTGAGACATTATTTTTATAAAACAAAAACAGTGAGATGAACTGTGTGTTAAAAGAGGAAAAATGGTGGTGGTTAGAGGTACAGAACAAGTCTTGTTGGTGTCCGGCAGGTGAAGGAAAAGTTTTCTGGAGTTAATGATGTTTGGGTTTAAGGTTAATTTCATTGAAAAGAAGAGTAATAGCAGTCTCACAAAGTCTCTGAGGCTGAGAGAGTGAAACAACTGAGTTCCTAGGAACCAACCTCACAAATGCCCTGGAATCTCAGACCCAAGGAGGTGAGAGGATAGAGAGGCGTAGAGCATCTTTGTGTTTTTCAGCACTGTCCCTGAAGCCTTCCTTCATAAGAAGAAAAACAAAAAGAAAAGCAACAACCACCGGGCTGCAGCTCTCCCAAATGTATCTGCCTGCCTGCTGTCATGGCTTGATAGCAGGAAGTGGCTCCAGCTCCTGCACCCTCAACAACTCCAGAGACTCCCCTACCCATATTCTCAGTCAGAATTGTAGAAGAATACTTTATGATCCTGGAGGAAGCAAAGTTGAATTTTATCAGAATTAAAACATCTACTTTTTGAGAGACACAATTAAGAAAATGTATGGGCAAGACTGGCGCCGTGGATCACACCTGTAATCCCAGCACTTTGGGAGGCTGAGACAGGAGGATCACCAGAGGTCAGGAGTTTGAGACCGACCTGGCCAACATGGCAAAACCCCGTCTCTACTAAAAATACAAAAATTAGCTGGGTGTGGTGGTGGGGGGGCGCTTGTAATCCCAGCTACTGAGGAGGTTGGTGCATGAGAATCGCTTGAACCCAGGAGGCAAAGTTTGCAGTGAGCCAAGATCATGCGACTGCACTCCAGCTTGGGCAACAGAGCAAGACTCTGTCTCAAAAAAAAAAAAGAAAGAAAGAAAAAAAAAATGTATAGGCAAGCCAGAAACTGGGAGAAATGTTTACAATACATATAGTTGAATCAAAGAATATGCATTACACACAAAAGAAAGCTGTAATGATAAAAAAAAACAAATTGGAGAATTAATTAAAAAAATACCTGAAGAGATGCTTCACAAAGGAAGACAAGACAGACAAAGACAAATAGGCACAAGGGAAAAAAAATAATCAGGGAAATGCAATTAAAATTCACAATGTGATACCATCTGAGGGGTGACGAGAATATGGAACAACCAAAAGTGTTCTACAACGAGGGGAGGTGTGTAAACCAGGCAGTACTCTAGAAAACAATATGGCAGTATCTTATAAAGTTAAAAACACATCTACTTTATAACTGAGCCTTTCTATTCCTAAGTGTTTATCCAGGAGGAATGAAATCATATGATGGTATGAAGTCTTTTTGCAAGAATGTTCTGAAAATATTCATCTATAGTTGGCCCAAAATCAGAAGAAAATCCAAATGTCCATCATCAGGTATAGATAAACAAAAATAAAAAGGTCATATTACTCATTCATGCAATAATATTTATGAATCTCAAGGCATTAAGCTGAGCAAAAGAAGTTACAGGAGAAGAGTACATACTTTATGTTTCTTTTTATATACACTTCTGACACTGGCAAAACTATTACATGGTAAAAAGAAAGTGAAATAGAAGTTGCTTTTAGGAGTTTGGTGAGTGGGAGGTTATTGACTGGGAACTAAGACGAAAGGGAGCTATGTCTATATTTTAATAAAGGTGCTTTCTATGTATGTATTCATTTGTCACAACCTATATTATATCTGTTCATTTCAAAGTAGGTAAAATGAAATTTAGAAAAAGAAAAGCATTGGAAGATATTATTTCAATAAGGGTATTTTAAGAAGAGTGCTCCTGAAAGAGCAATTAAGATGAAAACACACCCCCAGTTCCTTCTTTGTGCTCTTTGTAAAGCCCAAAACCCACACTTGAACATTATGCCCCATCTGTACTTTCCTCCTCAGGGATATTTTTCAGGCAATTTTCCCATCTCTCTCCTGAACCATTTTTTCCCTTTTTTTGCTGAATCATTATCATCAACATAACACATCCTCTAATTTCTCCTACCTATGAAAAATATTATGTCCCTCCAGCTGCTAATTCATATCCGTCCTTACCTTCAGATTTTCCATACTAGACTCAAAAGTTTTCTTCTAAATCCTGTCTTATAGAATTGAAAGTGGGAGGATCACATTCTCTATTGATAAGGAAGAAATCTTTGAATTTACCTTCATTCCTTTTTCCCTCACATCTTATATCAAATTCTTCTGCAAATCCTGTTGCCTCTACCTTGAAAGTACATCCAATTTCCCAGTGTTTTACCACCTCCATCCATCCCAACTACCGTGATTGAAGGCAACGTTGACTCAAGCCGAAATTATTTCCATGGCCTCCCTACTGGCTTCCCTGCTTCCAGCCTTCTATTTTTCTGTTTGTTGTCAGTGCAGTAGTAAGTATGATAGAGTAGTTAACATATAATTACCCTATTCCAAATTCTCTAATGGCAGAATGCAGCTGATAATATCTTCTGGACCTAAAATGCTTCTAGCACCTGTGATCTTTCCCATTCTGAATATCAACATCTCTTCTATTACACTGAGCCACACTGTCTCTATTGCTCTCCTGTCAGGGTCTTCACACTTATTTTTTTCTCTGCCTTTTGTATTGTGAAACAGATGAGTAGTTCTCTCTCTTGTCTTCTTCAAGAAATGCAACATCTCCACTTCAGTGGAAGAGTCTCCAGCAACTTATTGACAATTTCAAGCCCTGTTAGGGGTCTCTATCTCCTTTCACTGTATTATGTTTCTTCATAGCATTCATCCCTTTGTAACATAATAGACATTTTATTTCATGGTCTGACTCCTCCCACTGGAAGATAAGCTCCAGGAAGACAGGTATTTTTGTTGTTTTTTCCCCCAGGATTTAGAATAGTGCCTAACATAAAATGAACACTCAAGACATATTTATGGAGCCAATAACTCAATATTGAAAAATTTCTGATGTCTTTTATACATTGATGTGTAGTTCTATTCATGTGATTTGATTGACTGATGTGCATTTCCAGTCTTGTAATTTAACTTTACATTCATGTTTCAGAAGTCAACTAAACCTACAACAAAACACAGTATGTATTTACACATGATTTCACATTTCCAGTAAGAGCTCTAAGCATTCAGAATAATTTAGGGACATTATCATAAAAGACACTTTCAATGTCCAGTTGTTTCAGTTTTTTTATATCTCTATTTTTGTTATATATATTATATATGTGTATTACATATAAACATTATATATTTAAATTTTTTATTTTTACATTAAAGTTGGCAATAATATTTATCATCGGGGGAAATTCCTCTCTTTATAGCTATCTCACTGAAAAGAAATATGACTTTTTTTTATAATGAATTGAATAAAATTTTAAAAAATGAAATTTGTCCCCATCAGGAAAAAGGTTGGTCACTGAAAAATTTGAATATTTATGGTCTGTTTTATAGCTAGGCATCTCAGCAGCATAAATAGAACAGGTAACTTTGCTAAAGGCCACGAAATAGTATACCTGAATGCCTGTGAGGTAAATATTGGAAATTTCCTCTTTGTCCTGAAGAGAATACAAAAGTAATAAAATAATAAAACCAATCTTAGTATAATGCTATCTTCTGACCTAATTATCACTTTGGCTTTTTTATTCTTAATGTTACTTTTTTTTTTTTTCTGATACGGCGAGTCATGTTTGTGGGATAACTGCAATCGTCTGAAGAAAATGGATATCACTCTGGTACTTTTCAATAGTTTTCTTTCTCCTGCCACATTTTTTTCCCTACAAGCTGTTAAACTACACCAGATAAATGTCTCATAATGTTCAGCATCAGGTTTCTTTGATGAACTACATGTCAAAAAAGCAGAATCCCACAACAAATTGAAATACTGGAGGCACAATTCAGATCTTGGCCTGAAGGGACAAAGATACTTGTAACTTCTGTTACTCAGTGCAACTTGGAAATAACAAGGAACAACAAAATGTGGAAGAAATGCAATAAGGCTTTGATTTATGTGGCTATTTCAAAGACTAACCATGTTACCATTTATGGCCATTTTACATTTTTTAAGGCAATTATTACTGCTACAATTTTCTTAAATCCCTCTTTCTAGGCTTATTTCCACTGTGCATATTTTTATTTATGATGTAGTTTTATCATCCAATATGGAGCTGTCTATAAGTCGTAATAGACTAAATGGAGCCCATCACCACTCTTTCATCCTGAAAATAATTACATTGCAAATAATATACTTTACTTTTGGAAATTTTTAACCTATAAAACTGTCACCTGACTGTCACATTGCTGAAACACTGAATTTTTATCCTCAGTGTCGTTAGAAGTAAGTATAAATAAAGAAGTTTTCTGATTTCTTAGTTTTATACATTTAACAAATCTTGTGACTGTGCAGATTTTTAAAATTGTTTTTTTCTCACAAGGTGTTTTTGTTTCTAAATCAAGATGGGTAACTAACCATCACAAATTGTGGTGATGGGTTGGAAATTCTATACCAAAATATGACAAGAAAGAGAGGCACAAAATAAATCACCTGAGTCCCACACATATTCTTTCTTGTTCTTTGGGATGGCTAATTTTGTGTGTCAACTTGGCTGGGCCACAGTGCTCAGATATTTGGTCAAATCTTATTGTGAATGTTTCTGTGAAGGTGTTTTTTGGATGAGATTTACATTTAAATTGGTAGATATTAAGAAAATCACTCTTCATAATATGAGTGGGCCAGATCTAATCAGTAAAACTCTTTAATGAGATAAAAACGTATCTCCATGAGCAAGAAGGAATTCTGCCTACAGGCTATATTTGAACTCAAAACACACCTCTTCCCTGGGTGCCCAGTCTTCCAGTCTACTCTGCAGATTTTAGACTTACAAAGCATTCCTACAAGAGGTAATTACTTAAAATAAATGTCTCTCTAACACATACAAAGATGTATGTATACACACACACACACACACCCTGCTGGTTCTCTTTCTCTAGAAAACACCAATTCACTCCAATTATGTAACAGCAGTCATACCTCTTTATGAAGACCACAGTCAACTACCAAAACTAGAATATAGCTGTATTTTATAATTCACTGACACAAATGTCCCAGGTGACTAGGCAGTGGCTGTTTTTAAATAAAGTTTTTTTTACAGCTTTAGTTTTTTAGGTACTCTTCCTCTGTTACCTAAAGGAAGAGTTCATCCCTTTAGGACGGCCATAAATACAGAGCTTAAAGTTGCTACTTCTACCACATTGGTTTCCAGACCCAGGTATTTTATTTATTTGATGGAATGTTCTATAATAATCATTAATTTAAGCATTAAAAGGCATCATGGAGTAGAGTGTCCCATCAATGTAGCATGAAATCTCCAAGCTTAGACCTCAGCTGCATCAAAAGAGATAATTCACCATTCTATTATACTATCATCTTCCTGAGGTGTAGTGTGAGATAGGAGCAGTGGATTACACGATCATGTATCTATAGGTGAATTTTCCATTTCATAAAATGTGTCTCTTGATGCCCACATCAGTCAATCGACACTCTGTGAACCTTTTTATTTTTTAGTATTGTTGTTTAAGGTCTTGCAGACACAGAAGGACAATGGATACCCACCTGATTCTGTGTTTATCTGGTCAAGATGAATAGCTGTCTTTCATAGTGAAAGGGTGGAAAGAGTCTGAAATAGTTGTCTGCCAAGTGGCTGATTGATCTCCTCAAGATCAATCAAGAAATCAAGAGCTCAAAATCCACCTCTTTTGTTGACAAATCAAACATTAACCAGTAGAAGTAGCTAGGTTAGCCTTAGTGAATGGGAGTCCATATTGTTTGGCTCACATATAGACTCCATTTCTGCCACCATGGCAACTCTTTTAAACAGTCCATTTTGAAAGTATTGATATGATTGTGGACAGAAGCTGATTAACACCAACTTCCTGAATCTTCTAGAGACACTAGATTATTTACCACCTCTTCTGCAATGGATGTTCTTTAATGGGCATTAACAGTTGGTACAAATATTTCTATTCATTACGCATACTCTGAATGTGTATTCACACACATACTTTCCTAAATCTTCAGACCTGGCTTCTCCCATACAATTACTTAAACAAGTGGTGAACCATCTTCCACTCTCCATAATTCCATATATATATCTTTAGGACAGGCAAATTCTCTCCGCGTAAGATGTGGATAACCAGATGCAGCATATAATACTCTAATCAAAGAGAGGAATTATTCTCATTACTGTGCTTAAGGGCACCCCTGAGTGTAGTTGTAGTGTAGTAGGAGTTCATGTTCAGTTTGCATACCTATATGGAGCCAATTCATCTGTGAACCCAGCTTAATTGCTTCCTTCTTTGGCAGCTTGTCAGAAGGAATCCCATGTGGCAATAGGTGTGAACCGAAGAAAATAAATCTGCACAGCTGATATGGCTTGGCTGTGTCCTTACCCAAATCTCATCTTGAATTGTAGTTCCCATAATCCCCATGTGTTGTGGAAGGGACTCAGTGAGAGGTAATTGAATCATGATGGAGGTTACCTCCAAGCTGTTCTCATGATAGTGAGTTCTCACGAGATCTGATGGTTTTATAAGAGGCAATTCCCCTGCACATGCTGTCTCTTGTCTGCTGCCGTGTAAGATATAACTTTGCTCCTCCTTGCTTTCCACCATGATTGTGAGGCCTCCCCAGCCATGTGGAACTGTGAGTCAATTAAACCTCTTTCCTTTATAAATTACCCAGTTTCAGGTAAGTCTTTATTAGCAGTGTCACAATGGACAGATACCTTAGTTGTTATCAGTATCAACAACTATGATAAGAGACATGGAATCTATTCATTCCATTTACTTGTGCCTTCTGGACCTGTTCAAGTAATTTTCTCTATGAATCATTTCAATATTAGAGATGAACTGCTCATAGGCCTGCCCAACCTTATCATTGGTTGAGGCTGACAGTACTAGTTCATGGTGGGCAGTTCTGGATGCATCATTAATTGATGTCCCATGATTAGATACTTTATCTCTACCAAAACCTAGTAGCATGCTAGAAGATGACAGTTGAATGGTGTGTTAGTGCTGATAGCATGGTCTTGCTCCAGAACACTAAGGATCTGTGCTGTGAATCTTCTACTGAGTTTTGCCAGAGACTCCCCACTGTGTCCTTTTCCAACTCAGGTAATTAATTTTATTTAATTATACTAATTAAATAAATCTGCTATATTATATGGATCAAGTGGTAAGACTGCTTAAACTACAATGCATTGGAGCTATATTCTAAAGTATGGGATATATGTATTGCTTCCGATACATAGAGTTCTACCCAAGCACTGTGCCTCTTTCTTGGTAGGAGGCAAAATAAATAACTTTACTTTACGTTGGACAGATATGCAGTATGCCCTAAACCATTGCATCCTTAAATTTTACCTATGTACAGGTTTCTGAATCCTTGTAGATCTTATCTCACACCTGCTAGAGATTATATTTATCTTACTAAGGATATCAAAGTACTTCCCATGTGTCAATCATAAAATATGATTAACTTGATTTCATCATTATGGACCAATATGATGTTCTGTGGAATGTCCAGATGGCCCAGTGAATTTTGGAATAAATTTTGACAGAGAACAGGAAAATTATCCTAGATTTGTGGCATGATTATGAATAAATGTGGCTCTATGTGAATGTAAACTATTTCTTATTCACTCTCTACATAAGATTAATAGCTGCTTATCACATAAACAAGTTAGCATTATACTTCTCTAGTAAAGATAACACATTAGGTACGGTAGCTGCAATAGAGGCCACCACATGGATAAATTTTAAGTAGATCATTGTAATTTTTCATGGACTACGTTCCGGAATTAAATGGGTATATAGTAGAGAATATCATCCCTACATCCTTTAAAGTTTTTGAGGATTATAGTGATATCAATTGTTCCGCTGTAATGAAAGTTTGCTTCTTTACTGTTGTGTCTGAGTGTAACAGCTTTAGAGACTTGTTATTGGCCTTTTCTACCACAATAGTTCTTACTCATAGGTCCATTGATGTAAGAACTCTGTTGACTGCTATGTCCATTCTCTTTGTACATTTGAGTACCAAGGAAATTACTACAGCGGGTGCCATGAACCTAGTGAACCCACTGAGAATGGATCCAGGCCAGGTATTCATTGAGTTCCTAACCTCAATATGCCTTTAATCACTGCTCTGAAGCTGTGTGTATTATTGCCAGTTGCAACCTGGGATCCATTTCCCCTCAAAAGAACTCCATGTTTTCCTTTCCTCAGTGTAAGATGACCTGAGCAGATGATTACAGGCCACTTTGGAATGGTGGAAATCAATACTCTATAAATGTTCTATTATATTGAAGGGTGCTTTCCCATAGGGACACATTGCCAGTGAACGGGTTTCAAATATGATAACTGGTTCATGAATTTCCATTTATTTCTCCAGACTACATATCCCTAGATGTATGTTTTAATCTATCTATTTATTCATCTATGTATCTATCATCTATCTATGTTTTGACTTCCCATGTATTTTCCCCTAGTTTCCTATTTCAATTAAGCAGTTCCATAGATTCCCATAAATCAGTCCCCCAGCTCCACAAGCTACCACTCCAACTTTGCTGCCCATTATATTAATCTTGCTTTTGATGCTTAATTAAGTACTGCCACATTGTGCCTGCTATTCTTGGATCCTATCAATCCAAAGCTAATAGGTATTCCTGCTGTATAATACAGTCTATGATTATTAGTCATTGCCTACATGGTAGAGCCACTATTGAGCTTCTCAGTATTGCTTGTACCGTCTCATGAATGCATTCCTTATTTGTTTGGGACATGGAGTGACTTCCAGGCCTCCTAAAGAACATAATCAGATGGTGGATATTCTTCCTTATTGAGTAAATTATTCCAACATCCCAAATTGTTTCAGTCTTATGTTCTCATCCCAGCCGCCCTGTCATGACACCTTTGCCTCTCTATGTCATGTAACATGGGTCATCAGTTTTTCTATGCTTCTAAGAGCTATACCAACTCTCTCCTTTCCCATCTTCCAGAAGTTCTTCCCAGGAAATTGTCTCCCGTAGTGAGGGAGTATGCTCTCCTTACCCTGTTTTATATTTTGAATCTTTTGATCCAAGATTTTACAATCACTCCAAGTTATAGTATTCCTCATCCTAAAAGTTGCTATGATTTCACTTCCATAATGTTCAAACAGTAGAGACACTGAACAACGGAATGCATACCCTCCCACCTGTAACCCATTCCTCTCCACCACAGGTTATAGTCCTCACAAACACTACAACATCCTTTCAAGGATTGTTAATTTTCTATCTTCCATCAGTGATGTGGTCCTAATCACATTTTATCCAGTGCATCATCCACTTCTAGAATACCAAACTTAGAGTTCACTTTCTAGGGCTATACCAGTTTCTCCCATTACCAATAAAGTTATTTTTGGCTATTTAAAACTCTAAGATAAGGTGAGAGAACACGGAAATGAATCAGGGTAGTGTAATTTTTCTTACATCTTTCAGTCTTATGCTGTTTTACATTTTAAAATTATTGGGGACCCTAAAAATATTCTTTGTGTGGGTTATATCTAAACATATTTACCATATTAAGAAAATAGAACAGAGAAATATTTATCCATTTATTGATTTAAAAGTAACAATAATAAACCCATTAACATTAATATCAACAATAGTTTTTATCAAATAACTATTTTCAGAAACAAAAGAAATACTTAGAACTGTGGTGTTACTTTACATTTTGGCAAGTCTCTATAATGCATGACTTAAGAGAAGCAGCTAGATTTTGATATATGCATCTATATTCAAACTATTGTGACAGATCAATTGTATTTAACTACATTAAAGTAAATGCAACCTCACACAGATATGTTTGTAGTATAGGGAAGAATATTTTAATAAACTTGATGAATAGTAGTTTCTAAAAGGTTATTTTTATTATGGATTCTGACAGTGTGAAGAAGAGGATAAATTACAAAAGGAAACAGAAGGAAATATCACAAGATACTTGGGGTGTCACTTCACCAGTCGGAAACTTCTGTGGCCAGTGGCACTTTACCAGAGTTTTGCTTGGGCCCTGGGCATATTTTACCTACTTGGCCTGGCAGGCTGCACTTGGCTGGTACTACCAGCCCAGATCCCATGCCTGCCAAGGGTAAGCCAGGCACAGAATGGCTCCAGGCACAGAGCAGCAGGGCAGACAGATCCAGGTGGTGGCACAGGTGCCAGGTCCATGCAAGGCTGCAGCTGCACCATATGTACTGCACATGGCTTCTGCTATAGGTACCCATGTCTGGATGAGGGAAATGCAGTGGTGCCTGGAAGCTCAGAGATGCCAGGAACTGCACAGCCCCAGAAAGGATGTCACAGCCCTGGCTTGGGAGGGAGTCCTTAGGCCTGAGCTCCCCAAAGGGCCACAGCTCTTCTCTTCTTGTCCACAACATAGTGAGTGGGGTTTGTGTTTCAGTCCTGCTTGTGTTACAGCTCTTTCAGTCCCACCATTTGGTGGGTCCCAACTTCTTGTCTCATGTCCAGGAAGAATGAGGTATGCGGACAACTGCAGGGTGAGCAAAGCGGAGAGGCACTTTGAGTGACAGAACAGTTCTCACAGGACTGGAAGTGGGTAGCTCATTTCTGCAGGCACATCACCCCAATGAGTGTCCAGCTCTCAGCGGAGAGGAGACCCTCAGTGGCTAGCTCCTTTCTGCAGCTGGTATTCCTGAGGTCTCTGTGAGTCTGGCTGAGTATAGGGTATTTAATAGGATTCAGAAGGGAAGAAGTGCATGCTGATTGGTCCATGGGCAGCTGTGGGTGGGCCCAGAAAAAGCACCGTAAGTTCTCACTCTGAGCCACTGACTTCACCTGGAATTGACACCCAGCCCCCATGCTTCAGGCCATCCCTGGCTTGAAGATGGGGCTTCACTGGGGACCTGCCCATTTCCACCCAAGAGCTTGTCTGCCTCCTTTTGCCATTGCTCATGTTGTCCATGGTGCTCAGGTTGTTTGGGCAGAGGGGCGCCTACAAGCCCGGCCAAGCCGCCCTCAATGCCCCCTCAGCCTCCCTCTCCCATGCTCATTGGTGCCCAAAGTCTGGAGGGGGCCAAGGCAGCAGGGGGCTGGCATGTCAGCGCCTCCTTGAGCTCCCACACACCTGGCCGGGTCACAACGGTGCCTGGGCTTGGCCTCAACTTTGCTCCAAAATCTGAATGAGCACCTAGAGCACGGGGAGGCCAGGCAGTGAGAGCAGGCACTTCTGAGCCTGTGGGAATAGAAGGCCTCCCTGGATTCCCAAGAGCATAGGGATGCCTGAGTCCATACCTGGCTGGGCAGGTGCTGCTGCGCCAGGGTGGGCATGGCTCCTGCCCTGCCAACTTGGAAGGTGGTAGGGTTCCCACCTGTTCCTGGTTCCCATGGGCTTTGTGGAGTGCACAGCCCTTGCCACGCCTCCTCCGCTGCAGCTGGCATCTTTGCAGCAGCTTGCTCTAGATGGGCCATCACTGTTATCAGAAATATTAGTGAATCTAAGGAAAAATTAAGAGAACAGTTTTCCAGGAAGTCATGAAAATAATGTGTATTAAGCAAGAAGGAAAATGCAATAAGGAGGCAAGATGAGGATGGATGACTGCCAATTGGATTTGGTCACAGGGAGGTCATTAGTGATTTTGAAAAGGACAGTTCTGGAATGGTAGGCATGAAGTCCTGGTTGGCAGGTTTAAGAAATATTTGGTAGAAAAGAATTTGATATCAAATATAAATAATTTTATGAGGGACTTTGTTGAAAGGAGAAAAAAAATTGAGCTTCGGTTATTAGGGGTAAAAGCTAATAGGGGCCAAGCAAATTTTGCTTAGTTGTTTTGTTGTTGTGGGCGTTGTTCTACATGAGAATATTAGCATTATGGCTGCTATGTGATGGAAAATCAAAGAAATGTGGTAGAGAAGAAGAAATTTATGTAGGAGAGAGTATTTTTAATTTTGCACTTTAATATTTTCTTCAAATGCTTCTCTAAATCAGACTAAGAGGATGCAAATAAAAATGAGACACTGATCGTAGGATGACAGACATATAAAATATGGTATAAATCTTATCTTACAAATTCTCCAGTTGAAGAAAGTGTAATCTGCTGTAGGAGCAGGAAAGCATAACTCTACTCATGGGAAGACATTCTGAAAAGAGGCAGAGATTAAATGATAACCTCTGTTACATAATGAGGTAAAGCGATGGCACTATATTCTCCAGACTCATGGGTTCCATAGAAAGATTTTTTTTTTAAATGCAGGCTGATGAAATCATCTGTTGTCTCTGTTTATTTTTAAAAGAGAGCACTGTAATAGAAGGGAGAAATGTTGTTTTGGTTTGGGACTTGGGGGGATGGGGGCATAAATTAGAAACAGTGATTTTACATGGGATGTTACTAAAGTAACTGCAGTGAGAACTGATGGCACCAGAACTGAACGATGTCAGGTGTTGGAGACCAGAAAGCCTCTTCTACGTCCTACATTTTCTACCACCAATAAAAGGCTCTGTCAAAGTGTTTACTTCATCCAGCCTATGACACAAAACAAATATAACATGCATTTGTTTTGTAAACATAAGTTTAATGTTACCCTAATTTTAGATTTTACGGTGGTTTGTTTGACTTGTATTTGTTTAGTCTTCTTTATTATATCTCTTAATCAATCCTTCACCATATTTTTCCCTTTAAACTAAATACATATTTTTTTATATTCTAGGGGGTAGAGAAAGCCAAAGTAAATATATCTGAATGAAACTTTAGAGTATGAAATTGTGATTAGGAATGAAACATATCTCCGCATACACTTTATTTTCAGAGCTGGGAAGATGCACAATTTATTTTTTTTTACAATTCCTGTTATTTAGAGTCACAAACTTAAATGTTCAAGCACTGTTTTAAAATATTTCATTACTCTCATTTTATTCAACTTACATACATTCCTTGAGCTGGTGAGAATATTACCGTGATATTTACTATCACTGTACATTATATTTTGTACAGTTAGCAATTTTTACTATTTGTTAAATAAAACTGCCTTTGTTTCCCCAATATTTATTTCCCTAATTCATCAGGGAGATTAAAAAATATATTGAAGATTAAAGTTTAAAGCCTTCATGTGTATTATCTTCAGAATAAAAGTTTGATAATATGTTTAAGTATAGAATGTAAATAAGCATATTTGTTTCTTATGCAGCAAAGATTATAAAATAGGTTAAAAGATAGCAAGGACCCTTCAAGCCTCTCTTGTGCCTGTTTTGTAAAAACAATTTATCAAAGACAACATGCTTTTATTCTCACAACTCTTCAATTTTATTTACAGACCATAGATACAGAAATGCAATTACTTTGCAAATGTAAGAGTATCTGGAGACATGTACTCTTAACCAATGTGACTTTACTTAGGTGCCTTATGAACTCTTAACTTCTTTGTAATACCTGAATCAAAAGTATTAGTTATTGTTGTCCTTCACTCAGAATTCTAGGTTAGGAAGTGCCTAAGGCATGGCAGAGTTATAGTGAATAGCAGGAGCTTTGCAGGCCTATGATTCCGCATGTGTTCCTGGCTGTTTCTTTGTTGTCGACTACAGAAAATGGGATGGATCTGTTAAGTATCCATGCTGATGCTCTCCAGAGACTCTGACAGAGGTGAGGAAATAAATGGTTTGAGGTGGGCACATTAAAGTGACTCTCATGTTGGTGTAACCGTTTTATGGTTTCAGCAGAGAACTATCTATAAACAGTTAATAATCTCATTTTATCTTGAGTTTCCTGCATTGTTGAACCAAACATAAAGAGCTTCTGAAACAAAGCTGTGTATAAGGTTTGATTGTGCCTTTTAAGTGAGTGGAACTCACTCTGGAAGGGTGGGAATTCGTTAGTTAAATTGGCACTGCAGTTGGTTGTGTTTCCATTAAAAAAGAAAACACTGAAATGAAAATTCTGTGAAATATTGATGTCCTCGTTTCTTCTTTGAGAGTTTTTCAAGTAAAGCTGTGAAGCGAAATAAATTATACCTTTCTCTAAATATTGAATCCCTTGCTTTTAGGGTTTGCTTTCAGACAATTATATATTTTCCGGAAATTTTAAACCAAAAGATATTTATTGTCAAGTATTAGGAGGATAAAAATCACTGGAAGTATATTAAAAAGGTTCTGCCCACACTTCCAGGAATGATTCTACCTTTCAAATGAAACCACCTCTGCTGTAATCACAGGCTCAAATGCAAGAAAAAAAAATACCACAACAACTGACAGCAAGAAAACACACTAACAATCAGAAAGCAGACATGACATAAGTGCATTATCTCTGTCATTTGTATGAGCACACATTTCCTTCCTCCTTGTTTTCTTAACTCAGTTCTTTATTTACCTAATGTGAATGCATATGATTGATCAGACCTAAATTGTATCCAGAAAACTCACAGCAAGGACATCTGAGAAGCAGAGCTTTCAGATTTTTAACCTCTCCAATACATCAATGCACACTAGAAGAAAATTCTAATGGATCTTGACCATCAATACACATTACATAATATCTATCCAACCTTGGAAGATACTTCTGTAAAGTTTATTGTAAGTTGAAATTCTGTATATGAATGTATATGAGACCCTAGTTTCCACTTACATTATATGATTAAAGATAAGTTCCTATAGGATGGATAAAAAATTCAAGATCAAATTGTATACTCTACAGGGCAGATAGTCCCACTTGCCTTAATTTTCTGAATGATTTTAATGGAGTCCCGATAAGTTGAGTAAATTACAAGGAGGAAGGGGTCCCAGGTTAGTGAGAACAATTTTTCTGAGAGACAGCTCATCACAATCCCCTGCATGACATCTTATTCCCAAATACCTCATTCTGTATATAGCATAACCTTATTTGCACATCTTATCTGCACATAGTCCTTCCAGTATGACCCAATATAACTTCCTTCCAGCCCCTGCCTCTTGGCAGACAGCCCCTTCTCTGCTGTGCTGCCTGTTGCATCCTTGCAACGTATCTTTGTACTTTCTCTAATAAATCTGCCTTTCTTTACCTATGACAGTCTTGGTCAATTCCTTTACTGCCTGTGATGATGGTCCCAGCCAGTCACACCTTCAACATTTTGGTGGCCTATATGGAGAGTACTTAGGGAATGCTTGAAGAGTAAAGGGAGTGCTGGGGGACCTGTCTCTTACTCTCTTCTTTTCCTCTCCTCCAACTCCAATCTCTCATGGACGCATCTGAGCCTAGAGACAATTGAAGGTCCCCAGCCAGGGCCACTGCCTGGCAGACCAGAAGGTCCTAGTAGAAAGACTTCTGACCACCATCGCCCAACTGAGTGACATTTTGGAGTATTGCTTTCCCTTCCAGTCTTCCAGAAGACAAAACTGTACTGTCCCTCTGGCAATTGATGGCTACTGGCCAGGGCCACTCTCTGGTGTAGCCTAAAGGCCAGGGGTGAACACGTTTGGCTGCCTTGCCCAGAAGAGAGGAAGGCTCCCCTTTCTGGTCAAAAGCCCCCAATCCTTTGTCTAGTGCAATTAGCCATGGAAGCTCAACCAGGATGAACCTACACATGTTTTGGGAAACTCAGACCCCTCTTTCTCACTCTAAACTCTCCCATGAAGACAACCAGGCAACCTGCTCCCAATGTCTTAACCCAGGTGATTCCAAACAGCACTGGGACAATGAGTCTTCCCTTAACTTTTTCCCCTCACACTTGGATGGAGGACTCTGCATAATTCATACCTGGGCTGAGGTGGGGTTGCTCACCCAGTGTTCATCCAGTGGAAGGTCCTAGCGCTCAAAGATCGGGGCACTAGGTGGGACACCCCTTTGGAAAGTGCATCTTGGAGTCCCTCAGTGGATGTGAGTGGAACCCTTTTCCCTTGGCAGGATGCCCCAATAAAAATTGTGTTTTTTGCACCCCCAGACATTTTTTTCCTGGTTCCATCATGGGACAATGCCCCTCCATTCCCTCAGACTTGCTTCTGAGCTGCATTTTAAAGCATTGGGAAAAATTTGACTCTCAAACTCTCAAAAAGAAACATCTAATTCCCTTGTATAATACAGCATGGCCACCTTATAAACTTCCAGATCAGGAATCCTCCCAGCTTCCAGGAGGTACCCATGCCTCCAACACTATTTCACAGCTTGGTCTCTTTTGTCATAATTCCTCCATATGGTCTGAAGTTTCTTCTGTCCAGGCTTTCATGAATCTCTATCAGGATCCTGATCTGCAATAGACCTGTCAAATGTGCTTGGTTAGATTCTCTGGCCCCATTGACTCTTCTGATATTTTGGACAACCCTTTTTTACTCTCTCCCATTCTCCCTAACCAGATGAATCAGTTAAGGCCACACCTTCTGCCCCTAACAAACCACCTTCACATTCAATTGCACCTACTTCATCTGCTCCTTCTCCCTCACCTTCCCTGCAACATCCCAACCTTGGATGTGGTTTTCCAGTGCCTCCTACTCATTCGAGACCCTTCTCCTCTTCACATACTAGGTCAGGGGCCACCTGTGATCCCATTTCCACTCCTGAAAAAGTTCTGCTGCTCTAGGAGGTGGCAAATGGGAATCTAGGAACCATCAGAGTCCTTGTTCCTTTTCCAAAGTCTAATCTTTCCCAAATAGAAACTAAGCTTGTCTCTTTCAGTCAGGACCCTTCTCGCTTCATGAAGGAATTGAGGAGACTTACTGTTTCTTTCAACCTCACTTGGCAGGAGGACATCTATATTATTTTCACCACCTGTTGCACTCACGGGGAAAAATCTTGCATTTGGTCTCTGACTCAAAGATGGGCAGATGAGGTGCATGCCCGAAACCCCCAGGATTCTGATCCTGGGAGTACTTCAGTGCCTGGCATTAATCCTAGGTTGGGTTATCAAGAGGAGACAATAGCAGAGAACACTGTAATCACATGATCACTTACCTGATTGAGGCCATGAAAAAAGCCACTATAAGTTGTTCCAAACTAAGTGAAATAACACAAGTGTCAAATGAAAACCCAGCCTATTCCATTCCTAGCTGTCTGAGGCCATTAGAAAATACATTAACAAGACTGCAAGAGCCCAGAAGGCCTTGCCATCTTGGCTGTTTATTTCATCAACCAGACATCCCCAGATGTTAGATATAAACTCCAAAAGTTAGATCAGAGACCACAAACTCTTTTCCCCACATTGCTGGACATGGCCTTCAAGGTCTTCAATTACTGAGAGGAGGTCTGGAGAATCAAATGGGATAGGAAGGAATGAGAAAGAGATAGGTGGCTAGCCCACTATATGGCCATCACTATCACTAATTCCTTGTTTATATTAAGGGCCTCAGGCCAGCCACTGGGAGGTGGCCCAGAGGCCACCAAGGGATCCCCCCTTTGCTATCACTGTTATCAGTCAGAGCACATTAGCTGACACTGCTGAAACCCTCCCTAGCCATCATCAGGTCCCCAGTGACCACCCTGGTCCATGCCCACACTGCAAACAAGTAGAGCACTGGAAGCAGGATTGCCTCTCTCTCATGTGGGAAAGTCACCCATTTACCAGCAATATCAATTGTGGGCCAACATGGGAGAAGACTATAAGGAAACTGATGGGAACACAAAGGAAAAACGGATGAACCTCAAGGAGGGCCTGTCTGTCTCAGAGATTGACAGTACCCAGAGGCCATCCAGCCTTCTGCGTTTTTCACCACTATGGCTGAACCGTAGACATGGCAGGAAGAAGAACTGAGTTCTTGATCAACACAAAAGCAGATTATTCTGCCCTAATTAATTTCCCAGACCTACTTTTTGGTCCTCGATCTCCCTCACTGGCATAGAAGGTCAGCCAAAACAGACATGACTTACTTCTCCTTTACTAAGTACCTTTGGGAAAAATATTTTCACTCATTCTTTCCTCCACGACTTTCATTTTTCACAGATCCTATAAAAATTCACCTTAAAAATCCCAACTCCTTCTCTAGGAAGCTCCAATATTCTCTAAAGCCTGAAGCTCAAATAAACTTATAGCCCCTAATAGAAAAATTTTTGGCCATGGGATTGCTGCATCCTTGTAACTCACGATGTAACACACCCATCTTGATGGTCAAAGGGTCTGATGGTACCTATAGAGTGATACAAGACCTGAGGGCTGTCAACGAAGCAGTAATCTCAGTACTTCCCATTGGTCCCAATTCTTACACCCTACTAGGGCAAATTCCTTCTGGCACTTCTTGGCTCACCGTACTGTACCTAAAAGATGCCCTTTTTTGCATTCTGGTACACCTAGACTCTCAATTTTTATTTGCCTTTGAATGGTGAGACCTTTCCACTCATGTTTCCCAACAATTAAGCTGGGCAGCCCCCACTCGGGGATTTAGAGCTAGCCCACAGCTGTTTGGACAGGCTGTGTCCATGGATCTGTCCAGCTTTCAACTCTCCCTCAATAGAGCCCTGCTCCTGCTTATTTGCTGTCCAATAGAAAATGCCTCAGACCTGAACATTACTGAAATACTTCAGAGGTTGGCCTCCTGTGATTATAAAGCCAATTCTTCCAGCGTTCAAATGTCCCCTCAGGAGATTCAATTCCAGGGACTAACATTAACCCCAGGGTCCAAGGGTCTCTCAGACCACCACAAAAATCTTATCTTCTTATAACATGGGCATTCCATTCACTAAACAGCAGTTGCAGTCCTTTCTGGGAATAGTACTCTTCTTTCACACTTATACATCTTAGTTTGGACTTATCACAAAGCTTCTCTAAGAGGAACTACAAGGACCAGAGAAGGAACCCTTACATTAAAACCTTGAGTGGACAATGCCCTGAAAATCCTCGAACAAGCACTCACCACCACCCCAGGCCCTGGCCTTGCCAGATCTCAGAAAGCCTTTTTATTTGTTTGTACATGAGAGAAGGGGTATCACCCTTGAGACCTCAGGCAGCCGTTGGGTGTCTCCCAATGGCCAACTGCTTATTTATCAGAAACCCTTGACCTGGTGGCAAGGGAATTGTCTCCATGCCTCTGAGCTCTGGCATCTGTGGGAAAAACATAATTTGGTACTAGTTAGAATATCTGGCTCAGCCAACCTCAATGCCCCAAATCTTCAAAATATGAACTGTCACTTCAGCACAGGGTGCCCCTCTCCAGACACTTGTCCTGACCTAACTTCATGGCAAAATTCCAAGATCCCAAATTCTCCTAATATTTGCCTGCAAATTTTCACACTCAGCAATCCAAAATCTTGGATGTTTGTAGACACTCAATTATTTCATTTTTTGTAGGAAAAAAACCCCACCCAAATGCAAACTTTAACATCCAAACCTTACAGGCTCTTACAACTACTATGCTAGCTACTTAGTATTTCTTCTTTGGGTCAAAAGGCCAGAACACACCTCAATTTCTTCACTCTAAATCTAACCTTTTGCCTTAAATCTGAGTGCACTTTCTTCCTCTGCAGATCAAATGCATATATTTATCATCCAGCCAACTGGACTGGAACTTGTACACTACTTTACTTTGCCTTTGACATCCAAATTGCTCCTTCTAATCAATCGCTCGCAATCTTGCTTTATAGTTCTAGCAGGGTAGAACGGGCAATCCATCTGATTGCTTTGGCCTAGGGATTGATACTGGATTAAGTACAAGTATAAAACTTGCAGCCCATGCTTATCATGAACCTTGCAGCTCATACTTAATTAAACCCTCTCATTCGAGCTCACCACTGAGCTCAAATGCATCTCCAACACCATGGAAGTACTCCACGATCAGATCGACTCCCTAACAGCAGTTGCTCTCTAAAACTGCTGGGGCCTAAATCTGCTTATGGAAGCCCAAAGAGGCATTTGTTTAACCCTTGAAGAAGAATGTTGTGTTTATGCTAATAAATCAGGAACAGTATGAGACCAGGTGCAAAAGCTCAGGGGCCAAGCTGCTGAAATTGAGGAAAAAGCATCACAAGGATGGCCTTCATCGACATCTACTTGGAGATGGTTCTCCTGGTTGCTCTTATTCTCTGAGTCACTAACAGGTATTTTATTATTCCTTCTTTTTGGCCCTTGCATGTTCAACTTAGTTGTCAAATTTGTGTCTTCTGTAATTCATCAGTTTCACCTTCAAATGATGCTGCAAATCGGATAAAAGTCTCTTTCCAATGCTGCCTGCTACCTTCATGGATCTCCTCTGGATTCAGCCGGACACCAGTTTCTCCTTGACATACTCCCCCTCTCTGATGAGTTCCTTCCTGTAGTGAGATTCAATATCCTGAGAACCACAGTCTGGGAAAATGACCCCCAGGGTCTCCTGAAATGCCAACAACCATAGGTAGAGTCAACTCTTTGCCCCAGGACAACAGAAAGTAGTTGGAAGATGAGATCTCCACCTGAATGCCGAAGATTTGTCATCGTCATTCTGCCAGACAAAGGTGGGATTTGGAGTCCTGGAAAGTAAGCAACAACGAGGAAAGGGTCCCAGGTGGGAGAAAGCAACTGTTCTGAAAGACAACTAATCACAGGCAACCCACTAGCATGACGACCTGTTTCTAAATACCTCGTTCCAGTACCGAGTCTCAGCAGCACAGCCTTATCTGCACACCTTGTCTGCATGGAGTCCCTCCAATATGATTCTATAAAACTTCCCTCCAGCCTCTGTCTTTCGACAGACAGCTCCTTCTCTGCTGTGTGGCCCCTGCACCCTTGCAACGTATCCTCATACTTTCTCTAATAAATCTGCCTTTCTTTGCCTATGGCTGTCTTAATAGATTCATTTACTGACCACAACAACCAGCCTGGCCGGTTGCAACCAGAACAATTTTCTTTTTGGGTAAACATGATTGTTTTCCCCCTTTATATGACATACAGAACTAGGGAAAAAAAATCACCTTCCTGAAGTGTTTAGTAAATCTATTTTAATAGACTGGACTTTTATGGTGTTTTCATGGAAATAGTAACTGAGGCCTAGGACTTTCATTAAGCAAGATAAATTTTATTTATACAATTAAAAATTAATATAGATGTTACTATAATATTCTTCTTTTCAATCAATGTTGGTTCCTAAGACCACCTTCAGAGTCAATGATTTACTGGAAAGACCTGCCAGATTCAGAATACCTGTTATATTCATGGTTATGGTTTATTACAACAAAGGATGCAGCTTAAAATCATCAAAAGGAAAAGGTGTATGGCTGAAGTCCAGGAGAAACCAGGTAAAGGCTTTCAGGTATGCCCAACCAGTGGAGTCACACAGGTATGCACTTAATTCTTCCAGCAAAAATAGTTGATAACACATGTGAAGTGTTGCCAGACATGGTTTTGTTGGGGTTCAGTATATAATTGGGAATCAGCATAGAGTACCCATGTAATTAAATTTCTTTCTCAGACTCCAGCCTACCCTAGACTCCCAAAGCAAAATCATTCATTCATCATAAATTATATTGTTAGGCTAAACTTATCTGGTCAAATTTGTAGAGCACATCCCAAGGCCTCAGTCATACAAAAAAACCACTCTTATCAAGCAGAATATCCCAGAAGCTCAGAGGTTACTTCCCAGGAGCCAGCCAAGGGTCAATCCTGAAGATAGATCTTTCTTTGAAATGTGTAGTCATTACTGGTCTACAACCTAAGTCTGCTGACTTGACTCTTTCCTTATCACCATCCTTGATTAATGTGGCTTTTTCTTCAACAAATTTGACGAGCTGTTCCTGATTCAGAATGATTTTTTAAAGCCAAGGAACTCACCAACACTCTGTTTTTACTTTTTATAAAAATAGACCTAAGTAAGATGAAATATTCTAGAATTTCGTTTGTCTCAGTTACATTTTATCATAATGACATTGTTTTTGTTACAGGACACTTTATTGCTTAATCTCCTTAAGACCAGTTTTTTTTTTTGATTTGTAGTTTCTAGTCTTAGAGATACACCCATCATCACTTGGTCAAACAGGTACATTGTTACAAGAAGTGCAGTGACAACACAATAATTGCCCAGTTTGATCGTGCTGGGATCTTCATATCAAAATAACAATAGATATTTATCTCTTGTGAACTGATTACACAGAAACCAGTGATGATTGAATTAGAATATTTTAGATATACTAAGATTACTTGAATTTGTAAGCACTAATGACTTCACTTCTTAAGTTATAGTAGGTAGCTAGTCAGGCATGAGCAGGACAGGAGAGGGCTCCACCCTCACCCCCCCACCAGGAATGTCAGTTGACCATCAGGTGATGGTCAGGCACTTACTACACTGTCTTTCTAAAATAATAATTGGCTACAACGAGGTGGGCATTATCAAGTCAAAGCAAAAGTGGACCAGTCATGAGCAAAGGTCATGGCGACAGTTTTTTGGAATGTTCAAGGCATTTTGCTCACTGACTTTGTGCAGGGCTAAAGAACAATAATATCTGTTTATTATGAGAGTGTTTTAAGAAAGCCAAAGTTTTAGCTGAATAAATACCCAGGAAACTTTCACCAGAGAGCCCTTCTCCACCATGGCAATGCTCCTGCTCATTTGCTTCCTCAAACAAGGGCAATTTTATGAGAATTTCTATGGAAAATCACCAGATATTCACCTTACAGTTTAAATTTGGCTCTTTCTGACTTGTTTTCTTTCACGAGCTTGAAAAATCTATAAAGGGCACCAATTTTTTTTAGTTAATAATATAAAAATAACTGCATTGATGTGGTTAAATTCCCAGGACGCTCAGTTCCTTAGGAATGAGTCAAATGGCTGTTATCACTGCTTATAAAAGGGTCTTGAACTCGATAGAGGAGTTTATGTTGATAAATAACATTTAGATTTTAATTTTTATCTTTTAATTTTATTTTTTCTACACGCTTTATGAAGTTTCCTCATACAGGTCCCATACTATGAAATATTTGTAGACTGGCATGTAATACATTACAATACCAAAAATGCCACTCATAAAAACTTTAAATGTCCTCAGGTATAGGTATTATGTTCCTATTGCTGCTAGAACAAATTACAAAATTTGTGGGTTATACAATAGAGATTTATTTATTTCTAAAAATTTTGGAGCTCAAAAGTCCATAATGTATCTCATGGAACTCAATTCAAGGTTCGAGAAGGTCTGAAATTCCTTCTTGGTGTGTGGAAGATAATCCATTTCTCTGCCTTTTTCAGTTTTCAGAGGCTGCTCACAATCCTGGGCTTAAACCCATCTTTCTCTATTTCCAAAGCCAGCAATGTCAGGCAGAGTTCCTCTCATGCTGCAATCTCTCTGGTCTCCCTTTTCTGCCTGCCACTTCCACTTTTAAGGACCATGGTTATGTTGGTCCCGCTGGAATACTCCAGGATAATCTCCCCATTTTAAGGTCAGCTGATTAGCAACTTTAATGTTATCTGTATCCTTTAATCATTTTCCCCATCATGTAAACTAACATATTTACATATTCCAGGGAGTAGAATGAAGTCATCTTTGGGGATGATTATTTTGCATATCACTGGGTATGTGATCACGTATTTCACTGTTCCATTTAAAATTTACTTGGCAGCGCTTTAGAAACTGAACAGATACTCTAACATTGAGATACAAATACAATAACATTTAAATGCATAATGCAGCACATTTTTTCAAGTCAAGATGTTTGAATTCCTCAAGACACTTTAACAGAAGTTAGGAAAATCTGATTGTTTCTTTGTCTGTACAAATATTACTATAGATAGATTGACATAAATAAAAGACAAGCATTACTGTATCTGTAATTCTTTGATAGGTTAGTGTTAATTTCTTTATGATATTTGAGTAAATGATAAAAGTATCAAGAAAATCAAACCAGTAATAGTCTTCAAAACAAAAGATAAAATTATCTGATTACAATGACTCAATATTACTTTTGTTAATCATTGCTATGAACACTGCACCTCTACCTGTGCTTATTAGTACTTCAAGAATAAAAAACATTTTCAAGGGGGATAGGGACAAAATTTGAAGAAACTTATTTAACTCTACACATCTATGAGTTCTGACAATTTGTCAACTCTATGCTGAGAGTACACAACGCTAATATTTGTCATGACATGTACAGAAGAAAAGTGCTTAGTGCTACATTTTCCATATAATTTTAATATCATTTTTCAAAAGGGAGAATTTGCAAGTTAAATGTCAAGAAGTGTAATCTCAATTCCTTTAAAAGACATATTAATTTTCCAAAATTGGATTTGTTTCATTAATTATGTCCAATGGGATCAGGGCAGAGAAAACATTTTTTAAATATAAATGCAAGCACAAGCAGTGGAAAATCCATACTGAAAAACATTTCTCATGTGACTAGCAATTTAACAATTTTGGATTTTTGTTTACATCTGATTAAGATTCTTTGGCAAATTTAAATAATTTGACATTCAAGACACAAAATAATACTAATAAATGGGCATGTAATCAATTGCTAGTACATTTTGGATTTGGTCAGATTATAATATTAGTGGTGATGAAAGTAAATGTTACTTGATTTTAATTAGCAATATCTTCTAGATGTTGGTAAGTAATACGTTGAAAGTTAAGTGCACTTAAAGGCAGAATTTTGTATGAAGGTTATTTTCAGTTTAGTTAAAGATTTACATTATCTGCTTTCGGAAAAGAAAAAAAAAACAAAAAAACTTGTCTATGCCTGCAATAAATAATAGGTCTTCCACCAGTTCTAAGTCTTCTCCACACAGTACTTACTGGAGTACTTTAGAATGTATTCCTGAAAGATCTAGGAAAGAGAAAGATATATGCACCTTATACTCCAGGCATAGAACATATAATTGTATAATTCCCAATAAATACAGAGCCTTGTAATTGAAAATTACAACAGTGAGATATTGGGGTAGGGAGAACTAAATTCACATCAGGAGAATAGAATACAGCATGTAGAATATGTACTGTAGAATATTAATGCAATAGAGTAATAAACCAGCGTCAAAATGAAAAACAACAACATACACAAATCTATAGCTATAAATATGAACATAAATAAATATAACAGATTTGGGGTGAAGAAAGTATGTTTAAAAGCAAGTTTAAAATTAAGATGTCATGTAGTTAAATTATAAAAATTCATATAGTATATATGAATTAGAAAAAAATATTAAAATAAACCCATTAAGAATTTGTTTGTATGCATTAAAATATAAAGATATCTATGCATGAAAAAGCATAGAAGTGAGTGCAATGGTCAGCTCCTCATAGGCAGATGAATTTATTCAGGAAAGAGACATATAGGACTTCAAATATATTTGTAATATGTGAATTCTCATGTTGACTGGTAGTTACATCAGGCTTTTTTCAAAGTATTTTGATTGTCTAAGTGATTTCATAAAGACACCTTCCCTTATACAAGTTTTATCGGCTAGTTCATGCTTTCTGCTGTGTCACTTATTTTTCTGTTTTGTAATAATAAAACTTTAGAAGACAGAGTTAACAGAGATATTCCTTTCCAAAGCATTTTGCCTCAAGCAGAATGCCCAAAGTGCCAGTCCTGATAAAGCTTGTAGAGTGATTTCCTTTAGAAATCAGGCCAACTTCCATCTCCATCTTCCTTAGTTATTGATGAGGAGAATGTGGCCAACAGTGCTTTCACAGAATGGAAACAGATCTCGGGTAC
Organism: Homo sapiens; assembly: GCF_000001405.40. Lineage (NCBI taxonomy): Eukaryota > Metazoa > Chordata > Mammalia > Primates > Hominidae > Homo > Homo sapiens. The sequence goes on from NC_000004.12 coordinate 32,333,601, forward strand.
TAGCTGGCCCTTAACAATTGGCAGTCTGCCCTCTCTGAAATAGAAACTAGACTCTCAGCTTATTAGACCCTCTTCCCAACTCATCTTCATTCAAGTAATTCAGAAACAAAAATTGTCACTCAAAAACTGTGACATTGGAAACCACTGACCTAAAAGATGCTTCCCAGGAAATTTGACTGAGGTCATAGTAGACTCCTTCCCTCAATAGCCGTGCCTGTTGATTCTACTAACAGTGTCTCCCACTATTACATAACATGCATCTGAAAATTTCTATTGCTAACTCATAGCAAATATGCTTATTAAATACATGTTGATTACACAAGAACCTATGGAGAAGAAGCTTGTCTACCTTGAGAATGTCAGCTGCCTCAACTTGATGTAGTCACTAGATGCTCTCTTCTTGGGTGAGCATCCAATATAAAAAGTCATGTGAAGATATCAGAAAGGGTAAACGTTATTATAACATCATCCATCATTACATATTTCTGAAATCATTAGTTCAAGCCCATTTTCAATGTAGCGGGTGTCATTTTCATAATACTGATGCAGTTTTATTTATTATAGTGTATTTTCATTTTGGATTTCATCTTTAAAAACTACATCATAAGTGGAGTATGATAGAACCTTATGATTAGGTTATTGCTATAAATAGTTTGACAGATAAAAACACTTTATGCAAAAACTGTTGTATGAAACTCTGCTATAGGACATTAGCTCTGCTAAGGCAGAATTGATGTGGTAATAGTACACTGTATTCTTTATGGTGTCACTACACAAAGGCACAAAGTAGTTTTCAATAATAATAATAATAAAGTGTTCATTTACCTTGGCTTTAAGGTAGCATTTCCATCAAGCGAAACAAACTATTATCAAAGATTCATTTCCTGTTTTGTGTTCTGTAATAAATATTTGTAAAGGAGATGAGGATGAAGTATGCAAATAGCCATATTTTACATAGAGATATCTTTAGAAAAATAGGATCTCTTTTTCTCCTTGAATCAACCAAGTTATAACTGAGAATCAATTTTAAATTACTTTTCACTGTAGTATTGCTTTCTCAAGATAATTAAAATTCTTGGTTATATCATATACAATATTATACTTCCTTAAATTTCACAGGACAGAAAGAAAGTTTAATACATTGTCTAGGAAAGTCTTTCAATTGTATAGCTGTCCAAAAGAAAAATCCAATTTCATATTCTAACAGCATGTGTTGAAAAACATAGCAATGATTTCTTAAAAACTCTTCCTGGAATGACTACAGGAACCCAAATTCTGCTCTGAAAAGGCTATAGTACTTGTTCCTTGACATTTTCAAAGTTCATGTGATCCTGAGAAGTGATTAAAGGTTATCTCTAGAGCATATTGCTGATGACAGTTTCCCTAGTTTGCTATAGTTCATAGGTAACAAAGAATGTATTGTTTTTAAGAATTTTTATTTCCTTTTCCACTTTAGCCTTCAATTCACCACCTAAGACATTATTTGTTCCCTAAGTTGATATAGAGTCCTAGCTATTCCGGGATACTATATTACTGACAATGACATAATCATAAAATTCTAGACTTAAAAAGTCATTTTATTTCTATATTTCCTTTGATTTTGTTTCATCTGAATGGTATATTATTCCTTTATCATAAGTGAAAAAAATAGAACCCAATAATTATCTTGTAATCTATTACCAAGTTTCATTTGTATAAGGGCTATATACCATAAAACTCAGAACATCTCACACTTGAAATACTTGCAGGATTAACATGTATTTTCTATTTTAATCTAAAATTTACTTTCAATTACTATAAGCTAATTTTTAAAAATTCAGACAGTAAATGTAGGCAAAGTATATTTACTATTTTATGTTTTAAATTAAACAACTGTAACTATAAATGTAAACATACATAGAATTTCTAAAACCTTCTTCTGCACCCCAAGGAGTCATGTGATCGCTATTTTAGAGACCACTAATTGAAAGTCTAATATGCAAACATTAACTGGCTATTGCCTAGTCCATACCAAGTTCTTATTCTCTCTCTCATTGATTATAAATTAATACATATCAGTTCTCCTCTTCCCCCTTCTCTCTCTCTTCTACTCTCTCTTCAATTCTCAAGATCTGGAAATGATGTCAAAATGGAATCATGTTGGGTGGCAGACAGAGTTCATACTTCAAACTCTTTTTTATGCTTTCATGTGGGAATTTTCCAGAGAAAGAGACTTTCTCTATAATCCATAGAAATCTCATGGCAATATTTCATTATGTAGGAAAATCAAAAGGACAGTTTTCCAAATTTTCCACATTCAGATACCTGCTGATGTTTTGTGCCCATTCTTACTCTCTTTTCTCTTACTTTTCCCTTTGTTCTATATAGCATGATTTTTTTATTATTCCTCACTTTACAGATGATTTGACTGAGGCACAGTGAACTAAATTGGCTTGTGTATGAGGATCTGTGATGGACAGTGGGCATAAAGTTGGATAAGGTGTAGCTTCTTCCATTAAGGAGCTCAAAGTCTATTTTGTGATATTGATGTCTATACATAAGTGGTACTACAGTAAGATTAATATGAGTGGAACTTTGTAAAGCACAGTGACTAAGAGTAAGAACCTTTGAGCCCAGTCTGTGGGTTAATCCCAAATCTAACATAAAGTAGCTGGGTACCCTTGACCTGGATACTTATCTTTCCTTGCTTCAATTACTTTCCCTATAAAGAGAAGTAATTTTACTAATTGTGTAAATGCATATGACAATTAATTGGGTTGGAGCAGATAAACAATCAAAAACAGCTTCTAACATAAATGTAGCATTTAAAACAAAAAAGGTACTATTATAAAATATTATGGGAGTATGGGCAGTCATAAGGGAGAATATAAACTAATTGCAGAGGGCTCCTTAGTGAAGCACAAGAGATATAGTATAATCTAGCTAGTCTATTACTTATTAAACTTTCACGTATTGTCTACTTTTAACTTGTTTGATTTTGCTTTTATGAATTGGATGTACCATGGTACTGGATGATTTGTCAGGTCCTCCCGAAATACAATGTTACATAAAATAAATAGAGGTTTATGAAAGGCCAAGCAGTTGGATCAACTTCACTAACTAACATCAGACTACTTTCACAATATTTCAAAATAATGGACTACTTTTCCCTTTGGTTTACATAGCTTGATCCTTAAAGGTTATTAGCAAGTTTATCTACAAATCATAATTTTTAAATAATTATCTGAAACAATGTTTTAAGAATGTTTAACAATTTCATCTAATAGGACCAGGATATAAGTATGCTGTACTTTCCATTATTGAAATGCACATGAGTTGATTTGATGAGTGTTTGGGGTGGGAGTGGTAGTGACAGGAGGTAAGAGGAAATGAGCTTGGGAAAATTCAAAAATGAAAATAAGGAAGGCAAAAGAGAAAGGCTGGAAACAACAAAAGCCCTAGAGGTTTTACACACTTGGAACACTTAAGAGACAGCTTCCTAAGCTTGGTCATGAGTTTTATCATGACTGTATCCTTACTTGTTGCTTCCAGAAAAAGAAAATTATGTGAGACTTTGAGACTGATCAAAAATCTTATAACAGGGATAGAGGCAAAAACTAGAGAAACCGGGGTTATAAGTCAGATTGTAGACCATTTCATGTCCTCAAGCTGCTGTGATGTGAAACATGGAATGAGCACCACAGATAGCCTGAGTATCTATATTGTGCCAAATGTTGGTATAGATAACATGTCCTTCTAAAGACGTTTACAAACCAAGCTAGAGGAAAGCAGCAAATGATGTTTCACCAACAGAAAAGTAAAGTAGAGACTACTAAGGCATCACAACTCAAGCATAATTTTTTACAAGAATCAATTAAAAGAAGATGCGTATCTCTTGGTCCTGCAGATAAATGGTTAATGCGCTGAAGTGTGATGTTTAATTACCTCTTTTTTATTACCCTTCATTATTTTAGCTTTCATAGCTACACATGTTATGCTGGTCATAAAATTATATAGTCCATTTTAAGGTGCAGCTACAATATTTTCCTGGCTGATCTCCTGATGCAGAGTATTTTGCCAGTGGTCAACACTCCATGGGAATGTTTTCCTCCAATTGGTTACAAATTTATAGCCCTTAAACTTTACCAGTGTCATGTCATTAAACAGGGAAATCTATGTTCCTCTAACCAATTAAAACAGTTTCTAAATTCCAGCCTCCTCCATTTGATCACTCTACTTGACAAGATGAAGATAGTAATCTCAATTTTTAATGTTTAAACATACAAAATCTTCTAAATATTATACAAAATCCATCTATATCAAATCCTCTCAAAAAGAGAAAATACATCAATTTGCAGAAAAGTGGCTCACTTGTAGTGTACCCATGGTAAGAGCATTCAAAAAATATATATTTGTAAAATTTACTAGTAAATATTGGGAAGATTTTCAATGCAAAAACGTTTTACATTTTCGTAGTTTCACCAGTATAAAAAATACTATCTGAAACATATTAAGTGCAGAGTATAAATTGCTAACAATTAAAAGAAATTTCTGATTGACTTTATATCCAAATATTTTTAAATACCAATTTATTATTTTAAAAATTATTAGACTACATCATTCTGATATCTCTCTGTCTCTCTCCTCATATAGGAAGAAAATGTTATACTAATTAGCTAAATTCTAACATTTTAGTATGCAAACGTAAAAGAAAATAAAAGTATTTTTTCTTCTTCAAATTACATTTTTGTATGGTGCAAGTACTCTCACATGAGAAATATGTATATTTATATATGTATTATATATGCATGTGCTTATGCATTTATATATATAAGATATAGGATAAACAAATATTTCAAAATACAAAACAAAAAATATTGGCACATATTTTCAACTTCTACTTGATTATAGTACATAGAATGAAAAATTAACATTGGAATGGTGCAAAAGTAATTTCGGTTTTTGCCATTACTTTTAATTACTTTTAAAAATCTCAATTACTTTCATACCAACCTAATATAAATGTTGAAAAATTCTTGTATCACAGCTGTATGGCAATAGATAAAGAGAAGATATAAAAACATTGGTTTACTACTTTAAGCATAGAACAATGTGTACTAGTTGATTAATAATACTTTTTGAATGAACATATGGGTGTATAATAATTTTTATTCATTTATTTTATTTAATAAAACTTTACTTAGAACCTACAGTTTAGTCTTTAAACATTCCCAGTGGTAAGCACTAAATAAGGATGTTTGTGATCCTGAGATAAAGTTTGTTCTCAATAAACTCCAAACCTAATGAAATATAAGTCCATTAACATATAATTAAAATGAAATGGTTTTATTGCTATAATATTTAGAAGCAATGAGTAATTTCTTTCCAACATTGTATTTGAAAAACCTAAGTGAAGACCTCAGCCTATAACTGGAACAAAATATTTCCTGATTCTCTACTGTTTTAGAACATTTCATTGATAATATTTCTCATCTCTATTAGCCTAAAATATGGTACCAAAAGAAATTCAGTAATTATGTTTCCTTCCCAAATTTATTTTCTTACAATTTTTGTCTATTCTCATCTCTTTGCAAGTTCACCTTTCTACTGACCCATGTCACTGTGCCATTAAAAATTTCCTTCTGAAAAATCAAATTTTAAGGCTCATCTTTCCTCAATCTCTTTACAGAGTCCCATTCTATCTCCTCTCAAGTAAAATCTAACTTCTCATTTAGCTGAACTCCTCTCCAGTTTCCTGAATTGGCAGCTCACTACACCATCATATCTCTTGGAAGCTTGAGAGAGGTTTAGGCCTTCTCCTATTGTATTTGTTCCATTACAACTTTACCAAAGTCTGCCAAAGATCCTTCTTTGACAATGTTAAGGCAACATGCTTCTTAACAGAATTTTGAGATATTTATATCCTTGTTAACACAAGAACTCTTCCTTGGTACACCGAAGGCAGGATTTGCATTAGAAGGAAATTACACTTAATAGAGAGAAAGTAGTTAAAGTCTTGATACACATGGCAGAATAATAATGATAGTAATAATAATAACCTTCCTATATATTTAAAAGGCCTGGAGATCAGGCAAGATCCAGCACATTCAGAATGTAAAGGCCAGTTTTGAGGGACAGCGTTAGTTCAGACCCTCTAAATCAAGGATGGGCACACAGATGTCTAAACAGTTAGCAAAGTAAGAGACTTTGCCTCCTGGGTTATTGTGTGGCCCCTGTCATCCATCCCAACAATAAAGGGTTTCCTGCTTCCCATAGAATTAGGAAAATTATTGACAAAATATCAAGATTCCTAATGACAAAGCCTCCTGGTTATAATGCTCCCAGCAGATATGTTAAAAATGTTTATCAGCCACTTAGGACAAATTATGAAGACCACAAAAAGCATTGCAGCACAGCAAAAATGTCTAAAATTTCTTAGATTAGAAAGCTTTAACAAAATGCTCATGTTTTTTTATAGTCAATTGCTACAAGTCTGTAACTAAAACCAAGATTAGAGTAGCTCGACGTACAGAAGTTATAGAGAAGCCAAATTTTGTAAACTTGCCTTTGGCTTTTGATTTTGGGCTTTTATATTGCTCAAAGAAGGTTAACTGTCAGTGAATGCCTATACGCCTCTATTCCCATCTGGCCTAGAACATTTAAATTCGCTATAGGTCTTTTGAGTCTAAATCCCTTGGCCATAGGGGTCCCACTGAGGGACAGGATGGACCTGGGGCAGGTAGCCATGCTACCCTGGTAATACTATGAACAGAATAAAAGTTTGGTGGCCACTGATGCTGCCTCTGGATATAACTGGATCTTGGCCAGAAGTGGGTGAATGTAAACCAAAACTAAATTTCTAAGCCCCTCAAACCAACTAAATAGATTCCTCTTCTTGGCCAAGGGCATTCCACAGTAGACCTGAAAATCTAGTTCAGGCCAAGATAGGAAGGCAGGGTCAGACAGACCTCGCTATGCCCTCCCCCAGCTGGAATTCAGGCACACTGATAAGCATTAACATTAAAACAGGTCTTAAGCCTGACAAAACAGTCTTCTGTAGCAAAAGACACCAACTCCCAGCCTAACTCTAGTATAGTATCATATGACAGATAGCAGGCCCTGAAGGAAATCAAAGTATTTTACCCCAATGTATATTTCTTTGACATATTTTAAAATGACTCTTCAAAGCTTCCTCTTGTGGGGAAAAATCTACATTCTGCTACCTATGTCTTGCTACCTGGAGGCTTCATCTGCATGAGAAAAACTTGGTCTCCACAACCCTTATCTTAACCCAGATATTCCTTTCTATTGATTGCAGATCTTTAGATAATAACTCTTTCAACAAATTGCCAGTCAGACAATCTTTAAATTCACCCATGGCCTGGAACCCCCTACTTCAAATAGTACCATATTTCCCACCTGAACCAGTATACATCATACATGTATTGATTGACGTCTTATGTCTCTGTACAACATATAAAATCAAGCTGTAACCTAACTAACTTGTGCACATGTTCTCAGGATCTCCTGGGGCTGTGTCATGGGCCACTGGTCATTCATATTTGGCTCAGAATAAATGTCTTCAAATATTAAAGATAAATAAAATAAAGGCACTGAAATTCTCTAGAGAGAAAAAGGGGGAAAATGGTTTCAGTAGGCTTAAAATCATACAAGCCTTACGTTTTTGCTATAAGAAGCAGTTGGGACATTAATAAAGTGGAACTGTGAACCTTGTAAACCACTCCTGTGGCTTGCCTGGCTAGACTAAACACACTTACGACCATTTAAATCCACATTTGTTTGGAAATATAGGATGTTTAATATAATGTGAAATACAGTAAGACACAATCCTGCTACTTTATGTGAAATGACACTTTCTTGTGGATTTAATGTTTTGACATGAAGAGATGGATTCTCTGTTCATGCTCCACACCTGTGTCAATAGATACTTAGAGAGTGGAGATCTCACAGGTCATAGTCTGCCTGTTTTATGTAACAGGTTGTTCTCAGCCAACTAGTTCAGGATCTTAATTTCTTCTCTCTTGATTACTGCAACAAATTGTAAGCTTGTCATTTGGTCTTCACCTCAATTGCCACTTAATTACTCAAACAACTGCTCAAATAATTCTCTTAAATAAAGGTCTGATTAAATTAATTATCTATCAAAAACCTTTAGACTTGATGATATCCTCAGTCTCTTCTCAATTCCTTCATCAGGAAAAAGAGTTCTTCCCAATTTGATTTTTAGTTAATTGCCACGTTTACCACTGACAAGCAACTGTTTCCTCCCGCTAATATACTATCATTTTATATTACATTCACTGGAATATGCCATTTATACCATTCCACCTCAGTCACGACACAAATTACTCCATTTATCTGGATCTACATTGTGTGTATGCACACACACACACACATACGCTTGTGCACGTATTTTCTATATACATACGCATGCTTGCATACTTACAAAACAACATCTTTGGGCTGTTTATACTTTTACTTAGAATCCCACATTAAAAGATGCCTTCCAAAGCAAGTCAATTTCACCTCACTGTAGAGACTCAGTTTGTTGTGTGTGCTTCTCCCCTTAGCACCTTGCTCTTCTTACTATCATACCTTTAGTCACACTAAAGTGTAATGGCATAATAACCCCCCTGATGATTTCATTATGTGTTATATACCTTGTGAGAAAGAACCATGTGTTCTTAGTAGTGCCTTGCCCATTGTAGTGACCAGTAAAATGTTTTGAATGCATAATAAACTTAATCATTGAATGTCATGTTTACAATGTTAACTAAAGTCAATACAATAATTTTCCAACATGGTTGTTCATCTGGAACATATGAAAATGTTGTATCAAATAAAATGGTTGCAAATTGAACCAAGATTGCTAATCTCCTGATTTTAAGATGAAAAGATTATCTTGGATAATTTAAATAAGGCTTACTCAGGGAAGAGCGAGGCAAAAGAGTTAGATGCAAAGAACTAGCATTGTTGGCTGGGCGTGGTGGCTCATGCCTGTAATCCCACTACCTTGGGAGGCCGTGGGGCGTGGATCACTTGAGGTCAGGAGTTTGAGACCAGCCTGGCCAACATGGTGAAACCCCGTCTCTACTCAAAAATACAAAAAATAGCCGGGTGTGGTGGTGCATGCCTGTAGTCCCAGCTACTGGGAAGGCTGAGGCAGGAGAATAGCTTGAACCTGGGAGGCAGAGGTTGCAGTGAGCTGAGATCTTGCCACTGCACTCCAGCCTGGGCGACAGAGAGAGACTCCATCTCAAAAAAAAAACAAAAGTAAGTATTCTCAGAAAGACTCAAATGAGCATTACTGGCTTTGAAGCTGGAGGAAGGGGGCTACAAGCCCAAAATTGCTTTCCAAAAGCTATAAAAGGCAGGCAAGTGGATCCACCCATACATCCTTCAGAAAGAAGCACAGCTTTGCCCATACCATGATTTTAGCATGGTGAGACCCAATATGGCTCCTGATTTTTAAAACTGTACAGTAATAAATGTGTGTTGTTTTAAGCCTCTACATTTGTGGTAATTTGTTACAGAAACAATAGAAAAGTCATAGAATAGTATTTTATTGCTCTCAGGAAAGAATCAAAATTATTAGAAAAATCAAATGCAGAAGGGATAAAATTGTACTTTAATTTCCCAAATCTAATTCAGTATGGATTTTGTCAATATGTTATATATTTAAAAAGAAATAAATATTTCAAAGTTCAGAAAGTAGCTCAGTAAACAATGTTTCAGAAAAAAATCAATGATTAAATATATGAGGAGAGAGATAATTTAATTTATTCATTACATATTCTTTACCAGACATGAGTTGATCAACTCTGATGTTCAATCACAATTCACTAGCATTATGATTTAGTTTATTATGACATGAATTAAATAATTTACATGTAATAAATGTACTACATTTTGTTTACATTACAGCTATTCAACAATTCCCTCTTTACTGCTAAGATCTTATTTTATTCACTTTGATGTTGATGAAAATCTATACTGTAGAGACAGTTTCCCTTAAAAAAAAAACTTCTGAAAGAGTAAACTTATTATTCATAGATTCTGGAATTGAAACGAATTCAAATAGATTCAGCATCCAGATCAATTGCAGCAGGTTTATTTTTAGGTGATAATATTTTATTTAAAAATTTCTGGAAGGAATTTAGGAAAACATTATACTTTAGAATAGTAAGAATCCATATGAATCAATAAAAAGAAAGTAAATGTAGTGACTTGGAAAAGATTCACTTTCTTAATGTTTTTGAATTTGCTGTTTTCAGGCTTATTATTTAACTTTAATATATTACTCTTTTTTACTTTTTACTGATTTTAGCAAGAATTTAAGAGATTCTACAGTAACCACTGGTAGAAGTTGCATTTTTTTCTAATTCATAAGAAAATATGTTATTTTTTCTGGAATTTTTATTACATTTTGAAAATACTAAAACAGTTTAGTCTTTGACTGACAGAATAAATTCTCTGGAAATCAGAAAAGTAGCATAAAGTAGTGTGTACTGCAGGGTCCAAATTTGATCTTCTGGTTTGAATAATGTTTTTCACCCACATTTGAATAACCCAAGAAATTCATTTAAAAAAATTCTTGACTATTAGGAAACAAAGCATATTTTTGTCACTGTTTTGTTTGTTTTTTACAGTTTAAAGCATTACTATCAGTAAGTTACAAGTGCTAATAAACATTGAGTGATCAGAATGAAGAATCTGGGAATGAGGAAATCATGTCATACAAAGTCTTGTGAGGGTTCTTGAAACAATTATTCCTATCTCGAAGTCTAAATAACTCAGAAGTTACAAGACATGAGACATGTAGGAGAATATTCATTTAAAAATATTTATTACCAAATAATAGTAGTTAACTGAGAAAAATGCAGGCATCAGATAGATAATATTATATACATAAAATATAATCTTATAAGATGAGTGCTATTGGAAGTAGATTTCTTCTAATATTTTAATCACATGGAATCACTATGTATTCTTCTTTTCTTGTGTTTACTTTTTAAATGGCCACAGTTCAAGTACATTAAAATGTGAGAGAGGAAACCGAAAAGTATCTTATGTTGATTTTATATGGACTTTAAAAATGTGGGCTGTCATAAGCAGCAATGAAATGATAGGTTGCAGGATACTAAAGTTTTGCACTCTCATTTCTTGCTGTTAAGTTTGCGAAAACCATCGGTAACATTTGTGATGCATGATGATAATGGCCTTCACTACTCTAATTTGGCCCCTGTGAGTCCCTAGATTTGGGTGAGTTTCTTCTCTCAATTCCGCATCTCCTAAAAGGTTTAAAGTGAATCCCTGAAAAAATGTTTGACTCATTAGAAAAAGGAAATCATAAAAAGAGACTAGGTCAATTGCAATACTTGGAGCATCCTCCTCTGGAGCTTTATCTTGCCCCTTTTCTTTGGCTTCACAGTGGTAGTAAGGACTGAGACCCAGCTTTAAGTCACTTGCCCGCCGGTATTACCAGACACAGTAGCTGATGCCCTTAGCTTAAAAGACAAAAATAATTAATGCCTAAACATATAGTTACCTCAAAATAAAGACTACGCTAGACAGCTTATATTAAGTGGGTATAGAAGAGACATTTCAGAGATTTAAAATATACCCAATGAATATTCATATGGAGATAAGGGAAGATATTGAAACATGAACAAGAACTTAATAGTACTAACACACACACACACATATGTGTATATATATGTATATATGTATATAAGTATATACGTATATACTTATATATACATATATGTATATAAGTATATACGGATATACTTATATATATACATATATGTATATATATGTGTATATATAGTATATATGTATATGTGTGTATGTATATACGTATATGCATATATGTATATACGTATATGCACATATGTATATGTATATATGTGTATATGTGTATATATGTATATATGTGTATATATGTGTATATATGTATATATGTATATATGTGTATATATGTATATATGTGTGTGTATATATATGTATATATATATGGCAAAATCAAATAATACAAGGGATAGGAAAAATAATGAGATAGATATAGGTGAAGAACAGTTAATTTAAGGCAAACACCCATCAAGCACCTTGAAAGCATTAACAATATCGTAAATAAAAGCGATGATGTAAGACATATGGAGAAAAAAATACAAGTGCAAACATCTGGATAATACAAGGTTCTCATCAATACAGAAAACAAAGGGGTAAAAAAGGAAAACATAGAGAGAGAAAGAAAGGGGAGATGTTTTAATGTTAATGGAGAGTGATGTCAACAAGATGATGGAATACAACTTTCCAGTGCTCTTTGCCTCAGAGAAATATTAATTTGAACAGCTATTCATGCAGGAAAATACATTCACAAGAGCTAAAAAATCCAGGTAAGATATTAGAGTACCTAGCTATATCACAGAAATAAGAAAAAGATAGGTCAAAGAGGGGAGGAAATACACTCTTGCATTGCTTTATCAATGCCCTTTAAGCCTACAAAGAGAAAACAAAGCTGGAGGCATCACATTTCCTGACTTCAAATTATATTACAAAGTGATAGTAAATAAAACAGTGTTGTATTTTCATAAAAATGGACACATAGACCAATGGGAAAAATTAGAGAAAAAAGAAATAAACCCAATCATATATGTTCAACATATCTTCAATAAGAATACATAATGGGGAAAAATAGTCTCTTCAATAATTGTTGGGAAATCTGAACAACCACATGAAAGGAATGAAATTGGATCGTTACCTTAAACCACACAGAAAAAAAAACCTCAAATGCATTGAAGGCTTAAAGGTAAGAACTATAACCATAACATTTTTCAGAGAAAAAATCTTCTACATTGGTCTTGGTAATAAGTTTTAGAACATATTGCCACAAGCACAGGCAACAAAAGCAAAAATAATCAAGTGGGACTACATCAAGGCAAACATTTTCTGCACAGCCTAGGAAACAATTAACAAAATGAAAAGGCAGCATATGAAATGGAAGAAAGTATTTGCAAGCTACATGTATAATAAAAGGTTTATATCCAAAATATATAAGGAAGTGCTGCAATTCTATAATAAACTAATACATAGCCCAATTTAAAAATAAGCAGAAGATATGAATAGACATTTTTCCAAAGAATACCCACAGTGATTAACAAGTATATGAAAAAATACTCAAAATCCATAATCAACAAGGAAATGCAAATCAAAACCATTGAGATATAACCTAACAGCTATTAGGATGCCTATTATTAAAAAGTCAAAAGATTACAAAAATATTGCCCAGGACATGAAGAAAAGGGAACTCACATACAGCGTTGGTGAGAATCTAAATGGATACAAACATTATTAAAAGAAGTATGGAAGTTCCTAATGAAATAAAAATAGATCTACCCTGTTATCCAGCAATCCCATAACATTCACTTCTTTAAAAAGGAGATCCTGCTATTTGTGACAACACAGATGAACCTGGAGAACATTATACTCAGTGAATAGGCCAGATACCGAAAGACAAATACTACGTGTTCTCACTTATACATGAAATCTGAAAGAGTCAGGCTCATACAAATAAAGTGTGCAATAGTGATTAGCAGATGGAATAAATGGGAAAATATTGTTCAGTGGGTACAGACTTTCAGTTATAAAATCAAACAGTTCTGGAGATCTAACATACACAATGCTGACTTAGTTAATGTATACTCAAAACTTGCTAAGAGAGTAAATCTCAAATGTTCTTATGATAAAACAAAGGATAACTATGTGAGGTGTTTGTATATTAATTAGCTTAATGGTAATATTAATTTCGCAACATCGTGCTGGACACTTCACATCTATGGAAGTTTTGTTACTCCTTCCTCAATAAATGTGGAAAAAAATGACATAGTAATGGATGAATGAATTACTGGACCAGTGGAACACAACAAATATCTTAGGGACAGATGTAAGTACATAAAGATACTTGTTGTATGATAAAGAGTCCCAGAAATCAATGAGAAGAAGACATAATGTTTATAGATGGTGACGGAAGGAGGGACTTATTATGTAGGTGAAATAAACCTAGTTTGATCCTTATCTACCATCACACATTGAAGGGAGCTAATATAACATGGATTGAAGATATAATTCAAATACTTGATATGTGAAAGCCTAACTGTATAACAATAAAATTAACAGTAACAATGTAAAAATTATGTTTGTGACAGGCAATTAGGGATGATAAGGATTTCTTTGAACATCAAAGGAAAAAATGTTGATTAATTTGATTATATTAAAATTAAATATTTATTTTCAATTAATAATATTTTAAAAAGCTAATAGATAATTGATACTTCAGTGGACAATACATGAAATATCTAAAATTGGCAAGTAATTATTAAATTAAAACTATGATAATTCCTCTGTAGGTACATATTAAACATGTAAAAACTCATTGGGAATTTCCTGTAGGAAATTAAAAAAATGTGAAGACAATGAGATGTAATAAAAACAATAATATCTCAAATTTACATGAGTAATTAGCTGCCAGGAGCTATTCAATTGTGCCTGACTTTCATCCTCTTCAACTTATTCATCCAGTGAAATTTTTTATATGTATCTATTAATGTCTTGCAGAATACTTTGTGCTAGAGTCATTCTCAATAAAGTCAAGAACAAGAAAATGATGCCTGTTCGCATCACTATTATTTAAATTTTTCACTGAAGCTAGTAAATGCAGGAAGTAAAAAACAGAAATAATAATTGCTTCCTTGAACACCTCAAAAAATCCAATTAAAGCTAGAAAGTTATAGAAGTGAGGAAGTTGGCCAGGTATACAGATTTTAAATAGCTTTCTTTCTTATAAAGGCAAGAAGAAGTTAAAAATATAATGGTGGAAATACATTAGTTACAGTATGAAAACTATAACAAAATTATATAATATAAACCAAAGGATTCAGAGAAAATTATGGAGATCTATATAAAAATAAACAGAGATAATACAAATTTGCTGAAGTATATTATTATTTTTTGAGTAAAATGTGATGATATGCTATAAGGCAAAAATCAGTTTTTTATAGTTTTACATCTAGTGTAAAAAGAAAAAAATTAAATAATTTATTTGGAAATTGATATCATGTGTCTGAAAAATATGAAAACAGAAATTGGTGACCATTACTAAGCAAATGTGGCAGAATAATGAATTATTTGTGATAACATAACACAAGTTATAAAAGGAAAAATAGAATACTATCTTAGTGTAGAAAGACTGATGAAATATGTTCATAAATAAAATAAATTAATAAATGATCGATAGAGTCTCATTAAATCTAACTTGAAAAGTACTAATAGTTTTTTGCCTGGGTCTACTCGGCTCATACTGTGTGGGGTGCCTGCCTGACCAAGCTCGCTCAACTCTTCTGGCACGTATGATAATAGCAAAGTGAGAGGGAGTTAATTACCTCTGGGATGACCTTTGTCCAATAAGGGTGGGATGCAGGAGTAAGTAGATAAAATGGCTTTTTCTTTTTCGAGATAGGATTCCGAGATGTATTCTATACAGTAGGATTAATGCTCTGGTGCCCACTGTGATAATCAACTTAATCACGTGCCCTTAGGTTGGCTGCTGCTTCTTAACCACGTGACTCTTTTTTATTCCTTGTTCTTCCATGTGACCATTTCCCAGAATAACTCTTTAGGTCTTATATATGCAAGTGCTGATTTTAAGAAACTGAAGCTACAGGAAGAGATGAGAGTTTCTAAAAAAAAACACACTTGCTTGAGATACCCCTTTACTCTTCTACCTAAAACATGGATGTGATGCTTTCAGAGCAAGCAGCTGTCTTTAAAATATGGGATGTTTTAAACAAAGAGTTTTATTCTAAGACTGGGGAAATACAAAGATGAGAAGAACCTGGCTTTATGGTGATTTCTTAAGCGCTGCTTTTTTAAGCCCCTGATGTAGGTTTTGCTATTATTTATCGCTAGAAATGTTTCCAACTAATAGGATACTACTCTGTAGCCTCAGTTAATCCTAATTTGGAAATGAGAGTAGGACCTACACATCAAATAATGACCAAGAGACTTTTATCAGCCTGACTGCTTCTTCTGATTGGTGGGATATAGGACTTTTTAATTTTTTTTGCTATAATTTTCTAGATTTAAAAAATTTAATGTATCTGAAATTTTAAATTGAAAAGTATAAAAGTCAACAGAAATTTGAACTAAAATTTAACCCTCAAAGGAATAAATTAAGGAACCAATTTGTGTGTAACAAAGAACCTAAAAGCAGAAAGTGTAATTGGAGATGCAGTTTTGCCACCCTCTCCTCACCTCCCACCGCTCTCTACAGGCCCCAACTGTCCTGTTCTAACAATAATTTGAGCACCCGTATCTTGTGAAAGGCTTCCTAGTCAGCAGAGCTGTAAAAAGCAGAATCAAGAGAGGTTTTCTGGACCAGAGAAACACCTTAATTAACCTATCAGATTCTGACCTTTTTTTTAAAAAAAAAGAAATTATAATGTGAATTTAATCCCTAAATAAATTACCTTATACTTCATTTACTTGCCTAAATCAATACAAATCAGATCCTTTTTTGTCAACATGAAGAATCAAGAACTCTTCCTATCACTTATTCTCATGAACTAAGCGTTTTATTCTCTAGAAAATTTTAGAATAATTTGTACCTTTCCATTTTCCCTAACCACAAAAACTAAAAGGAATAAAACGTAAAACAGAATGTGTTTAACATTATTTTATTTTGAGAAAAGAGATTTTTGGAAATCCACTCCAATATACAGAAATTTTCTACTAATCCTCTAAAACTTCAGTTTTGAGAAGTATACAGTTTGAATTCTAAAACACAACATCTATTACTACAACCAGTCACCTGCTTAATTGTCATATGATGAAGATTGTTAATGTTTCACTGATTAAGTAAAAAAATTGCCCCCAAATCTATTTTATCCATAGCATTATTTAATATACTGTCACTTTAGAAGCATATTTGTACATAATAATTTCTCTGTTTGCCAAAACTCTTTCAGTCATCAGTGACAAAAATAACACAATGAAACTTGACTAACAAAGCTTGGAAATTTGTCTATTCCCTAGAAATGACTTCAAGCACAAAAGAATCTAATGGCTTAAATGGTCATTTCAGAGCCCTGTATCAATCTGTAATTCCCTCTGAAAATTGGTTTTATTTTGCAACTATCATTCTTCCTTGCTACCATGCTATATAGCCACCTAGTAGTTCAAGGGCCTTTTATTGTGTGTTACAGAGCAAGTTACTGTGCCTTTTTCACAGGCTCTACCTAACATGTTTCAGGGAATAATCTTATTGGCCCATCTTGTGGATGCAGAATTCTAATAGGCTCCCTCTGAGTTCTAAGCCCACCTTTTTGTTGAGAGATGAGGCATTGTTATTGATGATTCCATCTATATTGAGTTATGAAGAGACTACTTAAACAAACAAAACCAGATCACCACCTGTAACAACACCAAACAAACAAAACCAAGAACTAGGAAAATGAGGAAAAAATATCTGACTGAATGAAAATTATGTTGGTTAACTCTTATAATGATTGTCATATATAGCAATACAATAACTAGTAGTAACTAGATTTCAATTATAAGGTATTTGTGATATTGCTATGATGAAGTCAACTAAGTTTGCCATTGTATGTCAAAAAAAATAAAATAACAAAAAATTTGCTAAGAAAACTAAGTGATAAAACCCCCCTCCCCCAATACAAGGCAATACTTTTAGGCAGAGTGGACAAACAGAAAGAATGATGTCATGACAGTTATTTATACCTAGGTTGAAATATTGACTTAGTCACTTACTATCTTGATGGATTTGAACAAGTTCTAATTCTCCAGAAGTTGTTTTGTAACTTGTAATTGGAAACATATAATAGCCTTTTAAAGCAGCAATCCTCAACCTTTTTGGCATCAGGGGCTGGTTTCATGGAAGACAGTTTTCCACAGATGGGCAGAGGGGATGTTTAAGGGATGATTCAAGTGTGTTACATTTATTGTGCACTTTATAACTATTATTATTACATTGCAATACATAATGAAGTAATTATACAATGCACCATTATGTAGAATCAGTAGGAGCCCTGATCTTGTTTTCCAGCAACTATAGAGTCCCATCTGGGGATGATGGGAGACAGTGACATATTATCAGAAATTAGATTATCATAAGGAGCATACAATCTAGATCCTTCACATGTGCAGTTCACAGTAAGGTTTGAGCTACCATGAAAATCTAACGCTGCTGCTGATCTGACAGGAGATGGAGCTCAGGTGGTAATGCAAGCAATGGGGAGTGGCTGTAAATATAGATAAAGCTTTGCTCACTCACCTGACATTCACCTCCTGCTGTGCAGACTGGTTCCTAACTGGCTGTAGACTGGTTCCAGTCTATGGCCTGGGGGTTACGGACCCCTGTTTTAAAGTGCTGTGCATTGGAAATGTTTATGTAACCTTTGCAGGCAATTAGAAGATACTTCATGAACAAGCCATGAAATATGATGTTCTCTACAAGGTGTCCAATCTTTTGGTTTCCCTTGGCCACATTGGAACAAGAGGAATTATCTTGGGCCACACATAAAATGCACTAACACTAACAAAAGCTGATGAGCTAAAAAAAAATTCACATAAAAAAATCTCATAATGTTTTAAGAAAGTTCACAGATTTCTGTTGGGCCACATTCAAAGCTGTCCTGGGTCACATGCAGCTCATGGACTGCAGGTTGAACAACCTTGATTTACATTCTTATAATATGTAATGTTATTTTATTAAATTATTTTAATTGTCTGGCAAAGTTATATCACAAGGTATTAACCAGTGAATTTTGTGTATTTTATTTCCGTCTAACTTTCTTTCTAGTACCTGAAGCAATACAGAAGGAGTACTTAATGTTCAAATAAAGTCATTGACCAAAGTATGGAACAGAAAATATAAATGCATATTTTTAAAGCAAACATTTCATCTCCTAAAGACAAGATAAGACATGGAATGAGAAGGAGAAATAAATTAATCCCACCATCCAACAGTGAAAGAAAAAACACAGAACATGAGGAGGACCAGAAAGCAATGTGAAAAAGAGTTGAAAGGAGTCACTGCTGAGCTATTTTAGATTCTACACCCTCTATCCAGCCATGAACCTATCAGCGATCATGCCTAACTATTGCATACCCCATTAGACAACCTAATGTGAATGTAGGAAGCCTATTCATCTAAAGGACATGGAACCGAGTAGATGTAACTGATACTTCACTATTGACCTATAGCCTATTAAGATCTACCATGAGTCATATACATTTGACACCGTGGTTTTCATTTCATAATACATATCTTCACTAATTTTGTCTATCATTTTGTCAAAGGGCTAAAACTATAGTAATGAGTACATTCTTAATGAGTTTTTCTTTAACTACCACAATTTGTATCTAAATTTTGTCTCATCTTATGTTCTAAAATTGTCACAGCAAAGTGATCAAGGAAGCTAGAGATTTTACATATGTTCTTCTCAATAAGATGGCTGTATCTCTTCTATATCAAGTAAATAAATCCTTGATACATGAATGAAGTAATGGTTCAGTAAACAAATTAAATATGATACGACTTTATTTGTTGGTTCTTTACATATTTATGTTTTACTTCACTGGTCTACAAATTACCTATACTGAAACTTCATACTCGTTTATTATTTGGAAGTATTTAGCAAAAGAATTATCCTACCTGAATGTGTCACAGAAATCCACAAAACACTCCTGGGATGTAAATTCTAATTCAATAATCCACAATACCTTGAATGTGGCAAGTCTTAAATATGTCCTTCGGCATATTAACAAATATTATATATAATAGGCTAATATTAAATTCACATAGTTTTTATGCCACAAGTGCTATAAGAATTTGAAAAAAAAAACCCAAGTTTTTGAACATATAAAGTTTATGTTTTCTGGCAACACAAGTACTAGGTTAAAAATGTTAATCCAAAAAGAAAAGATTTTTCATTAAAAAACACACGTAGTGTGAATACATTTAGCCAACCGGTAAAATACCTTCACTACACTATAAATCATAGGGGTCATTTTAAGTACTAAGTATGTGAAATATGTGAAAAGACCGTAACTAAGTGCTGACCGTGACTTCAGGAGAGCAGTTTGTGGTAATTAACGAAATATGATGGGTTTAAAAAGAGATACATTACTTGAACTGAAAAGCTAAAATAATTAAGTGATGGCCATTGAAATTTGGGATTAGCCCTGCTACAGTTGTTCTTGCCCTTGCTGCCTTTCCTCATAAGACCATTATGAATTTTTGCGAATGTCTTTATGTTTAATCTTGTTCAATGAATTGGCTGCCTCTCACTAGGCAAAGTCAAAAAGAGAAATGCAACTGCATATAGAACTCTCTACACAAGCAATGCACTCATAAATAACTCAAAAGTCCTCTACTTCACATGATTACCCTTTAAGCTGATAATTTAAATGGGAAACTGAGAAAGGTCATTTTATCTGCACTTTTAACAATACAATTCAGGAAACTTTGCTGTCTTAATATTTTTAAAATGTTTTTGTATTACAGTTTTTAATTTTTAAAAGAATCAATCGGTGAATTTCACATCTTAAAAGCAATGACCTCATTTTTTCCCAATTTTTTATGAATATATTTAATAAAACCATAATAACCATATTTTAATTTGAGTACTAAACACAATTAATGATTTGCTAATGCCTGTAGTGTGTGTCTGGACTAAATTTTATAAATATCTGAATTTAGTGGTTTTACATTTCATAAATTATTTTTAAATTTACAGTTAATAAAAGTTTTAGATAACTACTTCTAAATATTGATGCTATTTCATCTCTTGGGTAAGCAAATTGATGACAAGGATGATTCATATGTAAGAAGTGACTGTCTGACTGCTAGGTAAAAAATGTATGATTTGAAAAATTATTTAAGAAGAAGGAAAATAAGGAGGAAAGAAAGAAGAGAGGGAGGCAACAAAGACCAAAAGCCAGCAAGACAGTAACATAAAATACAAATAGATAAATGAAATTAATATTCCTAAGGGGTTGTGGTGGGGGAGAACTGGAAGGGGCTGGCAGAGTTAGGAAAATTGCCCGCAACTGATCACTTAAAACTTCTAAAGTAGTCTTCATTAATGAACATACTTAATTCTAAGATGAGAACCACATAAGGCTGCTATCCCTATGCTTTCTCTAACCGTATTTACAAATTAGATGTTTAGACAGTGTGGGTGTTATAAGATCCTACTATATCTTTAAGCTTAGATACTATATGTGACACATTTTCACACTGAACAGAAAAAATGACACTTTATTCATAAACATAAATGTTTCTATTTACCAGTTAATACCTAAATAAGTAAAATAACAGAAAAGGATCCATTATTATAGAGGCAGTATTAATTTGCCCTCTACTCATTTGCTGTTTTCTAAAAATGTCGCTTCTATCTTTTCTCTCAAGAATCTCCTATGGTAATCAATTTTCTAAATTCCTTGCACTATTTGTCATTTTTCTTTTTAATGGAAATCTCTAGAGCATGTTTATTTTCTTTTCTATCTTTGCTCTTAGGATTCAGCATACTCTTATATTTTCCATTTTTATCATTCAAATATATCTTTTTTTAGAAAAATTGATGTTAGCCTACTTTAATAAGTGCTTATTAGGAACAGCGTTAGGAATGTCTGTGGACATACTGGAGGTAAAAACTGTGATGTTTAACTTTAAGAAGCTTCCATCTAGTTTGAAGTACGGCATCATTACAATGTAATACTGAGACTAATGAAAATGTGTTGAGTTTAGTATTGGTTATGTAAACCTTTAGCTACAAGAGAGAACTCAGTTTTTCAGTTGAATCTCCAATTTTGTATACATTTTGTTTGTTTCTTTATATCAAGTAGCAAGGAGGCCTGAATTACAAGGTATATATATGGGATTTTTTTAAGGATGTTGTTTATGGAGAGTCAATCAAAAAAATGAAACTATGCTGTACTGAGGGAACAATTAATCCCCAAATCTCAATGGACTACAGCAATAAAAATATTTTATTGTTGTTGTTGTTGTTTGTTTTGTTCTGTTTTGTCTTCCCTTTTTCAAGCTATGTATCAGTCAGTGCATGCCATCTGCCTACCAGGACCAACCTGAGGGAGCGTCTTCATCTAGAAGACTGCTAATCTTTTAGCAGAAGAAAAGAGCTGTGACAGACGACCAGCTGGCTCTTAAATCTCTCCAAATGACACATTGACCAAAGAAAGGCAATATTAGACACTCTTGATATCAGTGGTGTATAATAGAATAACTCTTCTGGAATTAAGCAAATAGATTTAAAAAACAATACAAATTATTACAAGGAGTTAACTAAAGATGTAATTTTTTTCTTACATCGTCTACACATGAAACTCGTATCTTACAAAAACATATCTCATTATCCACCAGAGGCAAGGTTGAAGGTACATGTAAGCAGTTTTATAACCAGCTTCCAGTAGAATGATTGAAACTCAGGCTTAACACATGATACACGAACAAAGCCAGGGTCACAGTTGGAACAATAGTCAGCTCATAACAGAGTATTTTTACATGGTGCAGAACATCCCCAGTAATATAATTTTCCCTAAATATCAATTTATATATGAAGCAAAATCTTTTATAAAAAGTGTAGATCCTTCTCATCATTGTCATATCAATGTAATGTGACATCACCAGACTATATAATCACAAAATGTATTTATTTTATTTGTATTGCTTGTTTCCTCGTATATTGCCTGGATTTTCTTTAGACTTAATGTTCCATTAAGGCAGGTACTATAGTAAAGGGTTCTATACAGAGAAGAAGCTTAATAGATGCTCCCAGAATATATGAATGTCAGAAGCCTTAAATGAGCTTTGAAATAATTCAGATGATATTAGTTACTTATAATTATGTTAAACATTCATAGGTTAACTACATTGATCAGAGGTGGAAAATATGTAAAAAGATTCTGAGTCCAGTAGGATAACGTCATTGTGGACTGCAGACTCTCTTCTTATATGGTTTCATTATTGCAAGAATTTATTTGGCAGAAAAAGAAATTAGTGTCTCATGCTCTGCTTCTTAAATATATTTATAGAAGTCTTGATTTCCTTTATTGCTGCTGCTTCTTGTCGGTGGCCCCCACTTCCCATGGTGATGGTAAGTGTGGAGTGGATAATCTAAACAGCAGCCAAAAACTTAGAGAAGTCACAGATAAATAAGTGAGTTTCCAGATCATAGGTCCTTCCAAATGTTGTTATGGGGTAGAATAGATGATGCACTGTGGATTTATAACTATAAGATTCACACACTGACTCAGCAGGAGAAGGTCCAGGTTGGTGGTAAATGGAAGGACGTACAGCTTACATTAAGCATTTTTTAACATATACATCATTTTCTTCCCTTTGATTCTTTGTGAGCTCCATCACTCTGGTAGCTCTAACTAAACCACTTTGTAAAATGTAATTTGCAGGTGGTTGTCCTCAGTACATTAATATTATTATTATCACAGGGTGTGGTAGAAGTCACTAGTGTGACAATGATTTGCATATCTTTGCTTAGTTTTATAAAGACTTTTGTCTCTTTTTCTACTTTACCCTGGTCGCTTAAGAGGTTAAAATGTTGTAAACGTTTCCTCAGGTCTGCCTGTTTTCTCTCTTTTTTCATGATCTGTATTGTTAATTTTTGCTTTCCATGCAACTCCTTACAATCTCTAGATAATGAGTAATTTCCTCTGCATTTACTACGTTGAGTCTTTCGATTGTACTCTGCCATCTTGGTGCCCTTCCATCATTCTGTACCATAGCCTCTATCCTCTGCATTCATTCTTCGACAACATCTAATGTCCAATATTTGCTACTAATTTGGTATGCCTCACGTAGCTTTTTGTTGTTGTTAATTACCTCCTT
This sequence comes from Homo sapiens, assembly GCF_000001405.40. Lineage (NCBI taxonomy): Eukaryota > Metazoa > Chordata > Mammalia > Primates > Hominidae > Homo > Homo sapiens. Next base: position 32,357,545 of record NC_000004.12, read on the forward strand.
TAAAAAGAGAGACAATTAGTATTTTTTCTCTGACTATTTTTAAAAGGCTAATACTATTCATTATTTTTTAAAAGCATTGATCACCTTCCAGGCAGCGTGTCGTTCTTGTAGTTACAGGTCTGCATGGTCCATCTATCTATTTTGTAACATGGTCATTTGGAAGAACCCATTGTCTGAAAAAGGATTATTTTCTTGATGCTTCATATTAGATTTTGGCTGCAGCTTAGATAATCCTCTCTGCCTTTATTCTGAAAATTAGTTGTAAAATCCCAAGACCCCCAATTTCTTCCTCCAAAGGGCAAAGGTCTCTTTATCAGATCCAAAGCCAGTGTCTTTTGACCATAGTAAGTGGCTTTGATCTAATTATTTGCCGCATTGTTATGTGTCATAATTCACTTCCATTTTAAAATTTATTAATATTTGGTCAATCACCTCTAAATATAAGTATTCTCACCATTAAACTTCTACCAGATTCTCTGTTTTGAAATAAGTATCCATTAACAGCTTCACTGAGATATAATTGACAAATAAAAGTTATATATATTTAAGCAGTACCACTTCATGTTGTGAACCACACACATTGTGAAATGATCACAACAATCAAGCTAAATAACATATGCATCACCTTGCATAGTTGCTATTTCCCTCATTTATTTTGTGATGAAAAGAGTTAAGGTCTGCCTTCTTAGCAAATTTCAAGTATACAATACAGTACTGTTAACTATCATTACTATGATACACAGTAGATCTCCAGAACTTATTCATCATATGTAACTGGAACTGTACACGTTTACCACAAAACCCCATTACCCCCTCTTCTCAGCCCCTGACAACTGCCATTCTACTCTCTGCCTCTATAACTCTGACTGTATTCTCTATGTATAAATGATACTACGCAGTGTCTTTCTGCATCTGGCTTATTTCACTTAGCACAACATACTTCAGTCTTACCCATGTTGTCACAAAAAGCAGGCTCTTCATTTTTAAGGCACAATAATAATCTATTGTGTATACATTTACCAATTTTCTTTATTCATCACTGGACATTTAGATTGTTTCCATATATTGGCTACTCTGATTAATGCGGCAGTGAAGACAAGAATGTAGATATCTTTTAAAGAGCCTGATTTCAGTCCCTTTGCATATATACCCAGAAGTGGAATTGCTGGATCATGCGGTAGCTCTATATTTATTTATTTATTTATTCATTCATTAATTTACTTTTGAGACGGAGTCTCGCTATGTTGCCAGGCTGGAGTGCAGTGGTGTGATCTCGGCTTACTGCAAACACCGCCTCCCAGGTTCAAGCGATTCTCCTGCCTCAGCTTCCCGAGTAGCTGGGACTACAGGCACGTGCCACCAGGCCTGCCTAATTTTTGTATTTTTAGTAGAGACAGCGTTTCACCACGTTGGCCAGGATGGTCTCGATCTCTTGACCTCGTGATCCGTCCACCTTGGCCTCCCAAAGTGCTGGGATTACAGGCGTGAGCCACCACCCCTGGCCTTTATTTTTATTTTCTGAAGAAACTCCATGCAATTTTTCATAATGGCTGTACCAGTTTACATCCTCATCAAGGGTGTGCCAGAGTTCCCTGTCTCCACATCCTTGTCAACACTTGTTATCTTTTATCTTTTTGATAGCAGCCATCGGAAAAGGAATGAGGTGGTTTCTTATTATGGTATTGATTTTCATTTCCCTGATGATTAGTGAAGTTGAGCTTTTTTTTATATATCTGTTGTCCTTTTGCATGTCTTCTTTTGAAAAATGAATATTCAGGCCCTTTGCCCATTTTGTAATAGGGCGATTTGGTTTTTTTCTGTCTATTGTAGAAGTTCCTTAAATATTTTGGAAATTAATGCCTTATATGGTTTGCAAATATTTTCTTCCACTTCATAAGTTCCCTCTTCACCCTATCATTGGTTTATTTTTATGTGCAGAAGCTTTTTATTGGGTGTCATTCCTCTTGTCTGTTTTTGCTTTTGCTGACTGTGCTTTGGTTTTACAACCAAAAATGTATTACCAAGACCAGTGTCAAGAAGCCTTCCTCCTATGCTTTTTTTTTGTTTTCTTTTTCTAGTAGTTTTACAATTTCAGGTGTTACATTTAAGTCTCCAACCCATTTTGAGTTGATTTTCATGTATGGTATAAGGGCTCAATTTCGTTCTTTTGTATGTGGAGTATCCAGTTTTTTCAGGACCATTTATTGAAGAGACTGTCCTTCCCCCACTTCATGTTCTTGGCATCCTTGTCCAAGATGAGTTGGCCATAAATGCATGAATTTATTTCTGGCCTCTCTATTCTGTTGCATTGATCTACATCTGTGTATTTATGCCAATACCATACTGAATTTTTAAATTGTAAACTAAGGAACAAATAAGGCAAATTTGTCTCCTCCCTTGAGTTTAAAATTTATTTATATGGATATCATAAAATAGGAAAAATATATAAATATATAAATATACACATATGTGGGTAAATGTATGAATATATATACACATATGTACATGTATACCTCTATTTATATAGACATATATATGTAAATATATGCAAATATTTAAATTTATATTTAAATATTTAATATATAAATATTTGTATATTAAATATTTATATATTATTAACATATATATTTACATATATATGTATATATACAGAGAATGGTATTAGGTCGGTGCAAACGTAATTGTGGTTTCTGCTGTTACAGTATATAAAAATGCTCAACTTCACTAAATATCAGGGAAATGAAAATCCAAACCATAATAACATTTCACCTCATTCCTGTTAGGATGGCTGCTATCAAAGATAACAAGTGTTGACAAGGATGTGGAGAAAGTGAACCCTGGAACACTCTTGATGAGGATGTAAACTGGTACGGCCATTATGAAAAATTGTAGGGAGTTTCTTCAAAAAATAAAAATAGAGCTATCACATGATGCCACAATTACATTTGCACCAACCTAATAGAATACTTTTCTTTTTTTTTTTCCTGCTCCTTAATTTTTTATTTTATTTTATTTTATTTTATTTTTATAAATTATACTTTCAGTTTTAGGGTACATGTGCACATTGTGCAGGTTAGTTACATATGTATACATGTGCCATGCTGGTGCGCTGCACCCACTAACTCGTCATCTAGCATTAGGTATATCTCCCAATGCTATCCCTCCCCCCTCCCCCACCCCACCACAGTCCCCAGAGTGTGATATTCCCCTTCCTGTGTCCATGTGATCTCATTGTTCAATTCCCACCTATGAGTGAGAATATGCGGTGTTTGGTTTTTTGTTCTTGCGATAGTTTACTGAGAATGATGATTTCCAATTTCATCCATGTCCCTACAAAGGACATGAACTCATCATTTTTTATGGCTGCATAGTATTCCATGGTGTATATGTGCCACATTTTCTTAATCCAGTCTGTCATTGTTGGACATTTGGGTTGGTTCCAAGTCTTTGCTATTGTGAATAATGCCGCAATAAACATACGTGTGCATGTGTCTTTATAGCAGCATGATTTATAGTCCTTTGGGTATATACCCAGTAATGGGATGGCTGGGTCAAATGGTATTTCTAGTTCTAGATCCCTGAGGAATCACCACACTGACTTCCACAATGGTTGAACTAGTTTACAGTCCCACCAACAGTGTAAAAGTGTTCCTATTTCTCCACATCCTCTCCAGCACCTGTTGTTTCCTGACTTTTTAATGATTGCCATTCTAACTGGTGTGAGATGGTATCTCATTGTGGTTTTGATTTGCATTTCTCTGATGGCCAGTGATGATGAGCATTTTTTCATGTGTTTTTTGGCTGCATAAATGTCTTCTTTTGAGAAGTGTCTGTTCATGTCCTTCGCCCACTTTTTGATGGGTTTGTTTGTTTTTTTCTTGTAAATTTGTTTGAGTTCATTGTAGATTCTGGATATTAGCCCTTTGTCAGATGAGTAGGTTGCAAAAATTTTCTCCCATTTTGTAGGTTGCCTGTTCACTCTGATGGTAGTTTCTTTTGCTGTGCAGAAGCTCTTTAGTTTAATTAGATCCCATTTGTCAATTTTGTCTTTTGTTGCCATTGCTTTTGGTGTTTTGGACATGAAATCCTTGCCCATGCCTATGTCCTGAATGGTAATGCCTAGGTTTTCTTCTAGGGTTTTTTATGGTTTTAGGTCTTTAATCCATCTTGAATTGATTTTTGTATAAGTGTAAGGAAGGGATCCAGTTTCAGCTTTTTATGTATGGCTAGCCAGTTTTCCCAGCACCATTTATTAAATAGGGAATCCTTTCCCCATTGCTTGTTTTTCTCAGGTTTGTCAAAGATCAGATAGTCGTAGATATGCGGCGTTATTTCTGAGGGCTCTGTTCTGTTCCATTGATCTATATCTCTGTTTTGGTACCAGTACCATGCTGTTTTGGTTACTGTAGCCTTGTAGTATAGTTTGAAGTCAGGTAGTGTGATGCCTCCAGCTTTGTTCTTTTGGCTTAGGATTGACTTGACGATGCGGGCTCTTTTTTGGTTCCATGTGAACTTTAAAGTAGTTTTTTCCAATTCCGTGAAGAAAGTCATTGGTAGCTTGATGGGGATGGCATTGAATCTGTAAATTACCTTGGGCAGTATGGCCATTTTCACGATATTGATTCTTCCTACCCATGAGCATGGAATGTTCTTCCATTTGTTTGTATCCTCTTTTATTTCCTTGAGCAGTGGTTTGTAGTTCTCCTTGAAGAGGTCCTTCACATCCCTTGTAAGTTGGATTCCTAGGTATTTTATTCTCTTTGAAGCAATTGTGAATGGGAGTTCACTCATGATTTGGCTCTCTGTTTGTCTATTGTCGGTGTATAAGAATGCTTGTGATTTTTGTACATTGATTTTGTATCCTGAGACTTTGCTGAAGTTGCTTATCAGCTTAAGAAGATTTTGGGCTGAGACAATGGGGTTTTCTAGATATACAATCATGTCATCTGCAAACAGGGACAATTTGACTTCCTCTTTTCCTAATTGAATACCCTTTATTTCCTTCTCCTGCCTAATTGCCCTGGCCAGAACTTCCAACACTATGTTGAATAGGAGTGGTGAGAGAGGGCATCCCTGTCTTGTGCCAGTTTTCAAAGGGAATGCTTCCAGTTTTTGCCCATTCAGTATGATATTGGCTGTGGGTTTGTCATAGATAGCTCTTATTATTTGGAAATACGTCCCATCAATACCTAATTTATTGAGAGTTTTTAGCATGAAGGGTTGTTGAATTTTGTCAAAGGCTTTTTCTGCGTCTATTGAGATAATCATGTGGTTTTTGTCTTTGGTTCTGTTTATATGCTGGATTACATTTATTGATTTGCGTACATTGAACCAGCCTTGCATCCCAGGGATGAAGCCCACTTGATCATGGTGGATAAGCTTTTTGATGTGCTGCTGGATTCGTTTTGCCAGTATTTTATTGAGGATTTTTGCATCAATGTTCATCAAGGATATTGGTCTAAAATTCTCTTTTTTGGTTGTGTCTCTGCCTGGCTTTGGTATCAGAATGATGCTGGCCTCATAAAATGAGTTAGGGAGGATTCCCTCTTTTTCTATTGATTGGAATAGTTTCAGAAGGAATGGTACCACTTCCTCCTTGTACCTCTGGTAGAATTCGGCTGTGAATCCATCTGGTCCTGGACTCTTTTTGGTTGGTAAACTATTGGTTATTGCCACAATTTCAGCTCCTGTTATTGGTCTATTCAGAGATTCAACTTCTTCCTGGTTTAGTCTTGGGAGAGTGTATGTGTCACGGAATTTATCCATTTCTTCTAGATTTTCTAGTTTATTTGCGTAGAGGTGTTTGTAGTATTCTCTGATGGTAGTTTGTATTTCTGTGGGATCGGTGGTGATATCCCCTTTATCATTTTTTATTGTGTCTATTTGATTCTTCTCTCTTTTTTTCTTTATTAGTCTTGCTAGCGGTCTATCAATTTTGTTGATCCTTTCAAAAAACCAGCTCCTGCATTCATTAATTTCTTGAAGGGTTTTTTGTTTCTCTATTTCCTTCAGTTCTGCTCTGATTTTAGTTATTTCTTGCCTTCTGCTAGCTTTTGAATGTGTTTGCTCTTGCTTTTCTAGTTCTTTTAATTGTGATGTTAGGGTGTCAATTTTGGATCTTTCCTGCTTTCTCTTGTGGGCATTTAGTGCTATACATTTCCCTCTACACACTGCTTTGAATGCGTCCCAGAGATTCTGGTATGTTGTGTCTTTGTTCTCCTTGGTTTCAAAGAACATCTTTATTTCTGCCTTCATTTCGTTATGTATCCAGTAGTCATTCAGGAGCAGGTTGTTCAGTTTCCATGTAGTTGAGTGGTTTTGAGTGAGATTCTTAATCCTGAGTTCTAGTTTGATTGCACTGTGGTCTGAGAGAGAGTTTGTTATAATCTCTGTTCTTTTACATTTGCTGAGGAGAGCTTTACTTCCAAGTATGTGGTCAATTTTGGAATAGGTGTGGTGTGGTGCTGAAAAAAATGTATATTCTGTTGATTTGGGGTGGAGAGTTCTGTAGATGTCTATTAGGTCCGCTTGGTGCAGAGCTGAGTTCAATTCCTGGGTATCCTTGTTGACTTTCTGTCTCGTTGATCTGTCTAATGTTGACAGTGGGGTGTTAAAGTCTCCCATTATTAATGTGTGGGAGTCTAAGTCTCTTTGTAGGTCACTCAGGACTTGCTTTATGAATCTGGGTGCTCCTGTATTGGGTGCATATACATTTAGGATAGTCAGCTCTTCTTGTTGAATTGATCCCTTTACCATTATGTAATGGCCTTCTTTGTCTCTTTTGATCTTTGTTGGTTTAAAGTCTGTTTTATCAGAGACTAGGATTGCAACCCCTGCCTTTTTTTGTTTTCCATTGGCTTGGTAGATCTTCCTCCATCCTTTTATTTTGAGCCAATGTGTGTCTCTGCACGTGAGATGGGTTTCCTGAATACAGCACACTGATGGGTCTTGACTCTTTATCCAATTTGCCAGTCTGTGTCTTTTAATTGGAGCATTTAGTCCATTTACATTTAAAGTTAATATTGTTATGTGTGAATTTGATCCTGTCATTATGATGTTAGCTGGTGATTTTGCTCGTTAGTTGATGCAGTTTCTTCCTTGTCTTGATGGTCTTTACATTTTGGCATGATTTTGCAGTGGCTGGTACAGGTTGTTCCTTTCCATGTTTAGCGCTTCCATAAGGAGCTCGTTTAGGGCAGGCCTGGTGGTGACAAAATCTCTCAGCATTTGCTTGTCTGTAAAGTATTTTATTTCTCCTTCACTTATGAAGCTTAGTTTGGCTGGATATGAAATTCTGGGTTGAAAATTCTTTTCTTTAAGAATGTTGAATATTGGCCCCCACTCTCTTATGGTTTGTAGGGTTTCTGCTGAGACATCTGCTGTTAGTCTGATGGGCTTCCCTTTGAGGGTAACCCGACCTTTCTCTCTGGCTGCCCTTAACATTTTTTCCTTCATTTCAACTTTGGTGAATCTGACAAATATGTGTCTTGGAGTTGCTCTTCTCGAGGAGTATCTTTGTGGCGTTCTCTGTATTTCCTGAATCTGAACGTTGGCCTGCCTTGCTAGATTGGGGAAGTTCTCCTGGATAATATCCTGCAGAGTGTTTTCCAACTTGGTTCCATTCTCCCCATCACGTTCAGGTACACCAATCAGACATAGATTTGGTCTTTTCACATAGTCCCATATTTCTTGGAGGCTTTGCTCATTTCTTTTTATTCTTTTTTCTCTAAACTTCCCTTCTCACTTCATTTCATTCATTTCATCTTCCATTGCTGATACCCTTTCTTCCAGGTGATCGCATTGGCTACTGAGGCTTCTGCATTCTTCACGTAGTTCTCGAGCCTTGGTTTTCAGCTCCATCAGCTCCTTTAAGCACTTCTCTGTATTGGTTATTCTAGTTATACATTCTTCTAAATTTTTTTCAAAGTTTTCATCTTCTTTGCCTTTGGTTTGAATGTCCTCCCGTAGCTCGGAGTAATTTGATCGTCTGAAGCCTTCTTCTCTCAGCTCGTCAAAGTCATTCTCCATCCAGCTTTGTTCCGTTGCTGGTGAGGAACTGCATTCCTTTGGAGGAGGAGAGGCGCTCTGCGTTTTAGAGTTTCCAGTTTTTCTGTTCTGTTTTTTCCCCATCTTTGTGGTTTTATCTACTTTTGTTCTTTGATGATGGTGATGTACAGATGGGTTTTTGGTGTGGATGTCCTTTCTGTTTGTTAGTTTTCCTTCTAACAGACAGGACCCTCAGCTGCAGGTCTGTTGGAATACCCTGCCGTGTGAGGTGTCAGTGTGCTCCTGCTGGGGGGGTGCCTCCCAGTTAGGCTACTCGGGGGTCAGGGGTCAGGGACCCACTTGAGGAGGCAGTCTGTCCGTTCTCAGATCTCCAGCTGCATGCTGGGAGAACCACTGCTCTCTTCAAAGCTGTCAGACAGGGACATTTAAGTCTGCAGAGGTTACTGCTGTCTTTTTGTTTGTCTGTGCCCTGGCCCCAGAGGTGGAGCCTACAGAGGCAGGCAGGCCTCCTTGAGCTGTGGTGGGCTCCACCCAGTTCCAGCTTCCCGCTGCTTTGTTTACCTAATCAAGCCTGGGCAATGGCGGGCGCCCCTCCCCCAGCCTCGCTGCTGCCTTGCAGTTTGATCTCAGACTGCTGTGCTAGCAATCAGCGAGACTCTGTGGGCGTAGGACCCTCCGAGCCAGGTGCGGGATATAATCTCGTGGTGCGCTGGTTTTTAAGCCGGTCCAAAAAGCACAATATTCGGGTGGGAGTGACCCGATTTTCCAGGTGTGTCCATCACCCCTGTCTTTGACTCGGAAAGGGAACTCCCTGAACCCTGGCGCTTCCCGAGTGAGGCAATGCCTCACCCTGCTTCGGCTTGCGCACGGTGGGTGCACCCACTGACCTGCGCCCACTGTCTGGCACTCCCTAGTGAGATGAACCCGGTACCTCAGATGGAAATGCAGAAATCACCCGTCTTCTGCGTCGCTCACGCTGGGAGCTGTAGAACGGAGCTGTTCCTATTCGGCCATCTTGGCTCCTCCCCCAGAATACTTTTCTTAGAGAAGAGATGCTGCTTTGTCCCTTAAAACTTAGTATAGTATATGATTCTTGAAGTAAGGACCATGTCTTATTCCTCATTATAATTTCTTAACACATTCCTCAAAGCTCACTCTAGGAACTTTACATAGAGAAGGTAGTTTAAAAATACTTTAGGAAACATACACCTCTAAAAGTTACCTAACCTAAAGATTACTCAGACACACTTTGCCTTGTGTAGAATATTTGAAATATATTAAGAGGAGAATATTCTCTTCCAATAACATTTCTCATTATCTTTAGTTTACACCTTCTGACTCAATTGTTTATGAAGAGGAACTCACTGAGAAAACCTAAAGCTTTCAGCAGAATTATTTTGAATTAATCATCAAACTAATATAACTTCTGGAAAAAATAATTTCTAAAGTCGAGTTTAATGCTACTCTTCATTAATGGTTACAAATTTTTTTTTAAGGAAAACAAAGTAGAAAACATAGTAAAAGTCTTGTGAAGTTTTCAACTGTTTTTGTTTTATTTCTGTTTTCATCTGTCCCTAAGACGTGGACAAAGTAATGTTTACAAGTAGTTTATAATTTTCTAATTCTTAGGTTTGCTTCTTTTGTTATTTTCAAAATATACTAAGTAGAATATTGGTTGTTTGCTACACTCCTGATGTACATATAAAAAATAAAATAATTAATGAGTATTACCTGGGTATTTTCTATGATTGGAGTCTGCTTTGTCGTGTTATATTTTACAGTGAACTTAATACAAGTCTACATAAGTTAATATTGGAGCCTATTCATCAATAACCCCGTCACAGACCCTGTGTAATTTCTACTCATTGCTATATTATGGGCAAAGATTTTCTAATATAGTTATATAATCATGATTGTAGAAAAAAACCACAGAAGTTTTTTTTTTTGGTTGTTTATCTTTAATTAGTGTGTCTGAAAAATTATATCTATTGCATGAGGTATGAATTTTATACAACCGTTAATACCGTGATGGAATAGGTCACTCAATAACATTAATTAAATTAGTACAAAAGAAATCTTTTGGGGTTTATCTTTTATTAGAAATTTAAAAATATATATTCGTTGAGATTATTTTATGTAAGTAACACCTATCATATACCTAAATGCTACAATTTGAAAGTAGAAAAGAGCTATCAGAATAGGTTTAAGGAATATTCAATGATTCTAAGCAATATGTTTTTGAGACCTGTTATGTCATGTTAATATGATAAATATGCAAAGTTGTTACATTAGCATCACATACTTTCTATATCCCCCTAATAATGTCATTTTTTTAACTCCCTTTATAACGGGTCTTACACCCTCTATTATCAATAAAAGTTAATGAAAATTCATAATACTACCCATTTGGGGAGTACAATTGGCTCTCCATATTCTTGGGTTCTTTATCCATTGATTCAACCAATTGCAGTTAGAAAATATTCAGAAAAAAATCGCTGAACATGTACAGACATTTTTCATTATTATTTTCTAAACAGCATAGTATAACAACTATTATATAGAATTTACATTGTACTAGGTATTATAAGTAATTTAGAGATGATTTAAAGTATAAAAGAGGATGTTCATAGGTTATATCCAAATATTAACAGTGTTCTATATAAAGGATTTGAACTTTCATGGATTTTGGTATCCATGGGAGGTCCTGGATGGTATTCCTCATGGATACTGAGGAATGACTGTATATTATTTTGGTAGGAATCTATGATAAAAAATTTAGCCATTATTCATCTGGCAGGTGAGCATATGGATAAACCTTGAATCTCAGGAAATAGTGTTTATTCACTTTAGTGGTAAATATTGATATCTCTGATTTTAGAGGTTCCATGATAAAATGTATTCTGAATTGAAAATAAGATCTTATTGAAGTTTGGTCACTCTATTTTATATTAGACCTCTAGTGCATTCTAACTTACCGGTTGAAAATATTGTATAGTTGAATTTCTCTTTTCCTATTGCATTTATACTGAAGTCTCAACTACTAAAAGATGTCACATCTGAAAAGCATGATTTTAAAATTTGTATGTTTTCTAGGACAAAACTATATCCAGTTTCAGTAAAATCGTCCTAAAGTCAAACACCAGAGTGAATTTAAATCATAGTTATTACTCCTGGAAAATCAAGTATTAAAATGTGCAAACAACAGAATCGCTTTCAAATTGTAAATGAAACCAGCCAACCAAAACTGTTCTTAAAATTTTCTAACCTAAAGAATTTGATATCACTGCCTCAGGGTAATATATTCAGTGCCTGTAGTATACATTGTTGGTTAAAGTAAGCTGGGCTCTAAGTCACTTTTTGCCTAAGGCTGACCTAGTAGTGCTTCTGGCATTTTATATTTGTTTGTTTTTTGAAAATACTTCACTGGTTCTTATTTAGAAAATGTTAATACACTTTCTTATAGCAATGTAAACAAAGAGACAGAGCTTAGAAATCTACATAAATTAAGTATGCTTTTTTGTATGTCTGTCTTTTACTATATCAAGTCAACATAGTTGGACACAACTTCAATAAATTAAAGCTTATGTTAGAAATTGAGTAAAGTTGTGCCACTCAAGGTAGCTGCTCTTTGAACTATCTGTTATTGGTCCAGGATGAGATAAGAAGCTTGAGAGAGAAAGTAAATAATACTTAATTTTTTGAGAATGTCTTGCTATAAAGAAAAGCAAAAGTCAGCTGAAATAAATAGCATGTTTAGTCACAAAGTGCTTTACATTCTTGCACGAGCTCTTTATCTCCTTGCAATTCACAATAAACGTTCCACAGACCATCATGGATTAGCAGATCTTATTTTTTTTGTTACGCTTCTCTAAAGGAAGCGCAGATATTAGCAGTTAAACCTCTAAAAGAGCTAGGGTTGAGATCAAATAACATTTTATTTTATTTCCAATGAGGATAGACTATGCAATTTATTAAGACACGTGGAGAGAAAAAACAAACATTAATTTTGAATATGGATTCAAATTTTTAAAAATTGTACATCATCAACCCAAATTATAGATGTTGGCCAATTCTATACAATGCACCCAAAGACAAATTGAACAGCAATTAATTTATTTACTAATGCTGATTATTATTCTGCCTAGCAATGCAGAGAAGGCTAATTTTAAAGAAATTCATAGAATAATTTTGAGTAATACATACTTAAGATTGATTAACTTCTATAGTTATATACTTATATGGAGAATTAGATTTTTTTTTAAATGGGCCAAATTTACATTAAATATAAATTCTATGTCTATCTTGAAAATAAAATTAATCTTCTTTGTGCTTCTTTGGAACATTTTTAGGAATCAGCCTGTTAAATTCTTTTTCAAAGATGAAGATTTTGCTCTGTATTTCACACAAGTTTCATTCCCCTAAAAATTCCAAAAATTATATTTATTAAAATTAGATCTACTTAAAAATAATATAGCACAGTGAAATTGACAAACAACACACACACACACACACACACACACACACACAATTATCCTCTGTGTAGGCCAAGGGCAAGAATTACTAGAACAATGAAATAGGTTTACTCCACAATTAAATGTTATTGAAATTTCAACTAACAAACAAAAAGTACACATCAAAATGGCCTGATTTTTCAGACTCCACTAAAAAAATCCCCTGGGATATATTTAAAGATAAAGATTAGAACAAATTCTACTGATATTTAGAAAATTCATAATTTAAGGATTAAATAAATATTTATAGTGTTTATAATATTCAATCTTTCCTTCAAAATGTGTCTCTAAGCACATAATTCTGTCTTCTGTAGATAAATTTCATAATTAAGTGCACAAATACATAAATGTAGTTACATAATACATATTATATACACATATTATTTTATAGTTTATTTTAGTAGCTATGTATTTAGTATACATTTTTGTTTTTATTCTTCTTTGTCTTTTTGTTTATTTTAACTATGTCTCTTCTAGACAATACATTTTGGGATCTCATTTTGTTGTATATCTGAGGATTTCTGTCTTTTAGTTACTGTGTTTAACTCATGGCTATTGTAATTAATATTTTGTTAAAACTTTTCTGCCATATTTATTTAGTATTTTTAAAGTATTTTATTTAGTTCTATTTATTTATTATTGTTTGTTTTTGATTTTATCTTTTCCATTGGCTAAATCATGTTTTCTTCCACTCTTGTTATGTTAATTGCCCTCCTTTAAGACTCAAGCCTGTATGTATCGACTCTATTGGTACCTTATACTTACCAATATTTACATCTTTCCTACTACAAACAAATACTTTTGCACAATTTTAAGTACTTTTTCTTCCAGGCCTCTCCACACATCATGTAGATATTTTCTGGAATTTTAGTTCTGGGTTATTATTAATATAACTCATATTTTCCTTTGCCCAAGCCTTTTTATGAGCAACAATAATAAATTCTACCATAATGGTTTTCCAGCCTTACTTTAAGCAAGCCTCACTGCAACTTTATGTTTATTGTATTGTCTGAGTACTCTTTAAAAATTGTCTTTAACATGTATCTCCATGACAACTATCTCAAGACCTGAAATGCTTTGCTGGATTTTTATTAGGCCCTCTAATTTAATTAGTAGTTAGGCTTGATATGAAATATCTAGTTTCAAATACATTTTGGTCTGTGCTTAAAACTGTGCCCCCCCCAACACACATATATACACTCAGCTGTGTTTTTATATGTGCTGTAGTTGCTGAGAAATTTGTTGTCTGTATAATTCTCTCACATTATCAGGTAACCTGCTCTTTCTCTTGGGCAATATTTATGGTTGTCTCTTTGTCTTTAATATTCTTAAAACTTGCCATCATATATGTGAGTTTTTTTTAAGCCCTCATAGGCATGCTTTCAATCAGTTGTCTTTCTTCTTCCTTTAATTTTCTAAAACTTATCTTCAATATTTATTTCAATATTTTCTCTTCCTTCTTTAATTTTTTCTTTTTCTGCTGCCTTTTAACAAAGGTAATTAATCTATTTTTTTCAATTCACTTGTTCATTTTACAGCTATATTCCCCTAATTATGCAATAATCATTATTTATTTCAATAATTTTAATGTATTACTTAATTAAAATTGATATCTTTCTTTTTCTCTCTCTGTACACACGCACATATGGGTGGGTAAAGATATAAATATATATTTACTTTTTATTTTATGATAATTTTAAGTTATTTTTCTGGCTGCTTCAATAATATCATTTTAATTTTTATGTAGAACCTCTTGTCTTTAAAAAATCTATTTTTCATGTGCAGTTATTTTTACTATGAGTTTATTTTCTCGATGAAATTATATAAGAGACTATTAGCAGCTGCATAGTCAATGTATGCTAGGGCTTCCTTGGGAAAAATAAAATATAAAATATTGATAGTTTAATGTAATAAAGTTTTGCTTCTCATTCTAGTCAAAACTTATTACATACTGAATAGCTTCTTTCCATCCTGTATCTATAGTGTCTGAAAAGCTTAACTATTTCTTATCACAAAGACATGAAGTGTTAGTCAGGGTCCGCCAGAGAAACAGTAAATGAGAAATGGAAGATATTCTTTAGGGCCAAGTCTGGGAGTGACTATCAAATTATCTGTTCAAATCTTTGTCTAGAACTCAACCATGTCTCTGCACTGAACTGCAGAGAAGGCAGTATATATCTCTGGGTACACATATCTCTATGCAATGGATGCTCCAACTAGTATTTTGCATCAGTAACAGACTGAAGTCCCATCACCACTTCATGAAAGACCTGGAGAATTTAATGAGAAGGCTACCAATGAGGTTGATAATTCAGGATTGCCATTTCTTCAGAACAAATATGGATCACTCCCACTCCCACTTGATAGTACTCAATGAGGCAAATCTTATGATCAAGATTTCACTTTTTAAATCCTCATAGAGAAGCATCATTGGGAGAAAGCAATTTTCATAATTTATCATCCATCAGCCCTGGGTATTCGGAAGGAAAATATGAAGCAGTAACTCCTTAGAGGTCTGATTTCTCCACTGAGTCTTCATCAAGTCCTTACCCTTCAGGGCTTTGGCACAACCCTCATATCCTCTTGTCATTTGGTCTAATTTCTGCAGTGAAGTGTCAGTTAAAAACTGTTGCAAAAGCAGAAATAGAACTTAAGACACATCAGCCCAAGACAGCTTTGTGTTCCCAGAGGTTTCTTATTTTTTCTTTGTTTTTTTGTTTGTATCTGAATTATATTTTTCTTTCTCACTTGTGAAGTCTCTCCAGAATTGATTTTGGAGTAGGGGTCTAGAAGCTAAAGCTAAGTCATCATCCTGGCAGAAACTATAAATTCAAAACACTATGTCTTTATGCCAGTTATCGATTTTTATTAGCTGACATATCCCAACAAAAATAATACAACTAAATGTGCTTTATCAAACATTTAAAAAAGATAAAATATATATATATATATATATATATTTCTTATTTTGTAACAAATATGACATAGGGTAAATTGGTCAAATATCAAGTTATTAAAATTACATCTGGTGTTTTTAATAAATATTGTCAAATATTTTCATTTAAATGCAGTTTTGAAAGGAATATACTTCTCCAAGGACTACTTTTTCTTCTGTTTTTCTTAATGTTGACAACTGATTAAATGTTTAGCAAGATTATGAATCTTAGAATGAGAAATGATTAATAGGTATAGATTTAAATTATTATGTTCTATTAAAAATGATTTAGTCCTTGATGAACATCTGTTTGGTAATATGTTGTATCTAGATATAGTAAATTAGTGACATATATAAAATTATAGGGAAATGACACCTTCAGTTTCATTATGAGGAGAGTTTTTAAAATGCTATTAGTCTCAACCTGTCACCTTATCATTATATAGCATTATGTAGCACTTAAAAGATGTATACCCTTTATTTTGAAGTTCTTTAGAAATTTAAAATATTACTCTTTATGGTTTCTGGTTCTGCATTTCTTTATTGCTAATAAGAACACATCCATATGCTTTGATTCAAGCAGGTACTAAAATTTGGTTATTTGGAATAATGATGTTTACTCTCATCTTCTCACCCTTAGCAGGTGTCCTAATTTTAGTACACTTCAGTGATATGATTTCACACTTATTAAAAACATTTATTAAAATTACTGGTGATATTTCAAATTGCTGAACAAAATTCTTATTTTCTTAAATTTTCTACAAAATATGAGCTTTAAAGTTTCTTTTTTTTGAGGGCGTTATTTTAGGGTCTTCAGAGAGAATCTAGCAGTGTGGAAATCTATACTTTTTGAATAATTATTATTTGGTAATTCATGTGATTGTTTCTTTAAGGTTCATGTATTTTGTCTGTTACATGTTATTTAATATTTTGAAAGCAAACTTAAATTATCATTCACAAAATTTTTTTTTTGAGGAAAGAAGGCAAAATGACATAAAATTGTGCATTTGTTCAACATTAATTTAGGTAGTAATTTATCAAATAACTATTGATCATCACTTTGTAGTAGATGGTAGATATTACTTTAGATCACATTGGTCAAAAAAACATGTGTCTTTCTGGAGCTTTAATTTTAATAGGAAGACAAAGTAAAGCAAAGCTGCCAACCTAAATAAAGAAATTATATAGCATGTTCAAAGATGATGAGTACAATGGGGAAAAAAAGAAAAAAAAATGGATTGATTGGGCTAAGATGAATCAAGATTGCTGAGCTGGGATAGGAAGTTAAAGTTTTAATAGGAAGCTTAGTGCAGTGAAGCTTAGTTATTGTGAAGGTAATGTTTAAGCAAAAAAGGGCAAGGGAGTTTGCCAAGAACTCTCTGTAGTATGACAACTCCAGACAAATGGATTGGCAATTGCAAAGGCCATCAGGTTGAATCATGCCTAACGTATCTGAAGAATACTGGCGAGACCACTGGGGTTGCAGAAATGAATGGAAGAGTGGCAAGTAATGAGGTCAAAGAGGCTAAATGAGTGACTTCATGTAAAAGCTTAGATGTCATTATAAGGCTCTAGCTTTTATATTTGAAAACTTACTATGTGATAGAAATTCTGCTGATAACTGAGAGTTTCCTAACTTCTAGAGTTCTTACTCTAGTAGGTTAGATTAAGAAAAAGAGTTTGGGTCACAATGTCATGTGACAAATATTGTAAGATGCAAGTATAAGAACTTATGAAAAAACAGAAGTTTGACGAAATCAGAGTGATAAATCTGGTGACTTTCTGTGACTATATGTTAATTTGCATTTTCTAGGTTTTTACAGTCCTAGAATCACATGATGTGTAGTCTTTATTGTCTGGTTTCTTCCACTCAGCATAATTATTTTGAAAAGCATCCAAGTTGTGTGTATAAACAGTTCTTTCATTTATATGCTATGTAGCATTCTTTTGTATGGACATATCATAATTTGTTTATCATTGCTGTATTGATAGACATTTTCCTTTTTTTCAATTGTTACTGTGCTTATAAGCCAACCATGTATATTTGCTAAAATGGCTGTTATGTATTTGCTAAAATGTATTTGCTGTTATGTATTTGCAAAAATGGCGGTTAAGTATTTTCTCCATAGATAAAATTAGGTACACTGTTTTGCTATTAGTGAGGAGAATTTTGTTTCTAATAATGTGAGTAGACATTCTTAATCAAATATAAGATGTGCAAATCCTTTTGGGGCACAGTGATGACAGCAGCTATGCTGCCACTCCCTCCTCCCCCTTCTTCATCTTTAATTTTTTCAATAGTGTTTTCAAAAAGCAAAAGTTTTTATTTTGATTAAGTCAAATTAATTACATACATCCCTGGAAGGTATTGTGGGTTTGGTTCCAGAACAATGCAATAACATGAATATTGCAATAAAAAAGTCACAGTATTTTTTTGATTTCTCAGGGCATATAAAAGTTATGTTTACACTATACTCTAGTCTCTTAATTGTGGAACACATTTGTGTTTATACAATGCATATATCTTAATTTTAAAAACTTCATTGCTAAAAAATGCTAAGGACTATCTGAGCCTTCGGTGAGTCATAATGTTTTTTTGTGGTGGAGAGTCTTGCCTCACTGTCAATGACTACTGACTGATCAGTGTGGTGGTCGCTGAAGGTTGAGGTGGCTATGGCATTTTCTCGAAATAAGACAAAAATGTTTGCCACGTTCATTGACTCTTTCTTTCATAAAAGATTTTCCTAGAGCATTCAATGCTGTTTGATAGTATTTTACTGACAGAACTTTTTTCAAAATTGGAATCGCTCCTCTCAAACCCTGTTGCTGCTTTATCAACCAAATTTTTGTAATATTTTAAATCCTTTGTTGTCATTTCCACAGTGTTCATTGCATCTTCAACAGGAGTAGATTCCATCTTAAGAAAACATTTTCTTTGCTCGTCTATAAGAAGAAAGGCCTCATCCATTCAAGTTTTATAATGAGATTGCAGCAATTAAGTTCCATCTTCCGGCTTCATTTCTAATTCTAGTCTCATGATTTCCATCACATCTGCAGTTACTTACTGCAGTGAAGTCAAAGTCATCCATTAAGGTTGGAATCAACTTCTTCCACACTACTGTTAACGTTGATATTTTTACTTCCTTTTATGAATCATGAATTTCCTTAATGACATCTAAAATGGTGAATCCTTTCCAGAAGATTTTCAATTTACTTTGCCCAGATTTATCACAAGAATCACTATCTATGGCAGCTATAGCTTTATGAAATGTATTTCTTAATTCATAAGACTTGAAAGTCCAAATTACTCCTTGATTCATGGACTGCAGAATGGATATTGTGCTAACAGGCATGAAAACAACATTAATCTCCTTCTACTTCTCCGGCAGAGGTCTTCGGTGACCAAGTGCTTGTCAATGAGCATTTATATTTTGAAAAAAATCTATTTTCTGAGCAGTAGGTCTTAACAGTGGGCTAAAATATACAGTAAACAATGCTGTAAACTATATCCTCCCATTCAGGCTTTGTAGTTCCATTAATAGAGCACAGGCAAAGTAGATTTAGCATAATTCTTAAGGGACCTAAGAGCTTCAGAATGGTCAATGAACATTGTTTTCAACTTAAGGTCACCAGCTACATTAGACACTAACAACAGAGTCAGCCTATCCTTTGAAGCACTGAAGCCAAGTATTGACTTCTCCTCTCCGGCTATGAAGCCCTAGATGGCATCTTCTTCCAATAGAAGGCTGTTTGTCTACATTAAAAATTTGTTGTTTAGTGTAGCCACCTTCATCAATGATCTTAGCTAGATCTTCTGGATAACTTGTTGCAGCGTCTACGTCAACACTTGCTGCTTCACCTTGCTGCACTTCTATGTTATGAGGATGGCTTCTTATTTTAAAACTTATAAACCAACTTCTGGTAGCTTCAAACTTTTCTTCCATGACTTCTTCACCTCTCTTGGCCTTCACAAAATTGAAGAGAGTTAGGGCCTTGCTCTGGATTAGGCTTTGGCGTAAGGAAATGTTTTGGCTAGTTTAGTCTAGGCAGAACACTCAGACTTTCTCCATGTTAACAAAAAGGCTGTTTCACTTTGTTATCATTTTTAATTTGCTTCAAGAACTTTGTCTTTGCATTCATAACTTGCATAACTGTTTGGTACAGCAAATGCAGCTATCTCAGTTTATAACATCCCATCCTCACTAAGTTTAATTATATCTAGCATTGGATTAGAGGTGAGAGATGTGTGATTCTTCTTTTCACTTGAATGCTTAGAGGCCATTATATGGTTATTAATTGGCCTAATTTTAATATTGTTATGTCTCAGGGAGTAAGGACCCTCAAGTAGCAGGAGAGACACAGGGCATGGCCCTGTGAAGCAGTCAGAACACACACAATAGGTATTGATTAAGTTTGACATCCTATATGGGTTCAGTTTGCAGTGCTCCGAAGAAACTATAATAGTAACAACAAAGATCACCGATCATAGATCACTATAACAGATATAACAATAATGAAAAAGGTTTTGTAATAATTACCAAAACGTGACGAAGAGACTCAAAATGAGCACATGATGTTGGAAAAGAAGGTGCAAATGGACCTTTATCATAAGGAGGAAGTTTTTTTATTCCTAGTCTGATGAGAGTTTTATCAGGAGTAGATGTTGGAATTTATTAAACAATTTATCTACACCTATTGAAATCATCAAATGACTGTCCTTTTATAAGCTGTTAAATGTTAATACATATACTTTATAAAATGCTAAACCAAACTTGCATTTCTGAGTTTAACCTCATTTGGTCATCACTTATTTAGATGTTTATATATTTGGGGGTTTATTTATTTAATTTATGGCTCTTTAATATATGTATACACATAAATAATACTAATTTGTATTTTTTGGTAATTCATTTCTTCTTGTTTTTGCATCAGAGTAATGCTCACTTTGAAGAATGAGTTTCGAAGTATTTTTTCTCAATCTTCTGAAGAATTTGTGTAGAATTTATATTATTTCATCCTGAAATATTTGGTAGGACTTCAAAATGAAGCTTCTCAGCCTGGAATTTGTGAAATAATAATAATTTGAAATATACTTTCTTGTGGCAGGTCTATTCAGTGTGTGTTTCTTCTTAAGGAAGCTTCAATAATTTGTGCATTTCAAGGGACATGCTATGCCTCTGATTTCTGACATTGGTAAGTCTGGCTAGAACTATCTCTTTTATCTTTTTAAAGAAGGTCATCAATTAACATATGCCTATTCTTTGATGGTAATGACTGTTCTGTTATATCAATCATTTCCAGTTAGTTGATAATGTTGCCCAAGTCTTCCAAATCTTACAGATTTGCTGACTATTTGTTCTACAAATTATCAAGAGGAGTGTTAAAATTTTCTAACATAATTGCCAATTTTTCTATTTCTTCTCTAAGATATAACTTTATGTCCTATGTATCTTGAACATTATTAGGTATGTGTATTTCAAGAATTTTTCCCTCTTGAAGAATTGGCTCTTTCATATTTTGAAATGACCTTGTGTCTGGTAATGTATTTTGCTCTAAAGTTTACTTTGCATAAAGTTTGCATGAAGTTTACTTTGCATCATAATATTACCATTGAAACTTTCTTTGGATTATGGTTAATATATGTTTTTCTCTTATTTTTAAGACACTTCTATATTTAGCTCTCAAAAATAAAAGAAGCTGTTGTTTTTACCTCTAAAAGCATCTTCATAAATTATCTTAAAGCATTAAACAACCAAGCCAGAGACTCCTGTTACATTAGGTCATTGTCAAAAATATAGTGTTCTCAACTCATTTATCTTTTTCCTAATTCTTATTTTAGTATGCTCTGTTTTTCTTCCAAGCTTTTTCACTCTTTTTTATATACCGTGTTTCATGAGAAATATGAATTCTACTCTATCATAAAATACTTTTTTGAAATGTTATTACTTCTGTCTTAGTAAAACTAAGTTTTTGTCTGAATATATTAATTCATCTGACTTTTTTTTAAGTGGTTAATAAACATGTTTCCAAATGTTCTTCTCCTCCAGGCAAGGAGTGTATTTCAGCCTCATCTTTACTCTTTTTAAAATGTGCTTTTCAAAGAGCTGTACTTCTTTATAAAACCTAAACTTTTTCATGCTCCCTGTTACCCCAATTGTCTATGTTCATCCCACTTGGTTGGTTACTTCAATAACACATCTGGCTACATACCCTCCTTCATTGAAATCTGTAGCTTGAAATTCATAGTCTTTCTTTTTGCTCTGTGTTTTACCAGATCCCAGGTGGCTTCATTCATTTATTCATTCTCATAAATGAAAGACCCAATATAACATGTCTATGATGAAATGTATTCCAAATATACTATGACCTCTTGCTTCTTGAGCTCTGGACTTGCTGTTTCAATCACCGTCATGCTAAATTCTAATCATCCTAGAGGTATTTCATCAGAAAGAACACTTCTACCCAAAGTTCTCTCCCTGACAGGAAATGGTAACTTCATTCTTCTGTTGTGCACATAAAATAAATTTGGACACATTCTGTCTTGCACATACCTCATCCCACTCATCTGGAAATTGCATTTATCTACCACTAAAATATATGCAGAGAAATAACTTCTTACTGCTTCCATCACCGCCAGATTGGTAAAACACCATTATATGTTACCTGGATTATTGATCTTGTAGGTTTCCCTACCTCTACACCTGTACCTCTCCTCCTTCCACCATAGTCTGTTCCTGGCATAGCAATGTCACTTAAAGATAAAGTCAGATGGTTTCATTCCACTGTTACACGTGCTCTAATAGCTTCCCCTTTCACTCGGAGTGAAAAGCGTGCCTTTGTACTAAAAATTGATACATCATTACTTCTTTTCCTCTTTGCATTTGTATGCTTTCCACACTGTTCTTCAAATGCGACAGACAAGCTGTTCTCTCCAGAAATATAGTCATGCATCACATAACAATATTTTAGTTATCAATGAATTACATATATCATGGTTGCCCTATAAGATTATAATGATGCTGCAAAATTTCTATGGCCAAGTGATGTGGTACCCTAGTAGCATTGAAGCACAATGCATTATTTTTTCTATGTTAAGATATGTTTAATAAAATACTTACCATTGTGTTATAATTGCCTACAATATTCTGTTCAGCAACATGCTGTAAAGGTTTATAACTTAGAGCAACAGGCAGTATCATACATCCTAGGTGTGTAGTAGGCTATACTGTGTAGATTTGTGTAAGTGTGCTCTAAGATGTTTACATTATGACAAAATTACCTAAAGATGAGTTTCTCATAATGTATTCCTGTTGGTAAATAACACATGACTATACTTGCTTTTCCCTCTGCCTGACATCCCTTTTCTTTATAATTGCATGTCATCTTCCCTCACTTCCTTTGCCTTTCCACTCAAACAAAATGTTATAAGTAGACATAACATCCCATTATAAAAGAAAAATAACCTTCCCCCTGACGTTGCCTACTGGCTTTTACCTTGCCTTATTTTGTTTTGTAACACTTATCACCGTCAGCCATTTACTTACTGTACCATTATCTGTTTACTTTACCCTTGCACTCCAATAGAATGTAAGCCCTTTGATGGCAGGTATTTCAGATGCCTTGTTCATTTCTATATTCCCTGAAGGATAGCTGGCACAAGGTAAAGGCTCACAACGTATTTTTAAATATAGTTTTGTCATCATTGTTGAGCTCCTTTGTAGGCTCTACCTCTTACTTTAGAAGTCTATCCTTCAATTGCAAGCAGTAGGAATAGAGTCTTGTTGCATGTTCAGATGAATAAAGCCCTGTGCTAAATAGCAAATTTTGAAAGCTAAATGAATGGCCCAATACTAATATATAGAGGAAAAGAGAACACACTTTCTGCAGTTTGGTAGCAAAACTGTTTTAGAGAATTTCTTTAGAAGCCTGAACTAATGTATTATAATGGGTACTTGTACATTACAATTATACAAACAGTTTGGTAATTTATATCCTCTTTGTGATTCATGAATGGATCATTTAATTCCTTAGGAGCATTATAGCATTTCAAGTTTTCATGCTCAATAAATCTATTGAGATTGCTACCTTTCCTATTCAAATGGAAAAAAATTATCTTGTTTTTTCATCCAAAAGTTTTTTCCTAGGAATAAATTATATTAGGTTAGTTGCAGTTTTGTTAAATTTCCAAGTATGTCACTGATAAAAGCCTTTTCATAGAAGAAATAATTTTATGCAAAGCACAGAAGCTATATAACACTCAATTATCATACTATATATGTGTCTGTATTACACAGTGATAACATTCACCTTAACTCTATCTAAGATACATAAGTGCCATATGATTTTTCTACTTGTGTCTTATGAAATTCAACAAAACAAAGTTATTACCTTTGCTGGTGTGAAAACTGGTTTAGAAAAAATATGTTTTGAATGAAAGATAACGTCTTAAGAGTGATATGGCAATTCCAAACTATATACTTTTATTGTGTTTATTTACATTTTCTAAAATTTTATTTAAACTATCTGCAAAAGAAAAGAGTTATAAAAAATAAAGATTTGCTATTTTTACAAAATCGTAATTATATGTGTATATATATATGTGTGTATATATATATATATATATATATATATTTATTTATTTATTTTCTTTTTTTGAGACAGAGTCTCGCTCTGTTGCCCAGGCTGTAGTGCAGTGGCACGATCTCGACTTACTGCAACCTCCGCCTCCCGGGTTCATGCCATTCTCCTGCCTCAGCCTCCCGAGTAGCTGGGACTACAGGCGCCCGCCGCCACGCCCAGCTAATTTTTTGTGTTTTTAGTAGAGACGGGGTTTCACCGTGTTAGCCAGGATGGTCTCGATCTCCTGACCTCGTGATCCACCCTCCTCAGGCTCCCAAAATGCTAGGATTACAAGTGTGAGCCACTGCGGCCAGCCTTATATGTTAATAAGTTAATCATGTAGGTAGAAATATTTGCTGCATTGAAACTAAAATATTAGGTATTTTGGTGAACAGTCACAGTTAAATTAATATTAATACTACCAATAGATTTGTAAAAATATAAAATTACATACATTATATGCATGTTGCATGGTAAGTACCTGCCTGATAAATTATATTTACCACGATTTTGAATGAGGAGTGCCATCTGGCCCTGTTTAATTTCTAACAGCCCTTTTAACTTAAAATTCTTGGTGGGGCACGGTGGCTCACCCCTGTAAATCCCAGCACTTTGGGAGGCCGAGGTGGGCGGATCACGAGATCCAGAGATTGAGACCATCCTGGCTGACACGGTGAAACCCCCTCTCTGCTAAAAATACAAAAAAATTAGCTGGGCGTGGTGTCGAGCGCCTGTAGTCCCCGCTACTCTGGAGGCTGAGGCAGGAGAATGGTGTGAACCTGGGAGGCGGAATTTGCAGTGAGCCGAAATGGCGCCACTGCACTCCAGCCTGGGCGACAGAGCAAGATTCCATCTCAAAAAAAAAAAATTCTCGGGTAAAAATTCCTTCTTTAGGATGTTACAACTTCCTTGTAGACTTTGCCTAGGAGTAAGGGCAAAAACCTAACTTCTCTCAGTGTCTTCAAAGCTATTTTGAAAATTTCTATCTACTTAGTTATCTTGTAAGTGGTTGTCGAAGCTTTTGTTTGGAACCCATGTAGTTTCATAGACTCTTGGCTTTTTCAAATCTTTCTTTCCATCTTGCTCTCAAATATCTGTGCCAACACTCCTCTCCACTTCTGTAGAGAATTTAGTATTTGAAAACCAAGGACATGAAAAGATTCTCTATTTTCGTGTTTAAACATTTTCATCCTTGTTTTGGGCCAGACTTCTTAGAAAACAGAACAGAAAGCTAAAGCACGTATGCTAATGTTTTAGTGGCGAGTGTAATTCCAGAAAAGCAAAAGTGAGTGAAATGAAGTGTGAGGGAAAGAAAACAAATACAAGGGGAGATCACAGCTTTTTACAAGTGTAGTCATTTTGGAACTACAGCATCTCTGAACTGTTGGAAGAATGGGGTTTAGGGCAAGGTAAAGCATTTATTTATTGGTTACCTTCTATTCTCATTCGCCAAGTGTAGCCCCACTTCTCAGTTGTGAGTTGCTTTATCTGCTTCCATCAGCAGCCACTGGGGAAGCCAAACACTAGCCCTGCATTTGACCTTCTGAGAAGATGTGGAGGGACCAGAGTACCCTGACTATGACCACAGTTGGGAGAGTGGAGGTATCCTCATGGCCTGCTTTGGCTGAGTTTATTTATAACTATAATTTATTTCTTTACACTGCTCTACATACTGTGTGTTTAATTTTGTAGGCATCGTTATTTTCAATAATATCCTAATTATATAACTTTTCTTATCACAACTAATACCCATTACTTCTGAACTTACCAGATACTATGTAATTGAGAAGCACAACTCAGCCAAACTGCAGTAGCACTTTTCTAGATAAAATGGCTCACTGGAAACCTTTCGTTTGTATTAGATGAGACTTGCTCTGGTGTATGCCATTGTTCATATGTAAGAAAGTTTAAGTTAATACTCCATAAATAAAGAAACTTCTTGTTGTTATTGATCCAATAAATTATTGGGTATTATAGCAAGAGAGTATTATTCTATTCTATTATAGCAACAGAATATCTGAGACTGGTTACATTTATCATGAACATAAATTTGTTTAACTTGTGGTTCTGGAGTATGGGAAGTCCAAGAGCATGTTGCCAGCTCCTGGGGCAAGCTCACAATATACCTATGCTGTGTCATCCCATAACAGTAGGCAGAAAGTCAAGAAAGTGTGTGTGAGAGAGACACCAGTAGTCAGGCTTGCTTTATTAAAAAAACACTCTCTTGATAACTAACCTACTCCCATGATAATGACATTAATCCATTTATGAAGGCTTATCACTCATGATGCAAATACCACTTATTTGGTTTCAGTACAAACACTGTTGCATTGAGTATTATCTCCAACATGTAAATTGTAGGGGGATACATTCAAGAAACAGCAGAATGTGTAGGGCATCTTTGCTTAACCTATTTCTGTCACACAGTTCTATCTGTATAACAGCACTAAAATGCTTCTTGGGTTCATTACCTAAACTTCAAACTGTGTTATCAATAGAAATAAAATGTAGGATTCTTCCGAGATACCTAGCTTTGGACTATATTCATCAATTCTACCAGTTAAAGAGAATTAAACTTCAGATTCGATATGAAATTTCAAATTACTTCACATTCATTGACTATAAGAAAGCATTGCATCTGTGGTTTCCTGACTTTTTAATGATCGTCATTCTAATTGGCATGAGATGTTATCTCATTGTGGTTTTGATTTGCATTTCTCTAATGACCAGTGATGATGAGCATTTTTTCATATGTTTGTTGGCTGCATAAATGTCTTCTTTTGAGAAATGTCTGTTCATATCCTTTGCCCACTTTTTGATATTTTTTTTTTTGTATATTTGTGAAGTTCTTTGTAGATTCTAGATATTAGCCCTTTGTCAGATGGGCAGATTGCAAAAATTTCCTCCTATTCTATAGGTTGCCTGTTTACTCTGATGATAGTTTCTTTTGCTGTGAAGAACCTCTTCAGTTTAATTATATCCCATTTGTCAATTTTAAGTTGCCATTGCTTTTGGTGTTTTAGACATGAAGTCTTTGCCCATGCTACTATAAAGACACATGAACATGTATGTTTATTGCAGCGCTATTCACAATAGCAAAGACTTGGAACCAACCCAAATATCTATCAATGATAGACTGGATAAAGAAAATGTGGCACATATACACCATGGGATACTATACAGCCATAAAAAGGATGAGTTCATGTCCTTTGTAGGGATATAGATGAAGCTGGAAACCATCATTCTCAGCAAACTATCACAAGAACAGAAAACCAAACACTGCATGTTCTCACTCATAAGTGGGAGTTGAACAAGCAGAACACATGGAAACTGGGAGGGGAACATCACACACCTGGGCCTATCAGCAGCTGGGGGTCTAGGGGAGGGATAGCATTAGGAGAAATAAATACTTAAGTAGGTGATGGGTTGATGGGTGTAGCAAACCACCATGGCACGTGTATACCTAGGTAACAAAACAGCACGTTCTGCACATGTACCCCAGAACTTAAAGTATACTAAAACCAATAAATACATAAAATATGCACAAAAAAGGAAAAAATAAGCATTGGAAACAAGAAAGCAAAACATGTCTTCAAGGCAGTAAAAAATTAGTAATTAACCAAATTTGTTCAAATTTCAGAAAGGGATTACAATATTATAACAGAAATTTCGATGTTCAAATATTCATTATGTTTAGCCATATCGAGAAAATAAGTTTGGAGAAAATATATTTGGCATATATAGGGGCAAAAATCAATCTGTGAAAGGGCAATGTAGTTAAAATTAATGATAGCTACCAAGTAAAGATGCTTGTTGTACAATTCAAACATTTTAACTACTAAAAATTATAAAAATACTGTATAGAAATAAGTATAATAAATTATACATTATTATTAAGGTATAAATAAAGTTAACGTAGTATAAAATAAATTAACATATTTTTAGAAACCAGACGTATACACTAATTTTTTAAAAAATCATGCTACTTAATACGTCCAGTAAATATTATTTAAATTATTTGCCATCGGCCAGTTTCTAAATACTGCGAGATATCTAAGGTCATTCAGAATGGTGCACAGAGCACGATGCAAAGCAATTTTTCCACTGACCTCCATCTTTGCTGCTGATGTGAGTCTATGGTATTTAGATGTTCTGAGATTGTCCTATATACAATCTTTTGTTCTGTGAATATATGCATGTGCGTATCTGTGTCTTTTTAACTTTTAACTGTGTCTTAAGTAG
Source organism: Homo sapiens (assembly GCF_000001405.40). Classification (NCBI taxonomy): domain Eukaryota; kingdom Metazoa; phylum Chordata; class Mammalia; order Primates; family Hominidae; genus Homo; species Homo sapiens. The sequence continues at coordinate 32,385,859 of NC_000004.12, forward strand.
ACAACCTCCGTTAGCATAGAAGACAGGTTGTATAAATCAAAAGAGAGGTTATTTGCTTTATTAACACAGTAATTTGATCACAGATGTTATCCCCATTTTTTATTCCCATGTTAAACGTTTAAAAATTGCTCAAACATGTCAGTTAATCATTCATTTAAATAACATTTTTAAGTGTATTGGATGTCCACTCTGTGCCAGCAATTGTTCTAAGATCAAGGAACATAGTTAATGCACAATTCATGTTTCCTAGCTCCCTTTTTACATTTTTCTTACCTTCAAGTTTTTTTTTCTCCTATCTGTATGCACTTTAGACAGTAATTCACCTAATTTTTTAGATATCCTAATTAAGTTTACAGTACTATTACTATATCCTTAATCTTAAACAAAATATGTCAATGAATAGAAACTAAGTTTGCATTGTTTCACTAATCTTCTTAACACTGGATACTAATAATTCCAATAGAAAAACAAATATTAGGTTGGTGCAGAAGTAATTGAGGCTTTTGCCATTGAAAGTAATGGCAATATTTTACACATTATTTAGTAGTGCTTTGTCTCTATTTTTAAGACTGTGTATTTAAATGCATGGCTTTTGTGTTGGCAAAATGACTCATGCTTTTAAGATTTAAAAGTATCTGATGAAATAGGCAATATCATTATAATATTCCAATTAACTTAAAAAACTGAAATTCTAAAATAAAAAAATTGAGAAAGTCATGTTATATCAATGACAAGAGTCAAATGAATTATTGAAGGACACTGCATTATCTACTTGTTTTGAGAAAACTCCAGGAGCTGAGAATAAATACTCAGCAGAGAGTAAGGGGGAACTACTGAATCACTGGCAACAGAAAATAAAATCACCCCAGTGGCATTAGATAGAGCGTCAGACCTTAGCAGCTGTAGGCCTCTGGGTAATACAGAATGGATGACTGGTTAAAATATTATAACATAGACTTTTTCTGAAAGAAGACAAAGAAAAGGGTAAGTCTGAACTCATTTAAAAGAGTAGTTACTGGGAAGGATCTTGTTTCCTTTGCATATTTTTGTGAACTTTGGCAGAACTTAGTTTTTACTTTTGGAGATTTTGTTATTCGCTTTCCAATAACCAGGACAGGTGTACACTGTTTAAAAACAAATATCTGTAGGAAAGCAGCACAGGAAAAATTGTAAACTTTTGTGCAGTTATTTACATATTTATAAGGACCATGGGCTTCTGAAATGAGAAAGGGCTTTTCATTGGAAAAAGAAGAAAATTCAGGGTCAGGATAATTGTGGGCAAAGAGTATAATTTGCTCTCTGAAATTAAAATTTTAAAAATTGAAATACTTACTGAAATTGCATGTAAATGTTACACAATAATGAAAAACAAAGAGGACTCCTTAAACATTTAGTATATGTACATAAAATAAAGGCAAAAAGACGCTATATTATATTTTAATGGCAAAAAATTGTATCTTAGGCATACCTTGAAAGAATATTAGCAACATATAAAAAATACATGTTGGATAAGTCCCCAAACTTGTTAGATATAATGCAGATTAAAGTAAATTCATGATGTAAAATCTTATAAAAACTTAATTAAAAGTTTTTTTTTAAAGTAATAGTGGTAATTCAGTAACTAAAAACTAAAAAAGTCATCATAATATATTTATTTTTTGAACCTGGTATTTAGACTGATGGACTTTACAGAAAAATACAAAATGAACACATATACAAAAATTTTAATCTCTTCATTACATCTTTTAATTATCAAACTTTCTGCCTGATGTTCAGATAAAATTTTTTAAAAGTTCTTTTATAAGGTTTTTCAAGATTGTTGATAAATACAGAAAAAATCTTGACAATTTTCAATACCTTGACTTTTTAGTTATAGCTTTGAAGATATGCTGTGTCATGTATCAGAAGGTAAGATCATTGATTTGAGACAATTTTTTTTTAATGTAAGAATTTAATGCTCTAAATTTTCTTGTAAACAAACATTCCTTTAGGAGCGCTTCATACATGTTAACATTTTTATTTATTTTTATATGTTTTCTAGTATCTATTTTGGCTTCCACTTTAACTTATTTGGTAGTTAGAAATGTGGTGTGTAATTTTCAATTATTTTGAGATATTTCAGACATCCTTATGTTATTTAATATTAATTGAATTATGTTGTGGTCTAAGAAAAGACTTTGTAAGATGTTAATTCTTCCATACTAGTTTCCAACCACCATTTGTATTATGGTGAAGGATATGGACTAGCTCAGTGAAGGTGCCGCATGAACCTGCAAAGAACATACTGTCGGTTTAGTTCAGTGTGTTCTATCAGTCAATGTTAATTAGCTCAAGGTGGTTAATAATGTCAGTGCCTCAACTTTTTTACTGATCCTTTGTCTATTTTTCCCCTTCTAATAATGAGAGAAAAGTATCCTTTGAGTATTTACACTTTTTATTCTTATGCTGTTTTGTGAGTGTTTTATTAATTTGAAATATCATCCCGTGTTGTTGGTAATATTACTTTCTCTGAGTCTATTTTTTGTGAAATTTCAATTTTATTTAGCAATTTCATGTAGCTATTTCAATTTGCTTTTGATTAGGGTGAGTGTGTTATATCTTTCCACAGTTTTTTCTTTATCCCAAATGTCTTAATACTTTAAGTAAGATTCTTGAGTGCAGCCTGTATTTGAGAGGTTTTTATTTAATTCAATCAAGTGCTTTCTGTCTTTCATTGAGGTGTTTTCAACATCTATATTTAATGTAATTATACATATGACAGATTTAAATCTACCATTTTTTATTGTATTCTATTTTTCCTATTTTTTATTACTTTATTTTTTCTGTTGTCTGTCTGCTTTTAAATGGAGAAAATGTTATAATTTAATTGTATTTTTATTATTGTCTTGTATTTATATCTCTAATTTTTAAGTGATTGTCCTGGGATTTACATTATAATGGTTTTGAATTGTCTCAGTACTATTTGAAATAACATTATATAACTTCTTACTTCTAGCAGAAACCTTTTACAAGTATTTCCATTCTTTCCTCTTTTTTTTTTTTTGTTGTTGTTGTCGTGTGTGTCATTGTGGTCATCAGCACAGCAAATTAAATCTATCAATAGATTACATGAGTAACACATCATGACCAAATGATGCTCTTCCTGGAATTACAAGGTTGGTTTAACATTCAAAAACCAATCATTTAATTTCCCATTCTCAACAGACCAGACTAAAAAAGAATAACATTATTTTAATAGACACATAAACATGTTTAACAAAATACAATGTCTAATTATAATAAAAACTCAGAAAGCTAAGAAACAGAATCAAAGAAAAATCTACAACCCATGCTACACTTAGTGGTACAAGACTGAATTATTTCCTTCTAAAACGAGGAAAAACTGAAGATAAAATTCCATTCACTTCTCCTATGAAGCATGATACTCGGTATTATCTTGTAATATCTTCAACTCTTCATTCTACTAAATTGAATTTCTCTTGATTTCATTCATTTTTCCCTCTTCTCCATCATGATTGCATGATTGCATTCCAACAAAATAATTTTTTTTCTAAACTTTCACTTTGATTTCCTCTCTGCAGTTATACATTCTCACATACAATTATTTATCTAAACATTTAAATTTTCATTCCATTATTTGCTGCTGGGTGTTTCCAAGGCATTGTTTTCATTGCTGGAAACAACATTATAAAGGCTTCTTATGAGGAAATATAGTCATTTTCAACTTTCTATTTAGGTGTCACCTTCTCATCAAAAATTTCTATTGACCAATATCCTAGATCTCTTTCTTGGGGAGGCAGAGGGAGATGGTTTAGTGGGAAGAATATTTATTAGAGAAACAAAATCTGTGGAAGGAAGAAGGAAGCAAGCCTGGCCAGAGAGAGAAGTTGAGCTGCAGTGCTGCCTTGGTTCACTCCACAGGGAGCTCTGGAACTAAAATTACCAATCAGAGTTGCACTGCATCATATGAAAACTTTTAGGCCTTTGTTTCCCCTATATTATCCCATTTATGCAATATTCTCTAAACGCAAAAACAATTGAGGCAGAAAACAGTCAGTCATTGTCAGGTGCTTGGGGTGGGGCATAGGCAGGAGAGTGACAAAAAAGTTGCATTAAATAAGTTTTTGAGGTGATGGAAATCTTTGATATCCTGACTCTGTGACAGACTATATGTGTTTGTCAAAATCATCAACTTGTGCATCTAAGTAGAATTAATTTCCGAATACCTAATTATTTCTCAATCCACCAGACAAAAAATAAAACTGAATGAGTTTTAATGACAATATTAAAATTAATAGACAAACATCTGGCGTACCTAACAAAGAGTGAAGAGAGAAAATTCAGGTATATAGCATTTATAATTAAAAACATATAAAATAGGTTTTTTAACACAATCCACACAAATTTGAAAATTCTTTAAAATTTGTTCTTTAAAGTATATATATACGTTTCTGTGTGTGTGTTCATGTGTGTGACTTCATAAGACTATCAGAAACTTTCAAAGATAGTAGCAGAAAAAAGTAAAATCTGAATAAATTAATAATAAAGTTAAAAATGCTGTCAAAAACTACTTTCACTAACGATTTTACTGATGATTTAGTTTTAAAGAAGAGTTACCTTCTGTGGTCCTGTTTCTTAGACTTTAATATACATTTATACTATTGGATAATTTGGAAAATGCAGATTCTTTATCACTACATCTTGAATATGGTTGAAGAATCTGTGTTTTAATAAATGCCCAGATAATTTCAGTGTTACTTGTGCTTGAATTTTCTTTCAGTAGCAAAATCGTATGATACTTAAAGTGCTTTATATTTAGAAAATGATAATATTTGTAAGAACTTTAAAAACTATCATCACAAGGTGGAACTAAAATCTTAGAAAATTAACTTAATCAGTAATTTACCAAAAGAACATACATGTAGACACAGACACACACACACAGACACGTACACATGAGAATTTTTAAAATCAAATTTCCAAAACTGTTGTAAACATAGCAGCAAAAAAGTAAAGCCTGCTTGAAGAAAACCAGTAAAGCTTATAGTAAACTGTCAAAAATTAAAAGTATGAAAAGATTCTTTTTTTATTTGTGGTTGGAAAACTCAATCTTGTTAAGTAGTATCTGCAATTTTATAAAATGATACAAAATATCATCTGAAAGCCTAAAAAATATGGGAATCGAAAGGCTTAAAGACAGAGAAAACCTGTACAGCTTCAATTGAAGATAACATTTTTAGCATGATAGAAGTGACAAGAAATAGAAGACAGATCAATGTACTGAGAAAATAATCCAGAAACAAAATTATAGCGGTAAAAACTTAAAAAGTGCCTTTTTATGTCAATGATAAAAAAAATCTAGCTCAATATGTTAATTTATTATAAATGAATAACTACATTTAAAGAACAATGTCTGGCCCGCTGTGGTGGCTCATGCCTGCAATCCCAGCACTTTGGGAACCCAAGGCAAGTGAATGGCTTGAGCTCAGAAGTTTGAGACCAGCCTGGGCAACATGATGAAAAAAAAAACACACAAAAAAATACAATAAAATTGAGCTGGGTGAGATGACACAGGCCTGTAATCTCAGCTACTCAGGAGGCTGAGGTGAGGGGATCTTTTAAGCCCAGGAGGCAGAGGTTGCAGTGAGCTGAGATCTTGCCTCAGCAGTCCAGCCTGGGCCGGGTGCGGTGGCTCACGCCTGTAATCCCAGCACTTTGGGAGGCCGAGGCGAACGGATCATGAGGTCAGGAGATGGAGACCACGGTGAAACCCCGTCTCTACTAAAAATACAAAAAAAGTCAGCCGGGCATGGTGGCGGGCACCTGTGGTCCCAGCTACTGGGGAGGCTGAGGCAGGAGAATGGCGTGAACCCGGGAGGCAGAGCTTGCAGTGAGCCGAGATCCCGCCACTGCACTCCAGCCTGGGTGACAGATCGAGACTCCGTCTCAAAAAAAAAAAAAAAAAAAAAAAAAAGACTGCAGGGACTGCAGATAAACTCACACAAGTTCTTTGCTATGAACCTCCAGAGTTGCTATTTCTATTACCATCTATTTAAATGGTTTTCTCTCTAACTGTAGAATGTCCAACATGATTATGTCTGCATTATAAATTATTCTAAAATAAACTACAAATCTTTTACAAAGTAAATACAGATTTGTGATAAAACCACAAAAATCCTGAGAAAATTTTCTTGAGCAAATTCTCTGGTTTACCTCATCATGGAAAATGGAAGAGTGAATTAGAAGAAATTTTAACATAGGAAGCTTACCAGAGAGAATTCTTAAAAGTTCAGACACTGTGGAAAGCAATTTGGAGATTTCTCAAAGAATGTATGAGAACTGCTATTCATCCCAGCAATCTCATTACTGGATATATATATCCAAAGGAATATAAATTATTCTACCATGATAACACATGCACACACATGTTCACTGCAGTACTATTTACAATTGCAAATACATGGAATCAACCTAGATGCCAATCAGTGGTGGTCTGGATAATAAAGCAAATGTGGTACATATACACCATGGAATACTATGCAACCATAAAAGAATGAAATCATGTTCTTTGCAGCCACCTGGATAGTCCTGGAGACCATTGTCCTAAGTGAATTAATACAGGAACAGAAAAGCAAATACTGCATGTTCTCACTTATAAGTGGGAGCTAAATACTGAGTAAACAAGGATGCAAAGGAGGGAACAACACACACTGGGGCCTACTTGAGGGTAGAGGGGGAGGACCAAAAACCTACCAAATCAGTACGATGCTCATTACCTGGGTAATGAAATAGTCTGTACACCAAATTCCTATGACACACAATTTATCCATATAATGAACCTGTACAAGTACCCTCGAACCTAAAATAAAAGTTGGAAAGATAAAAAAAACTATAATCTTAAAACAAAATAATAAGGATAATAACAACAAAAAATTAAGTGGACTATGCCAAGTCTTGCTTATTTTAAAATCCTTTCCCTGGTAGCATCAATGTATAGCCTTTACTGTAAGGAACATGGCATTAGCGTTTTGTACTTTAGTAAACAGACTATATTTTTAGATCTCAGGTTCACTGATCTGAGTTACTAAGTTAGTTGTGATTGGTGTAGAGTGATGACGTTATTTATTCTCTAAGTGACTTGTACACCAAATGTATGTCTTATGAAAAATAATGTGTTATGTATGTTTATGTACCTATTTTTGTATCTGTGATTCTGTGTAGTTTATCAAACCAATCTTCAAATTTGAGATTTCTAAATACCAGAGGCTTGAGGGTTTTGTGTAACCCTCCTCATCCACTCAAAAATCCCTATATATATTTGCTCAGAAAATATCTATCCATGTCCCTAGAGAAACATAGTTATTTACACCAAAGATATATTGTATGTAATAGTTATACAGCATGAATAAGTCTAGAGGTCAAATGTAGACCATGAGGACTGTAGTTAGTAATATTGTATACTGGAAATTTGCAAATAATAATTTCAGGTATTTTCATCACACACAAACACAAACACAAAAGGTAATCGTGAGAGGGGATGGATATGTTAATTTGCTTGACCGTAGTAATCATAATCACTTTACTATGTATATGTAATTCTGTTGTACACCCTAAATTTATATAATTAGAGAAAAGGTTTTACAGTCATATAATTTCGGTTATTCATGTTTTGATTGATTAATAGGATCACATTTTTATCATTTTACATATTCATCAGTAAAACAATAAAAGCATTGATCTGATCATTAAAAGAAGACATCTGTGTCTAGCTGAGAGTTTGTGGATGTTTAAAAACATTTTCTGTATTACCCAATTTGTAATGTTGCAAACATAAAACTGATATTTAAAAACAAGATTTCTAATTGCATTTCTTTTGTAATCAGGAAAGAAAATGAAGCAATGGTTTCCTCCTGTTTATTAAGAGCCATTAGGGTAATGCATTAGTTATCTACTGCTTCTCAACAAATTATCCCCAAATCTAGCATCTTAAAACAATATACATTTGTATAGTCTCACGTAGTTTCAGTTGGGTGGATATCTGTGTGTGTCTGGCTCAGTGTCCTGAGAGTATAGTTAGTATGTTTATGTCATCTGAAAGCTTAACTAGGGCTGAATAGTCTGCTTCTAAACGTGCTCACTGAAATGCTTGGCAAGTTAGCACTGGTTGCTGGTAGGAGGTGCCGTTCCTTGCCATGTGAACTTTTAAATAAGGCTGTTCAAGTTTGTTTATGGGTTGACTTTTAATTTTTCTCAGAGCTAGTGATTCAAGAGAAAGCAAGGTGGAAGCAACAATGTCTTTTAACACCTAGCCTGGGAAGTCACAGTTCATCATTTCTACAGTATACTATTTTATATAAAAGTGAACCCTACTGGGTTTGGGAGGGAACTCCACAATGATGTGGATCCTAGGTGGAAGGACTCCTTGTGGGGATATGGAGGCTGGCTACTCTTTGAGAAGCTTTCCTCACTACACTGATTTTATCCCTTAAAAATATAAAATACTACAAGCAATGCAAATATTGGAAATACCCATTTCCATGAAACAACATGAATAACAAACTTGTCTTACAATTTGTACAACTGTTTTGCAATATCAGCAGTATTTTATACTAAAAGATTTACTATTTTTCAATGTCATATGTCATTAGCTATTTATCCCATAAACCATCTTATTTGCTAACAATGTTTAAAATAGGTCAATTAAAGAAGATTAGCAAAACAACAGACAAAAAAAGAAGAGGAAATATTAGCAAACAAGTATACGGTCTACCTTAAATGCAACTATTCATACTAATGATCTAAATAATGACAAAGCCGTAAAGTCAGGGATATATCATTGGCCAATATTTTCTAATGACAGCTTATGAAATTAGGAGTAATACAAATAATAATAATAGCATAGGAATTACAGTGTGGAAAATTAGAAATGTGAAAGCTTCTTGACGTAATTGCAAATTAATGTATGCAAATTATTTTAGTTTGAAATTCCACATTTTATAAAACATAACATTTTTAGAAACTTTCAGAATGTACTAGGTTATTAAAATGTAAATTAAGACTTTATTTTAGAAAAGAGAAGGTGAAGATGGATCCACCTGTTGTGTACTCTGCTCCTAACCTGGGCGATGGCATCATTCATACTCTAAGCCTCAGCATCACACAATATACTCATATAACAAACCTGCAGCTATACCCGCTGAATCTAAAATAAAAGTTGAAATTATTAAAACATAATAATAACAAAGTTTGATGGTGAAGTTACATGACATCTCAAAGTTTCTATCAACCATATAGTTTTATGAGAAAATAAGAGTTTTCATCTTTCTAATTCCCCCATTCTAAATCTTATTCCAAGCAAGGTGGCAGATTTAAATATTACCCAGGATGATAAAACATTTTCTGATTAAGTTTAAACCCAATGCTTTTTAGTATTTTTACTAATGAACCTCACTGAAAAACAGAAATCCTGCTCATTGAAGTTAAGATAATAATCAATTTTTAAATGTAGTTTTAGTTTCAATCCTTTCAAACTAGTTATATCTCTAGGTTTAAAAAAAAAATCAGAGGGATGTGATTGGCTGAGGAAAAAGGAATAACTGAACTATTCCTTAGGACAGTACTTTCAAAATATAGGACATACTATCTTGATAATATATAAGGTAAAATTGAGTAAAATGTAATTTAATAAATACAATTAAGTATTTGCTAATTTATATTGATGGCAATGATTTATTTAATATTCTATGGCAGCTACATATTTTCTATAAAAACTTTATAGAGGTAACAAAAATGAAACAATTTATATAAAATACTTAATAATTGGAACAGTCTTATGTGAATACAGTACAAAAACAGCTTCAATTTTGCAAATAGTTTTAAGACTTAGCTATTACAGTGTGTAGGTTTTCCTTTGGACATTTAATGATGTTCTTACCCCAATATGGAACCACAGACACTCCAGGAAAAAAAAACTTGGCTATATTAAATTGATTGTAAATTATTTCAATAGAAAATTTAAACCAGGATGTCTGATAGGTCAGTTCTGGCAATAAAGCTCTTCAGTATCCACTATCAGCTGTCAATGATTTTATCTTCCTCCCATTACTCATGCTCATGGATGATACTTGCTCACTGATGACCTTGTAATGTTTAAATTATGAAGTCAAGATAAGGATTCTGTGGAGTAGACTAGACTTCATGAATTTGCAAACTTCATGGTTCATAGGCAAGGCATGTGGAAGATTCATGTGTCAAGCTTCCATTCAACCAGCATCTTTGTAGTCCGACATGAAGCAATTCTCCTTCATTCAAAAAAAATTCAAAAAAAAAAATTTGGTGGATTTGATACTATGTTCCTGGCATTTTGTTATGTCCAAAGTTTAAACTGAGGGAGAATGTCTTTGTGGAAATTTAGAGAATAATGATACGTTTATAAAATGAAATTTAAAAATGCAGTAAGATTGGCATAAACCATGAGCCAGATAAACACAGCACGATATTGAAAGCATGAAGAAGACAACCAATGTCTCATATTTTTTAAACTAATTATATTTTGATATTTTGAGCCATAGAAAAATACACTGAATATATAAAAAACCACCCAAACATTGAAAATCCTAATTTAATATTATAATGGATTTGTCAAATTTCATTTTATTATATAAAATAAAATGTATTGAAAAACCCTAAGACCCCTTTGAATTGAGAAAGAATACACAAGAATGTGCACTGATCCCACCTTTAATGTCTATGGCTGAAATCATGATGTGTCACCCAGCTCCACCTTTAAGAAAGGACGTGTGAATGCTGATGAGATTGCCATTGTCAGACAATTGGGATCCAGCTGTCAGCCGATTTAGGGATTGCCTAACCTTTCAAGAGCCACATTGTCCAAGGTCAGTCTCCTCCCAGGGCAGCTGATGTCCAATGACTGATTGAGGTGGCCATAAAAACGATGAGACATTTTAAGGTAACGCAATATGATTCTGATCGACCATTCAAGCTGTGGAGCTCTCTTTTGTGTCAGCTAAGGCAGGCATCAGGACAGCATCATAGATCAACTTCTCTCTCTCCCTGGTTATGCTTCCATCCCCTCCCTTCCAAAGGCATTGACTTCAATTAATACCGTCAATATCACTTAGCCCACTAGACTCCACCACAGTGTGTTTCTGTCCTCGAAAGCAACCTGTGACAAGGGTCAACAACATTTTTCTCACATCTTCATTTCATTAATTATATTTTACTAATTGATCTCAATTAATCATTAGAATTTAGCATTTTCCAATACTAATGGGAAAAGACATAAATAATTTTAAACAAAATTTAAGTATAACATATAGTCAAGTGTCTACCTAGACATATAAAAAGGGATTCAGTGTTATGAAATATTAAAGTTTAAAAATGTAGTATTTCCTCTGTTTCTGACTTTCTAAAAAGTGTTAATTTGGTTATTTGTTTATGCTTGTTCATTTAAAGCCAATTATAAAACCAGCCACCTATTCCACCATTAAGAGATTATTTTAAGCATATTGAGATATCTTTGAAAAATGTCTTATCTTCTTATATTACATAATAGACAAACAAACCAATGAATGAGATATAGAAGCTCTACCATTGCTTTTATCTCAGTTATAGACCTCATATTATAAAATCAGTAATCACTGTCGTGGGTAAGTAGTAACCTGAAAGAACTCCATTTTTTCTCTTTCAGGCCTCTCTGCAAATGAGTCTTGCTATCAAAATGCACTTTATATCTGCTTTCTCACAGCACTTAGTAATTTAAATTCCATGAGGACCTCTAGGTACATTTTGAAAACATGGATATTTTTAAAGGCTATTATTATGTGACATGCAGCCATATCACCTCAAATTATTAGATTGTTTGTATCCTTGTATTCTTCTAACAGTTTAAATAAGCCATCCAGTTAATGGTATGGTCATATATAAGTGTTAAATAAAAATGACAAATTGTGTGGATGACAACATTTTCTTCAAATTAAATACACTAACCAAATAGAGATATTCCTGACCTCCATACCAGAAATACAATTGTTCTGGCAGCTATGACCTCAAGCCTTGACAGATCTTTTTGCCCTCTAGATATAGATTTTGAATTCTATTTTAAGATTTTCCTTTATGTTCTGTTTCTATCCTAAGTCCACATCCTCCAATCTTAAAACTAGCTACCTATAAACATTTTACTTTCAATAGATGAATGTTAGCATATTTTTATAATACCAACATTATCCAATGTAAATCACTTCAATTGTAGGTTTAAGAATATTTCTAATGGCATCCCTTAGTTTTCTCCTATGCTCATCCTTGTCCATCTTTCAAAACTATGCACACTTTCTAATCCATCCTAATTATATCACATCCTCCTTCCAAGAATCAGACACAGATATTTCATCACAAGTTACAAATCTCTCTTCTCTTACTAGCTCTCTGACCTTTGCAAACCTGTAACAGAATCTCTTCTGTCAAAAGGGGAAGAACAATCAATCTAGTTTTATGCTCCTTCAAAACACCATTTTCACTTTTTCTTATTATAGCTAAATATCTCAAAATAATAAATTACAAATGCTATTCCCAATTACTTTCTTTTAATCCTTCTATATTATGATTTCAAAGCCACTAAACTAAATGCTTAAAGCAAAAAATAACCTTTTAATTTTCAAATTCACTGGCATCTTTCAAGTTTTAATTGAGTCTATTAATTGAGCTTCATTTGGTTCAAGATCTCTTTTGTCTTCACTTTCATGCTTGGCTTCTGTTCTATGGTATTTTACTGGTCCTTTACCTGTCACACCGAACAAACTTCCAATGCAGAATTCAGTTTTAAAAGTTAGCCCTCAGATACTAACAGGTGTTGCAAATTATCATTCAATTGACTTCACCAGTCAATCATTAAATTTCTATGCCTCAAGCATTACTTATATCATCCAAAGTTTAAATGTTGAAATATTTTAAACTTTGTCTTTCAACTGTATAAATCATTTATTTTCATTTAACTGTACATTTTTTAGTTACTGAGCTAAAATTATCAGTTACATGTGATAATATTATCTTCCTAGCCCAATGTTGATACGAATCTCCCAATTTGAAACAAGGTCCTAGTCACATTCAAGCAGCCCAGTGATTCTCTGTTTTAATTCATATATTTTATTCTTATTTCTGTTTCACCTATTTAAACATAAATTATTATGAAAGACTTAAAATGGATGAAAACAGAGTAGTAGAAAACAATATGTACATTATCATGATTCAACAATAAATATTTTCTCTGTGTTTCATATTGAGAAACCAGAAGTATGTGTGTGTGTGTATATATATATATGTGTGTGTGTGTGTGTGTGTGTGTGTGTGTATGTGTGTGTGTATATATATACATATACTGGTATATATATATATATACACACATATACTGGTATATATATATATACATATACTGGTATATATATATACATATACTGGTATATATATATACATATACTGGTATATATATACATATACTGGTATATATATATACATATACTGGTATATATATATACATATACTGGTATATATATACATATACTGGTATATATATATACATATACTGGTGTATATATATATATACATATACTGGTATATATACATACATATACTGGTATATATATATACATATACTGGTATATCTATATATATATACACACACACACACACACACACACACACACATATATATATACACACATATACCGGTATATGTGTGTGTATATATATATACACACACACACACATATATATATACATATACCAGTGTGTATATATATACACACACACACACATATATATACACACACACTATATATATACACATATATACATATATATACATATATACACACACATATATACACATATATACACATATGTACACATATATACACATATATACACATATATATACACATATATACACATATATATATACTGGTTTTGTTTCTCAATAGGAAATAGTGATTATTGGGTTTGATTTTGTCTTTTCTGGAATTCTGCCATTACATGTATAATTACTTCAGTAAATATCAAATAGGGAGATTTTATTTCTAATATTTACACCAATTTGCTTTTGTTGCATTCTATATTAGTCACATAATTGATTATTTTAAACATATATAAAGCACTAAAATTAAATTTTATTCTTATAAACTCATGTTATTTTATAATCTACTTTAAAAATTATTCTTTCATATTTTTGTTATTTTATATTTACTATTACATATTTTATATTTACTTACAATGAGAGCTAGAGCTATTTAAATAAGACAGTTTTTCTTTTTCTTTCTGAAAATAATTTTATATGTATCCAATGACATTATTACCTATCAATAAAAATACCACAAACATTCAAACACTTGTATAAATGCATTGAAGCTTTTTATTGCAACTAAAATGGAGTGACTGGAGTAGAATTACTTTTTTCTCAGTAGCAATTAAAAATTTGAAAGAAATATATTCAACAATCGTTTTAGTCATTGAATGTCAGGAAATATAGAGCAGGGATTCATGAAAGCAGAGAAGTAAACGAGGTCAGCCCTAAAATTATTCAATTGTAGGCTAAATGGCTTACTAGTCTTGTTAAGCTGAAAAGATGGTTTGGAAGTTTGGAAAGACTGGAAAGTCTAGGAATGGCAGTATGTCAGATTTGGAAAGCTTCACGTAGAGAGCTCTTGAGATGTGCAAGAGTTCCCTTTGAATCTTCAGCTGAGGACTGGTTGGCACATGAGTGAGAAAACAAAACAAAACAAAAAAACAGGAAAAAACTTCCCAAGGAAATGACATTATAATGGTTATTATAGCCATATTTCACAAACCAAGAAGCTAAATCTAGATCCTGTCAAGCAGACACATAGAAGATGGAATAAAAACTCAAATAAAACTTTAACAGTGAAAACTATAATATCGGAGATAAAAATGAATTAAATGGAATTAAAAACAGATTAGACTCTGTAGATGAATATTAGTTAACTGAAATCATAGCAATAAACATTTTTCAATGTGAAACAAATGAAAATAGATACTGATAAAAAATAAAAAATATCAGAGATCTGTAGCACAATTTTAGACAATCTAATATTTGTGTAATTTGAGTTCCTGAAGGAGAGATGAGAGTGAAAAATACTAGAAGAAATAATAGTTAAAATTTGCCATGTTGGCAAAATTGGTAAAAAAAAAATTGGTAAAAAATATAAACCCAGTATTCCAAGAAGCTCAACAGAATCTAAGTATAATAAACTGCAAAATATTGCACCACTCACATCAAAATGCTATTTGTTAAAATCAGTGATAAGGAGAAATTTTAAGTCTCTTAAAAAATTATGTGTTACATGCGGAAGAACAAAGAGAAGATTGATAGATATTTCTCATTAGAAAAATTCAAGGCAGAAGAATGCAATTTTTAAGAAATATTTCTTTAAAAGGCAAGAAATAAGAAAACTGTCAACATAGAATTATTTATTCAGTGTGAAAAATCTTTCAAAAATAAAAGTAAAATAAAATTGTTTAGACATACAAAAGACAATGGAAACATCACCAGTAGGAATGCAATAAAGGAATATAAAATGAAGTATTTTCAGGAGTAGAAAAAAGTTACTGTATGATAATCTGGACCTACAGAAAGTAATGAAGATGTTTGGAACTAGCAAATTTGTGGGTGAATATAAAATGCTTTTTATAAAAAATGGATTACTATTAAGCAAAATGATAGTAATGTACTATGTGGTTTTAACATATGTATAGGTAACATAAATGGCAAAAATAGCAGAGGAAGGAAAATATAATTAATCATTCTGCTGTAAATGATTATAATTGATGCAATTATGTATATTGTTATTTCAAATTAGACTGTGAATAATGCTTTATACAATTAACAATAAATCAAGTGCTTTTTAAATATTTAGAAATAATCTAAAAGCAGGTTAAAATTGAATAAAAATGCTCAATAAAATAGTAGATACAAATTAGGAAAAAAGAACAAAGTTACACAATAAAAAACCAGCAGAAAGATGGTTTATACCTAATCACATAAATATTCACATTAATGTATGTTGTCTAAACATCAAAATCAAGCCTGTTCATATTTGATAAGAAACATGAGGTTTAACTCTATATTGCCTTCAGAAATACTACATTAATATAAATACACAAATAGGTTACAGTAAATCTGTGAGTAAATATATACCATCCTAAAACTAATCAAAGAAAACTGAAAGGGCTATGTTAACATCAGATAAAGTAGATTTAAGAGCAAAAAATATTACCTGGAAAAAAAGAGTCATTTATACTGGTGAAAGGTTTAATTCATAAGAAGAACATAAACACCCTTAATATTTATGCTCTTATATACTAGTGTTTTATAATATTTGAAGCAAAAACTAATAGAAATGAAGTAGGAAATAAATCAACAGTCTTAGTGATCTGTTGGTAATTGATTTTAAAAAGCGGTAAAAATATAGTAAAATGTAGATATTTTGAATAACACTATCAGCTAAATATGCCTAATTGACATTTTTGGAATATTCAATCCAATGATAACACAATACATATTGCAGTAACATGCAAATGGCACATTAACCGGAAGAAGCAAAACAAAAATTTTCAAAATAATATTCAGAGTGGAAAATCCAAACAAATAATTACTTTTTAGAAAGTACAAAATAATCTTTAGTGAAAGAAAGCCTGTAAGTATCTGTTGAGAAGGGCCGGGAAGTGGCATAAACTATTGTATGTGGTAATGTATTCATTATATATATATATATTTTTGGAGAGCTATGTATACACATATCTGTATATGATATAGAGATATATCAAGTATCTGTATATTCAAAGCTTGTATAATTGAATACTTTTCATATATCCAATTTGGCATACATAAATTCTGCTGTGAAAGCCTTTAAAATTAAAATAAACTGTATATTGCATATATTGCAAGTGGAGTGGAAATATTTTTTAAATTATACAATTTTTGGCACTTTGTCTCTCAAGATAAATTTTCTATACCCCTTTCCCTATTATTCAGACAGTCTCTTAGTTGCTTCAACCTTCCATGTATCATACAAACAATATTTTATGACTTATTATATCATGTAAGGCCAATGGTATTTAGATTTTCTTTCTGTCTCTTTTGGCATCTGACTGAGTTTTAATTAGCCTTTCTTGGAAAAACCACACTCATAATGCATTTATAGATTTGAATTTGTGTCTTCTATCTTAAATATATTTGCAAAGCAATCTCATATAAAATCCTTCTATCTTTTAAAGTTTCCCTCAAATGCGTACACTTTTTGTAATAAGTGATTTAAGAGAATATTGTCAATAATTCACCATTAATAGCTCTTTGCAATTATCCATCTTAGTTTTCATTAAAAAAACTCATTTTACACCAGCATTAAAAATATCAGATAGTAAATAAACCAGATGATTACAATGACAGCTACAATTGGCATAAATATGCTTAAGAACAAATGTTGATCAACATTAGTGAGTTTCCAACCCAATTGTTGTAGCAGATGTGTGAATATATGCAAGACTAACCAGTGCTGATTAGTCAGCAAGCCTTTTTTCAGTACACTTTTCTTTTTTCAGTATACTTTTCCTGAGGAAATGGACAGCATTGGTTTCTGACTACTTAGTTAATTTTTAATCAAGTAAGATATTTTCTAACTTATTATTATTGATGGTATTAAAATATCAAATAGATGGTTGTGGCAAATGTCCTTTAAAAGTCTTTCTAGTAATGTAGTTTATACATGTATTCAAACAAAGTTCAATTTATTGTTGATGAATGCATTCCAATATCACTGTTTCATAGGAAACTATATGAATTTAGACATTAAAGTGGCTTTTTATTATAAAATAATAAAATACTGCTAATGTTTAATTGAACAGAATCAGCAATGAAGCAAAAAAGGGCAGTGGATAATTGCATTTAATAAATTGATTTGATTTAGTAGTTCATGATTTTTAAAGCTTTTTACTTTTCAAGGATATAACAATATAAAATGCATGTTCAACCTCCATAAAGCATTATTTTGCTCTGAATTAGATAATAAATCATATTTCTACTTCTGGTAATAATTTTATTCATTTTTTTCTCATAAAATATGAAATAATAGAGTAAAACTCATTGATAAATGGACTATCATTTTCAGTTTTGCAATCTTATTTTCTATGGAATAATGTAAAGAGAAATGGGTACTACTCAAATATATCCATGCTACAAAATAAGGAAATTATCCCCAAACTGGAACAGTTTACCTTTTAAAATGAGGAAGGTAATTATCTTACTAATTTCAAAAACAATAAAATAGTTTAAATTATTTATTTCCCCTGCGATGAAAAAATTTATAAAGTAATGCAGCGTGTGTGTTTCTGTGTGTGTGTGTGTGAGAGAGACAGAGACAGAGAGACAGAGAGAGACAGAGAGGCAGAGAGAGAGAGATTCCATATATTAGAGAAACACATGTGAGTTACACACTTACAATTTTTTAATGTCATTGATATATAATGACAGAATTTTGGATTTGAAAAATAAATGAAGACTATATACTCTAACTTCTTTATTTTCAATAAGAAACTGGAGTTGTGTGTGATGAGTAATCAAAACTAGAAGGTGCATCCTATGTAACAAAATGAGATTTTGAAAGTTGGTACATTGTTTATTATAAAGGGATGCAAGTTTCAAATAATGAATAACTCAAGGCATTGAAATGAGGAATTGATACAGGTTTTGAAGAGGGAAGACAATTCTTCCTTTCATTTAACCCAAATGCCCAGGGCCAAACCTCTCCAGTTCAAATTTTGGTTGTTTTTTGGTGTTTGTCTTTTGTAGTCGTAAAGAGAATACGTATGAGGGAAGAAAGGGGCTTTCTTAAAAGGTACAGTGAGGTCTTCTAACCAATTATTTTGACCTAGTCATTCAAATTTTAGACCTTTAGAATATTTAAACAAAAATACAAGATTACAAGTATTTGAAAACAAGTTTAGCTTTGTATTCAAAATCAAAATATAATTGTGCTTAACCTTTCAGGGTTGGAATGTGCTTAATTTCCACAGATGAGTTTGTGCTATTAAACCTACTTCAGAAAAAAATATTTTTTGGTGAGTCGTTTTGGCTTTTTTGTGTTGATCAATACAATGATTTTATGTAAAATTACTTTTTGGTGTTCAGCTTTCCATGACATTTTAAAACATCCGTAAAAACAGTAACTAGACCTTTGCATAAAATAAACAACTTGGCAAAATTTTCTAGAAGGGACATTGAGTTAAATCACCTGCACCCAGCCATCACTTGGTTTCACCCAAACATTCTGAAGTTTTCAGGTCATAATCATCACTGTAGAGTGCTACGGTATATCTCTATTATTCTTAGAATTCTATGAATTTTTTCGTGAATGTGATTTACAAATTTTGGACTCCCCTTCTAAGACTGTATCATGATTTAAAATTTAAAAAATTTACTAACACAAGCATACATTCTAATACTAACTCAATTTTTTTGAGTTGTTAAAGTGTAGCCTTGTAACAAGCTCTGATAACATTAAGTATTATCTATTTAAGCTTTATAGCAAAACCGTGAGGTATTCATTGTTTTACAGGTGAGGACATTCTGTCTCAGCGTAGTTAAGTAATCTGATTTGGATCAACTGAGTTAGTGTCCCTCACTGCCGTCATTCATCTTCCACATCCTTTATTAATAACAACCATGATTATCATTACAGTAGGTCCTCACTTAACATATATAAAGATTCTTGGAAACTGTGACTTTAAGTGAAACAATGTATAACAAAACCATTCTTCTTTACATCTATGCTTTAACCATATGACATTGAATGAGACAATGTTATTTGTGGACCTGCTGTACATTGTTTCACTTCAAGTTGCAATTTTCAAGAACTTTTCAGCAACATTAGATGAGGACTTATTGTATATAGTTTACATGTACATATGTTTATGCATACATATAGATATGTATGTATGAAGGCATGCATCCTTCCTTCTCTTTCCGAACATTGGAGCAGAACCAATATAATCATGATTGCATACACCCATACGTTAATATGTTGGTAAATTGGATTTGTTATATAAAGAAATTGCAATGAAGTGCTAAGTAAACAAATATCTGTTTACATTATAATCTCTATGGCATGTTATATTTTAATTTCTATCTAGAAATGCATTGTGAAACCTAATAAAAAATTTGAAGCTTTATGCTCACCCTGCCCTTCTTGTCCGCTACTGCAAATTCTGCAGTGAGGAAATATTAGTTTTCTTTATCTTCCAGCAACGAAGAGTTTTTTGTTTATCTTTAATGTCATATTAACAATCTCATATTTATTCTGTGTAACTCATATCCCGCTCTTGATATTTTTTACTTTATGTAATAGTTGTGAGGGTTTGTTTATTTTGGTTATTATATCCCCAGTCCTTATTGCAATGCCTGTAAGATAGCAGACACTTGGAGTTCATTGGTAGACTAACTGGCTGACTCTATCCAACTTTGGTTATACTTCTTTTTTCTTTTTCCAGTCTGGGAAAAAAAATTACTTGTCTCTTATATTCTCAAGTAATTTGTGTGTGTGTATATATATATATATATACACACACACAAATATATATGTAGTTTCCAAGAATATGTATATAAATATATATTTCTGTGCATTTATGTATGTGTCTATACATAGAAGTGTGTGTGGTTATACATATATATACATATGCTTATTTTTAAAATTCGAAATAGGAATAAATAATTCCAAAGACAATAAAACATGCAACATTGCATGTTCAGAAACTTAATCAGGCTAGTTAACACATTTCACCACATTACAGCCATATATGTCCTATGCCTAATCATTTTCTTTTCAATTATGTTTAACTCGTGACAAAACCAACAAAAAGGATGGTACTTATGGAGCCCATTCTTTGTTTCCGATTTGGCATTCACACACCATGGAGTAAATTAATTTATTTTTGTCTGTCTATCTATCTATCTATCTATCTATCTATCTATCTATCTATCTCTACCTATCTATCTAACTTAGTATATATTTGTCAAACCATGTTGTTATAGTTTGGTTCCGTGTCCTCATCCAAATTTCATGTGAAATTGTAATCCACAGGTGTTGGAGGAGTGACCTGGTGGGTGGTGACTGAATCATTGGGGTAGACTTCCCCCTTGCTATTGAGTTGCATTAGTTCCTTACCTATTTTGGCTATTAACTCATTATCAGAGATGTGGTTTACAGAATTTTTTTCCCATTATGTGGGTTGTCTTTTCACTCTCTTAATTTGTGCAAAATATTTTTAATATCATAATCCATTTGTTAATTTTGGCCTTTTCTGCTTGTGGTTTTGGTGATACATCCAAAAATTCATTGCCAAAACCAATGTCACAAATATTTCCCCTATGTTTTATTCCAGTTTTTAAATGGTGTCGGGTATTATATTTAAGTCTTTATGTTGAATTAATTTTTGTATGTAGTGTGAGATATGGGTTCAATTACTTTTTTCTGCATGTGTATATCTTGTTTTGTAAGTACAATTTATTGAAAAGACTATTATTCTCCCATTGTGTCTTGTAATACCTTTTGTTTAGAGGGTAGATCTTAACACACACACACACACACACACACACACACTCAAACTATGTGAAGCAATAGATATCTTAAGTGATGTTTAACAATTTATACTTATGTCAAATCAAGTTGTACAACTCATGTATATGTTAAATTTATGTATCTATTTATATGTTGTACACATATGTTAAATTTATATATCTATACGTTTCATATATATTTGATTATCAATTGTACCTCAATAAAGTTGGAAAAATTAAAAATAAGTAAAAATAAAATAACAATTCAATAGAAACTTTTGCAAACAATATGAACAGATATTTCAAAGAAAACACCTAAAATTTGTGCAAATCTTCTTATCATGGGAAAATGTTCTGAGCCTCAATTAAAGAAAAATATATATAAATTAAAATTATAGTGCACTACTATTTACCTCCTATCATATTGGCAAAAATTCAGTTTTGAAGTTCCAGAAAAATAAACTATTTGATATTATCTGTCAATATTTCAAACAGGGAAATATTGACTCAGTAGCTGTACTTACACAATTTTTTAGTACCAAAATACTCACATAGAAATAAAATGCTCTATGCATGAAATTACTTTTATTTCATTGTTTTTAAAATCTGGGGAAAATCTCAATGTTTATCAGTAGATTGTTTAAAATATTTATTTATAAACGTAATTAAACATAATATGCATCTCTAAAAATCAATAAGAATATAGAATTAAATTCTCCTACAAATAGGTCTAGGTATGAAAATTATATAATCTCTATCTATAGGTAACTCAAAACCTCTCAACAAATCACAAAGCTTTTTCAAAATTAAAATACATCTAGATTAGCATTTGAATAAAGGTTAAATAAATGCACAGTGCAAATAATGCAGAAAATAATTCTAAATATTTATTAATTCAAAATATGAAAGCAAATAAAAACAAAAATGAAAGCATAAAGAAAACATGAATAGAATGTTAAAAAACAAGGGAGTTAATAAAGCCTTTCACACTTTAATTTATAATAATAAAAATGCTAATTATTTATACTACCTTTGAAGAGAGAAGCAGTTTCATGTTAACAGAAAATGGGTAAAAAAGAAAAAAAAAAGCAACCCACAGAGGAAAATGCAAAATAAATAATTTTTGGGGATGTGCAATGTGTAAAAAAATGACAAATCATAAAATATAAAGAATTTGTCAAAAATAGGAGGGAAAAATAATACACAAACAAAAACCTGAGCATAATAAGTAAACAAACACTTTAGAGAAATAAAGTTAATATAAATTAGGTAAAAATATTAAATACTAAGCATACTCATAATAAGAGAAGGGTAAATTTTAGTACACTGAGAAACAACTATCAAATGGATTAAAATAAAAGGCCTGCCAATCTTTAGAACATGTTAAAATTCTACATAATAAACTCATAAATAAAGATAAGTGAAAATCAAACCACAACACTTATGTAAAACTGAAACAAATAAACCTAACTGCATATTATAATTAGTAGAATAAATGATACAAAATTAATGAAAGCATTTTTATTAATTTGACCACATAAAAATAACTTGTGTAACAAAAATTGAATAAAATATAATGCAATTGGGGTGCCTGGCAAGATGGCCAAATAGGAACAGCTCCGGTTTGCAGCTCTCAGTGAGATCAACACAGAAGGTGGGTGATTTTTGCATTTCCAACTGAGGTACCCAGTTCTTCTCATTTAGACTGGTTAGACAGTGGGTGCAGCCCGCAGAGGGTGAGCCAAAGCAGGGTGGGGCATTGCCTCACCTGGGAAGCACAAGGGGTCGGGAAACTCCCTCCCCTAAACATGGGATGCTGTAGGGACTGTGCTGTGAGGAGCGGTGCACTCCAGTCCAGATACTACACTTTTCCCAAGGACTTCACAACCCACAGACCTGGAGATTCCCTCGGGTGCCTACACCACCAGAGCCCTGGGTTTCAAGCACAAAACTGGGTGGCCATTTGGACAGACACCGAGATAGCTGCAGGAGTTTTTTTTTTCATACCCCAGTGGTGCCTGGAACGCCAGTGAGACACAACCCTTCACTGCCCTGGAAAGGGGGCTGAAGCCAGGGAGCCAAGTGATCTAGCTCAGTGGATCACACCCCCATGGAGCCCAGCAAGCTAAAATCCACAGGCCTGAAATTATTGATGCCCATACAGCAGTCTGAAGTCAACCTGGGAGGGGCGTACACCATTCCTGAGGCTTGAGTAGGCAGTTTTCCCCTGATAGAGCAAACAAAGCCACAGGGAAGTTTGAACTGGGTGGAGCCCACCACAGCTCAGCAAAGCCACTGTAGCCAGACTGCCTCTCTAGATTCCTCCTCATTGGGAAGGACATCTGTGAAAGAAAGGCAGCAGCCCTAGTCGGGGGCTTACAGATAAAACTCCCATCTTCCTGGGACAGAGCACCTAGGGGAAGGGGTGGCTGTGGGCGCAGCTTCGGCAGGCTTAAATGTTCCTGCCTGCCAGCTCCGAAGAGAGCAGCGGATCTCTCAGCACAGTGCTGGAGATCCACTAAGGAACAGACTGCCTCATCAAGTGGGTACCTGACCCCAGTGGCTCCTCACTGGGAGATACCTCCCAGCAAGGGTCGACAGATACCTCATAGAGGACAGCCCTGGCTGGCATCTGGTGGGTGCCCCTCTCAGATGAAGCTTCCAGAGGAAGGAACAGGCAGCAATCTTTGCTGTTCTGCATCCTCTGCTGGTGAAAACTAGGCAAACAGGGTCTGGAGTGGACCTCTAGCAAACTCCAGCAGACCTGCAGCAGAGGGGCCTGACTGTTAGATGGAAAAGTAACAAATAGAAAGGAATAGCAGCAACATCAACAAAAATGACATCCATACAAAATCCCCATCCGAAGGTCACCTATGTCAAAGATCAAAGGTAGATAAATCCACGAAGATGAGGAAAAACCAGTGCAAAAAGGCTGAAGATTTACCAAAACCAGAATGCTTCTTCTCCAAAGGATCACACCTCCTCACCAGCAAGGGAATAAAACTGAACAAAGAATGAGTTTGGCAAATTGACAGAAGAAGGCTTCAGAAGGTGGGTAATAACAAACTCTTCTGAGCTAAAGGATCATGTCTTAATCCAATACAAGGATGCTAAGAACTTTGAAAAAAATGTTAAAGGAATTGCTAACTAGAATAACCAGTTTAGAGAAGAACATAAATGAGCTGAAAAACACAGCACAAGAACTTTATGAAGCATACACAAGTATCGATAGCCAAATCAATCAAGTGGGAGAAAGGATATCAGGGATTGAAGATCAGCTTAATGAAATAAACCATAAAGAATCAAAAGGAATGAACAAAGCCTCCAAGAAATTTGGGACAATGTGAAAAGACCAAACCTATATTTGATTGGTGTACCTGAAAGTGACAGGGAGAATAGAACCAAGCTGGAAAACACTCTTCAGGATACTATCCATGAGGACTTCACCAACCTGACAAGACAGGCCAACATTCAAATTCAAGAAATACAGAGAACACCACAAAGGCACTCCTCAAGAAGAGCAACCCCAAGACACATAATCGTAAGATTCACTGAAGTTGAAATGAAGGAAAAAATGTTAAGGGTAGCCAGAGAGAAAAGTCGGGTTACCCACAAGGGGAAGCCCCTCAGACTAACAGCAGATCTCTTGGCAGAAACCCTACAAGCCAGAAGAGAGTGGGGGCCAATATTCAACATTCTTAAAGAAAAGAATTTTCAACCCAGAATTTCATATCCAGCCAAACTAAGCTTCATAAGTGAAGGAGAAATAAAATCCTTTAAGACAAGCAAATGCTGAGAGATGTTGTCACCACTAGGCCTGCCTTACAAGAGATCCTGAAGGAAGTACTAAATATGGAAAGGAAAAACCGGTTCCAGCCTCTGCAAACACATACAAAATTGTAAAGACCATTGACACTTTGAAGAAGCTGTATCAACTAACGGGCAAAATAACCAGCTAGCATCATAATGACAGGATCAAATTCACACATAACAATATTAACCTTAAACGTAAATGGGCTAAATGCCCTCAATTAAAAGACACAGACTAGCAAATTGGATAAAGAGTAAAGACCCATCAGTGTGCTGTATTCAGGAGACCCATCTCCCATGCAAAGATACACATAGTCTCAAAATAAAGGGATGGAGGAATATTTACCAAGCAAATGGAAAGCAAAAAATAAAAAAAAAGCAACAGGGGTTGCAATCCTAGTCTCTGATAAAACAGACTTTAAAACAACAAAGATCAAAAAAGACAAAGAAAGGCATTACAAAGTAGTAAAGAGATAAATGCAACAAGAAGAGCTATTTTTGATATATGTGCACCTAATACAGGAGCACCCAGATTCATATAGCAAGCTCTTTGAGACCTACAAAGACACTTAGACTCCCACACAATAATAGTGGGAGATTTTAACACCCAACTGTGAATATTAGACAGATATGAGACAGAAAATCAACAAGGATATTCAGGACTTGAACAAGCTCTGGACCAAGCAGACCTAATAAACATCTATAGAACTCTCCACTCCAAATCAACAGAATATATATTCCTCTCAGCACCACATCCCACTTATTCTAAAATTGACCACATAAATGGAAGTAAAACACTCCTCAGCAAATGCAAAAAAAACATTGATATGATAACAAACAGTCTCTCAGACCACAGTGCAATCAAATTAGAACTCAAGATTAAGAAACTCACTCAAAACTGCACAACTACATGGAAACTGAACAACTTGCTCCTAAATGACTACTGGGTAAATAACTAAATGAAGGCAGAAATAAATAAGTTATTTGAAACATTGAGAACAAAGACGACGTACCAAATCTCTGGGACACAGCTAATGCAGTATTTAGATGGAAATTTATAGCACTAAATGCCCACAGGAGAAAGTGGGAAAGATCTAAACTCGACACCCTCACATCACAATTAAAATAACTAGAGAAGCAGAAACAAACAAATTCAAAAGCTAGCAGAAGACAAGAAATAACTAAGGTCAGAGCACAGCTGAAGGAGATAGAGACATGAAAGACCCTTCAAAAAGTCAGTGAATCCAGGAACTGGTTTTTGAAAAGATTAACAAAATAGATAGACCACTAGCCAGACTAATAAAGAAGAAAAGAGAGAAGAAAAAAATAGAAACAATAAAAAATGATAAATGGGATATTACCACTGATCCCACAGAAATACAAACTACCATCAGAGAATACTATAAATACCTCTACACAAATAAACTAGAAAATCTGGAAGAAATGGATAAATTCCTGGGCACATACACTCTCCCAAGACTAAACCAGGAAGAAGTTGAATCCTTGAATTGATCAATAACAAGTTCTGAAATTCAGGCAATAGTTAATAGCCTACCAACAAAAAAAGCCCAGGACCAGATGGATTCACAGCTTAATACTACCAGAGGTACAAAGAGGAGCTGGTAGCATTCCTTCTGAAACTATTCCAACAATGGAAAAAGAGAGAATCCTCCCTAATTCATTTTATGAAGCCAGCATCATCCTGATACCAAAGCCTGGCAGAGACACAACAAAAAAGGAAAAATTCAGGCCAATATCCCTGATTAACATCGATGTGAAAATCCTCAGTAAAATACTGGTAAACTGAATCCAGCAGCATATCCAAAAGCTTATCCACCACAATCAAGTCGGCTTCATCCCTGGGATGAAAGGTTGGTTCAACATGTACAAATCAGTAAACGTAATCTATCACATAAACAGGACCAATTACAAAAACCACATGATTATCTAAATAGATGCAGAAAAGGCCCTTGATAAAATTCAACACCCTTTCATGCTAAAAACTCTCAATAAACTAGGTATTGATGGAACATATCTCAAAATAATAAGAGCTATTTATGACAAACCCACAGCCAATATCATACTTAATGGGAAAAAGCTGAAAGCATTCCCTTTGAAAACTGGCACAAGACAAGGATGCCCTCTCTCACCACTCCTATTAAACACAGTATTGGAAGTTCTGGTCAGGGCACTCAGACAAGACAAAAAAAAAGTGTATTCAAATAGGAAGAGACGAAGTAATTTATAGATTCAATGCTGTCCCCATCAAGCTACCATTGACTTTCTTCACAAAATTAGAAAAAAATACTATAAATTTCTTATGGAACCAAAAAAAAGCCCATAAAGCCAAGATGATCCTAAGCAAAAAGAAAGCTGGAGGCATCATGCTACCTAACTTCAAACTATACTACAAGGCTACAGTAACCAAAATAGCATCGTACTGGTACCAAAACATACGTAGACCAATGGAATAGAAAAGAGGCCTCAGAAATAATGCCACACATCTACAACTATCTGATCTTTGACAAACCTGACAAAAACAAGCAATGGCAAAAGGATTCCCTATTTAATAAACGGTGTGAAAACTGGCTAGCCATATGCACAAAATGGAACTGGACCTCTTCCTTACACCTGACAAAAAAAATTAACTCAAGATGGATTAAAGACTTAAACGTAAGACCTAAAACTATAAAAACTCTAGAAGAAAACCTAGGCAATACCATTCAGGACACAGGCATGGGCAAAGACTTTATAACTAAAACATCAAAAGCAATGGCAATACAAGCCAAAATTGACAAATGGGATCTAATTAAACTAAAGAGCTTCTGCACAGCAAAAGAAACTATCATCAGAGTGAACAGACAACCTACAGAGTGGGAGAAAATTTTTGCAATCTATCCATCTGACAATGGGCTAATATCCAGGATCTACAAGGAACTTAAACAAATTTACAAGAATAAAACTGACAACCCCATTAAAAAGTGAGCAAAGGATATGAACAGACACTTCTCAAAAGAAGACATTTATGTGGCCAACAAACATATGAAAAAAAAGTTCATCATCAATGGTCATTAGAGAAATGCAGATCAAAACCACAGTGAGATACCATCTCATGCCAGTTAGAATGGCGATCATTAAAAATTCAGGAAACAATTCAGAGAAGATGTGGAGAAATAGGAATGCTTTTACACTGTTGGTGGGAGTGTAATTTAGTTAAACCATTGTGGAAGACAGTGTGGTGATTCCTCAAGGACCTAGAATCAGAAATATCATTTGACTCAGAAATCCCATTTCTGGGTATATACCCAAAGGATTATAAATCATTCTACTATAAAGACACATGCACATGTATATTTATTGCAGCACTATTCACAATAGCAAAAACTTGGAACCAACCCAAATTTCCACCAGTGATAGACTGGATAAAGAAAATGTGGCATATATACACCATGGAATACTATGCAGCCATAAAAAAAGATGAGTTTATGTCCTTTGCAGGGACATGGATGAAGCTGAAAATCATCATTCTCAGCAAACTAACACAGGAACAGAAAACCACCACCACATGTTCTCGCTCGTAAGTGGGAGTTGAAAAATGAGAACACATGGACACAGGGAGGGGAACATCACACAATGGGGCCTTTTGTGGGGGTGGGGGGATAGGAGAGGGAGTATTAGGAGAAATGCCTAATGTGGATGATGGGTTGATGGGTGCAGCAAACCACCATGGCACGTGTATACTTATGTAACAAACCTGCACGTTTTGCACATGTATTTCAGAACTGAACATATAATAATAAAAAAATGCAATCCACATTCCAATCAATAATAGTGAATACATGGATAGCCACCAACTGATCCTATGTAAAAATTACCAGAAAGACAATGCATAGAAGAGTGACTTTTAAAAATAAGCAGGTTTATGGAGAAATAAATTTAAGCTAGTTCGATTAAATAAATTTTGAAAGATATAATTTCACAGTCATGATATTGGCAAAAATGTAGTTTTAATATATGCACTATTGCCTACATGAAACCTTATATAATGATGGTAGATGTGTCAAGTAGTAAAAATGCTTGGGAAAAATTGGAAAATATTTAGTAAATGTAAGGCATACCCCAAGTTAGCTGTTAGCTTTTTTTTTTTTTTTTTTTTTGAAAGGGAGTCTTGCTCTTTTTGCCCAGGCTGGAGTGCAATGGTGTGATCTCGGCTCACTGCAACATCCATCTCCGGGTTCATTCAAGTCTCCTGCCTCAGTCTCCCTAGTAGCTGGGATTATAGGTGCCTGCCACCACGGCCAGCTAATTTTTGTATGTTTAGTAGAGATGGGGTTTCACCATGCCAGCCAGGCTGGTCTCAAACTCCTGACCTCAGGTGATCCACCCGTCTCAGCCTCCCAAAGTGTTGGGATTACAGTTGTGAGCCACCACACCCGGCCAGTTAGCTCTTGAATATACATGCATTTGGCCATACACTATAGAATGACTTAATGAAAACACAAGAGTGGCAAAAGCTTATTGCCTACAAGTAGGAACATGGATATATAAAGTGTGACTTCTCATACATTAAAATACTGTACATCATACTTTAGAATAAACTAAGCAAATCTATGTAATTCAATGTAAAACTATCTTAAAACACTATATTGAATGTTAACAAAAAGACATTGAATGGTGGAGGGCCTATAATACATTTATATAAATTTAAAAATGAACACATAAAAACTATTTTTAACTATGGAACTATAATAACTCTCTAAACCTTGGGCAGTAACTTCTAGTGAGAAGTAGAACAATTAGATAATGGTGTCTGGTAGAGATATAATGGAGCTGAAATGTTATCTGCAATATTTAATTCATTTAAAAAGATCTTAAAGATGCATAATATATTACAATTTTAATATAGGGTTTATGTGTGCATGTGTGTTCAGTATATTATTTTATGCTATTTTAGAAGTTGTAATAAAAATAAAAATAACGCTTAAATTTTCATCCACATTTCTGGGAAGATAGAGTCTCAAAGTGCTTTATGGAGATGTCTGTATAAAATACCCACTAAACTTAAATGGTGAATTTCAAATTAATTATTAAAAGCAAAAGTAGCTGACAAATGAGATGAATTTTAAATATTTTATGGTACCATGCAATTTTGTTACCTTGTAGTTCCAAGCTCTTTGATGAGTTGTGAAAGCTGTTTCTTGTACTAATATCAAATATTTAGTTATTTTTAAATGATGATTTTTCCAGACCTATAAAATGTTTTTATCATCTTAAATATCGTAGGCTTCAATATCCTTGTGAAAAGTAGTGCAAACCTAAATTATAAATCTTTACAAGAAATTACCTTATTTGGCTTCTATTTCATTCTTTTTTGATATGTCTGCACTTCAATAATCCTCATTTGATTGTTTTGTAAAAATTTATTTATTTTATAGTATATACTAAAGTATACAACATGATGTTTTAATATACATAGTGAATTAGTTCCTATAGTCAAGCAAATTGACGTATCTATCATCTTACATAATTACCCATTTTTTTAAATCATAAGAGCACCTAAATCTACTTTCTTAACAAATTTCCAATTACAGTATAATATTACTAACTATAGTTCTTGTGCTGTACATTAGAGCTCTAAGAATTATTCTCCCTACATAACTTGCAACTTTTTACTCTTTGACTTGCATCTCACCATTTCTTTTCTCTCCCCACCCCATCTATAGTAACCACTATTCTATCCTCTTGTTTCTATGTATTTGACTTACTATTTAAATTTCATATATGTATGAGAACATGCAGTAATTTTTTTTTCTATCTGGCTTATTTCACTGAACATAAGTTCACCCATGTTGTTGCAAATGGTAGAGTCTCCTCTTTTTTTTCTTTTAGGCTGAATAATATTTCCTTGTAGGTATATACCACATTTCTTCAACCATTCATCCATCGATGACTATTTATGTTGTTTCTCTATCTTTGCAACTGCAATACAATAATGACCATGAGAGGGCAGATACCCCTATGAGGTGCTGATTTTTATTTATTTTGAGCAAAATTTTTATTTCCAGAGGGGTTGCTGGGTCACCTGATAGCTTCATTTTTAGTTGTTTTGGTGGAACCTCCATACTGTTTTCATAATAGTTGTACCAATTTACATACCTACTAAAAATGTTCGAGGGTTTTCTTTTCTGCTGACTCTCAAAAATTGATATTTCTTGTTTTTGAAGTAATAGCCATCCTAACAGATGTGTGGTGATATATCATTGCAGTTTTGACTTGTATTTCTCCAATGATTTAGAGAACCTTTCCATGTACGTATTGGTAATTATATGTCTTCTTTCAGGGGATGTCTATTCAAGTCCTTTGCACATTTTTAAAATGAGTTTTTTGTTTAATTAATTAATCAATTAACTGCTATTGAGTTGTACAACTTCTTTATATATTTTGAATATTAACCACTTATCAGACATATGGTTAGCAAATATTTTCTCCCAATACATAAACTTCATTTTCACTCTGTTGTTTGTTTACTTTCTTGTGGGGAGCTTTGTAGTTTGATGTAATTCCATTTGTTTATTTTTTTCTTCTGTTATCTGAGCTTTTGTTATCACATCCAAAACATCATTGACAAAGCCAATGTCAAGAAAATTTTCTCTGATGTTTACTTCTAGAAATTATATGGTTTCAGGCCTTATGTGTAGGTCTTCAATTTATTTTGAGTTGACATTTGTGGCATTAAAGATCCAACTTTATTCTTTTGCATGTGGATATCCAGTATACTAATATCATTTATTGAAAAAGATTATCCTTTCCCCATGTGTCTTCTTGGTGTCCTTCTCAAAAATTAGTTGACTGTACATGCATGGATTTATTTTGGGGCTCTCTATTCTGTTCCATCAGTCTATGTGTTTGTTTTTATGCCATTATTATACTGTTTTGATTATTACAGCTTTATAATACCATTTAAAATTAGGAAGTCTGACGCCTCCAACTATTTCTCTTTTTCAAGTTTGCTCTCTGGCTATTTGAAATCTCTTGAGGTTTTATACAAATTTTAGAATTTTGTCTATTTCACTGAACAAGGTCATTAGAATTTTGATTGGGATTCCATTGAATCTGTATATTGCTTTGGGTAATATAGATATTTTAACAATTATTTCAATCCACAAACATAGGAATCTTCTCATTTATTTGTGTCCATTTCAATTACTTTCACTGGTATTTTATATTTTTCAATGTACAGACATTTTACCTTTTGGATAAATTCTTTTTTAAGAATTTTAGTCTTTTGATGACATTATAAGTAGCATTGTTGGTTGATTTCTTTTCAGTATATTACGGTGATGTATTTTTTCCGTTATTGGTATAACAATAAATGCAACTGATTTTTGTATGTTGATTTTGCATACTGCAACTTTACTGAAATCATTTACTAATTATAAATGTTTTTGTGGATTCTTTAGGGTTTTCTACGTGTAAAATCATGCCATTTGCAAATAGAAATAATTCTATTTCTTCCTTTACATTTTGTCTGATCTCTCTTTCTTTCTTTCCTTTCTTTCTTTCTTTCTTTCTTTTTCTTTCTTCTATCTTTCTCTCTCGCTTTCTTTTTTTTTTTTTCTCTGATTGTGCTTGCTATTACCTCCAGTACTATGCTGAATAGAACTGGTGAGAATGGGCATCTTTGCCTTGTACTACTAAATGTCAGAAAAAAGGTGTTTAGTTTTACCTTTGTGGGAGTAAAAAGCTGTGATATTTTTATAAATGTCATTTATCATGGTTGAGAAAATTTACTTCTATACTGAAATTGCTTAGAGTTTTTAACATAAAAGCATGTTGACATTTGTCAAATGATTTTTTTGTATCTCTTAAGATGATCATGTGATTTGTATCTTTTATTCTGTTAATGTAGAGTATCACATTGATTGATTTACATGTTAATACAACCTTGCATTACAGGAATAAATTTCAATTGGTCATAATATATAATCACTAATGTTTTGTTGAATCAGTTTGCTAGAATTTAATTGAAGGTTTTTGTAAATCTTTTTTTCAGAGATATTGGGCTGTAATCTTTTTCCTCTGTGGTGTGTTTGTTTAGCTTTGATATCAAGTTGATACTTGCTTCATAACATGAGTTTAGAAGTGATTGTTTCTCTGCTATATATTTGGAAGAGTTTAAGCAGGACTAGTACTCATCTTCTAAATGTTTGGTAGAACTCACCTGTGAAGTCATCTGATACTAGATTTTTAAAATGTTGTTGGGAGGTTTTTAATAACTATTTCACAATCTTTATTTGTTGTCTTTTCAGGCTTTCTACTTTTCCATGTTTTAATCTTGTTCAGTTGTATGTTTCC
Source organism: Homo sapiens (assembly GCF_000001405.40). NCBI lineage: Eukaryota > Metazoa > Chordata > Mammalia > Primates > Hominidae > Homo > Homo sapiens. The sequence goes on from NC_000004.12 coordinate 32,419,661, forward strand.
AGAAATTTATCCATTTCTTCTAGTTTATTCAGTTTGTTGGGATATAATTGTTTATATTAGTCCCTTATGTTCTTTTTTATTTCTGAGGCTTCCATTATAATGTGCCTTCTTTCATTTATGACTTTATTTATTTAATATTTTTTTCTCTCAATCTAGATAAGGGTTTGTCACATTTGTTTGGTCTTAAAAATAATTGAGTTTTGTTGTTTTTTTCGCAGTTTTTCTATTCTCTATTTGATTTATTTCTACCCTAATCTTTATCATTATCTTCATTCTCATAACTTTGAGTTTAATTTGTTTTTTTTTTAGCTTCTTGGGATGTAATATTATGTTGTTTATTTCAGATCTCTCTTCTTTTTTAATGCAGACATTTAGCACCACAAAATTCCCTCTTAGAACTGCTTTTGCTGTATCCCATAGGATTTAAAATGCTGTGTTTCTATTTTCAGTTGTCTTCAGATATTTCGAGCTTCTTTTTTGATTTTTGACCCATTGACAATTCAGAAACATGTTGTTTAATTTCTACATAGTTGTTCATTTCATAGTATTCCTTCTATCATTGATTTCTAATTTCATACCACTGTGGTCAGAAAAGATACTTGGTACTTGGTATGATTTCAATCTTCTTAAATTGTAAGACATGTTTGGTGTCCTAATACATGGTTTATCCTGAAGAAGTGAGTATCTTGTAGGCAAGATATTGTTAGATCATGGTTTTTATTTATTCAGCCATTCTATCACATTTGAGTAGATAATTTAATCAATTTACATTCAACGTAATTATTGATGAGAAAGGATTAATAGTGCCATTTTGTTTATTGTTTTCTGTTTGTTTTGTAGACACTTTCTTCTTTTCTCTTCTTTTTCTGACTGATATGCTTTGATTACTTTCTCTATTATTGTATTAGTCCATTTTTCAGGCTACTGTTAAAGACATAAATGAGACTGGTCAATTTACAAAAGAAAGAGGTTTACTGGATTTACAGTTCCACATGGCTGGGGAGGCCTCACAATCATGGTGGAAGACAAGGAGGAGCAAGTCACATCTTACATAGATGGCAGCAGGCAAAGAGAGAGACCATGTGCAGAGAAACTCCTGTTTTTAAAGCCATCAGATCTCATGAGCCCCATTCACTATAATGAGAACAACATGGGAAAAACCTGCCCCCATGATTCAATCATTTTTCACCAGGTACCTCCCACAACACATGGGAATTAGGGGAGCTACAAGATAGATTTGGGTGGGAACACAGAGCCAAATCATATTAGTTATGATGATGATTACATAACATATGATGTAAATATAACAGTGTATTTCACCTGAATAGCAACTTTGATTTTATACTAAAATTCTATACTTCAAGTGTTCCTTCCTTTCTTCCTTTACGTTATTACATTAAACTTAAAATATTTTTTTGATGTAACAACTTAAAATATTTTTATATTATGTACCCACTAAGGAAATGTTATATCTTTTGTTACTAGTAATGCGTTTGTCTTTTAGTCTTTATTCTGTAGTTTAAAATGATTTGCACATCACTATTACAATATTATTCTAAACTTAGGAGTATATTTTCCTCTACTAGTGAATTTCATACTGTCACATTTTTCAAGTTAGTAATTCACATTATTTCATTTCAACTTGAAGAACTCCCTTTAATATTTCTTGTAAGGCAAGTCTAGTACTGAATAACTCCTTTATCTTTTTTTATTTTGTGTTGTTATTGTTGTCTAGGACTGTATTTCTCTTTTGTTTTTAAAGGACTACTTTGTCAGGTAAAGTATTCTTATTTGACATATACTTTTTTTTTCTTTCAAGACTTTGTATATACATTAGTCCCTCCTTATCTGTGGTTTCACTTTTTGTGGTTTCAGTTATCTGTAGTCAACTGTAGTCAGAAAATATTAAATGGAAAATTCCAGAAATAAACAATTCATAAATTTTAAATCGCACACCATTCTGAGTAATGTGATAAAAGCTTGCTCTGTTCCACCTTGAATGCGATCATCACTTTGTTCAGTGGATCCATCCTCTATACACTACCCATCTTTCAGTCACTTTGTAGCCATCTCAGTTATCAAGACAGACTGTCACAATATTGCAGTGCTTGTATTTGAGTAACACTAATTCTACTTAACAATGGCCTAAAAGTGCAATAGTGGTAATGCTAGAAGTTGGGTATGCCAAAGAGAAGCCATAAAATGCTGTTAAGTGAAAAGATGAAAGTTCTCCACTTAGTAAAAAAATAATAACAATGTTATGTTGGAAGTTGCAAAAATCTATGATTAAAAAAATCAATGTTCTATCTGTCAAATTTTGAAGAAGGAAAATCTATTGTGCTAGTTTTGTTTTCCCACCTGAAACTGCAAAGTTGCAGCCACAGCAAACAAGTGCTTACTTGTTCAGATGAAAAGGGCCTTAAATGTGTTAGCAGAATAAAAGGATATTTTGAGAGAGAGGGACCACATTTATGTAACTTTTATTACAGTATATTATTATATTGTTTCTATTTTATTATTGTTAATCTCTTGCTGTGCCTAATTTATAAGTTAAACTTTATTATAAGTATGGATGTATGGACAAAAGATAGTATATATACAGTTTCATACTATCTGGAGCTTTAGGTATTCACTGAAGGGTCTTAGAACATATTCCCTGCAGATAAGCGGGGAGTACTGTATCATTCCATTTGCTCTGAGCCTGCAAGTTTCTCCTTTGAAATCTACTGACTGCTTTATGGAGATTCCCAAGTATGTAAAATATTGATTTTCTCTTGTCTCATTTTCTTGATATTAGACAGTTTGATTATAATGTGCCTCAGGACAGAAATCTTTGGATTGAAGTTGTTTAGAAATATTTGTACTTCATATGTCTCCTAAGATTTGGGAAGTTTTCAGCCATTATTTTTTGATACATACTTTCTACTTCTTTCTCATGTCATTCTCCTTTTGGAACTTCCATAATGCATAATGGGTTCACTTAATGGTGTCCCATAAGTCCTATAGGCTTTCTTCATTTGTTTTCTCTTTTTTCTTCTGAGTGGGTAATTTCAAAACTTGTTGAGTTTGCAATTATTTTCCTTCTGCTTGATCAAGTCTACTGTTGAAGATCTCTATTGCATTTTTTTTTTCATTTTACTGATTATATTCTTCAGCTCTAGGATTCCCATTGGGTTCTTATTTATAACTTCTATCTCTTTGTTAAACTTCCCATTTTATTCATGTAGTGTGTTTCTGATTTCATTTAGTTTATTTGTGTGCTCTTGTATCTAAGCGACTTTTTCAAAATAATTATTTTGAATTTCTTTTTAGGCAATTTGTAGATACGCATTTTGAGGAGTTAAGTACTAGATAATTATTGTGTTACTTTGGTAATGTCATAATTTCTTGATTTTTTTGTTTCTTGTTGCTTTGTATCTGTTCATTTGATGAAGTAGTCACCCTTTTTAGACTACTGTAGCACCTGAGTCCTGGGATGTGGGCATACTCATTGACACATGGACATGTACAGGTCATCCATGAATTCATGGTCTGAGACTCTGAGGCATACCCTGGTGGCTCAGACCCACTGGTTAGAGTCCAAAAAGGTATAGCTGTGGTCAGACTTCAGGGAGCAGGATACAGCAGTGGCATGGCCCTAGGGTTAAGGGATAGTTTGGTGGTTCAGCCTTCAGAGGAAGACAGCAGGGGCAACTTAGTTCCCAGGGATGTATAAGTGTACCTGTGACTGAGGCCCTGAAGGGCAGGAGGCAGCACTTCGATCCCTGTGGTGCTGCAGCACTCTGGTCATTCAGACTCTGGTGGGTATGATGCCTCAGCCTTGAGGCCCCAAGGTTGGTGGGCTATCAAAGTGACTTGGGCCTTAGGGTTGATACGGCTCCACAGCAGCGCAGCCCTGGGATTGTGACACAGTGGTAATTGGAGCCCCAGTAGGCAGGGCCCTGCACAGTGGTGATTTCATTTCCTGGGATACCAGACACCACAGTAGCTTAGGCCACAGTGGGAGAATAAAGTGGCAGTAAGGCCCTAGGAATGTTGAGGCACAGCTGTGGCTCAGTTTCCAGGGTGTGAGGTACAGCATGATTAAGCCCCCAGTAATAGCAGGGCACAGTTGTGACTCTGCCTCTGAGGGGTGTGGCTCCAAGATTAATGTGACTTTGTAGCAGCTCAGTTTCAGGAGTAAGGGTGAAACTGCAATGCAGGCCCTGGAGGGTGGGGCACAGCTCAGCAGCAATTCTGGTCCTTGGGTAAGTGGGGCACTACAGACCTGAGTAGCAGGGTGCAGTGCAGCAATTATATCGGTTCCTGGGAATGCTGATGCTGCAGCAGCTCAGGCCTCCCTGGATGGGGCAGCGTAACACAGTGAGGACTCCCGTCCTGGGACTACAGGCTCCATCACAACTCAGGCTCCAGAAAGGGAAGGGCATGCATTGACCCAAGACCATAGGGGTGGGGTACAGCAGCTACTCATGCCAGGGATGGAGGGATATCATGCACCCCAGACAGGTAGGGAGGAGTGCAGTGGCAACGAGGCCCCAGGGATGGAAGGGTGCAAAATCTACCCTGGTCCGGGGAGTCCAGCACAGCACAGTACATCAGCAGTGCTAGTTTTTCCAGCAGTGCTACTTTTTCCAGCAGGTTCTGGAAAGCTCCCTCAGTTGGGCTCAGTGCTCTTGAAGACTGCACTTGAAGAGCTCTTGAAGAGTTCCCAGTGGCAAAATGCTACAGGTATCCTCAGTTGGAGTTTGGATCATAATCTTGAAAGACATAATACTGAATGCCATATTCTCTGATGTTGAAATCTGGAAAAATCATAGTCCCTAAAGAGCAAAGTCTTTAAATTCTAAATCTCTAATGTCTAATAGATTGAAAATCATAATCACAAGATAGTTGCATCATGTTAGGCTGGACTAGTAGTACCTTGTTATTGTCTTCATGCAGAGGAAAATAAATTTCAATTCAATACCCAAAATATAACAACAGATTTGGAATTAGGTGCTACCAAGTCTTCTAAAGTAAATTTCAAAGTGTTACTAATAAAGATCGTTTTTTCCATTTATTCTGATGCATTTGGTAGAACATTCAGATAAATGGTTTAGCCATGTGATATGAAAACTTCAGATTAAAAATGCGTCATTTGCCTGCATTGACATTCCTCTCAGCTGATGACATTCCAGGAGCTCTTAATGAATTAAAGGTGCATTTGCCTGAAGAAGCGACTGAAGTTACTGTTTTGTAAATAATTGTGTACATGGTAGGATAAGAAGACACTTAGGCAATGGTGTTTGCTGTTAGATCACCGTATTGTTTCCACCAAATCTGTGGTCTACATGTGCATGGGGTGTGGATTTCTGCATACCCCAAACAACAAAGAACCATGGCACGTAAGATGGAAAAATTTGACAGGAAGGTTCATGTCAGTGTATGTTAAATCATAGAAGAACTGCAAAAAGAGTAGTGTCACACAGAAAATGAATGTAAACGTATGCTCTGAGGAGAGACATGTCTTAAGCAAATAAAGCAGCTATTCATCATGATGAATGCAAGACTACAAAACATAGTTAATGATCATGAAAGTTGTTCATTTCTTATGGATTATCTCTGTAATACACGTTTTTACATGACAAATTTTCTTTTTAGTTTTTTTTAGTTTTTAAAAAAATATTTTATATTGTCAGCATTATTTTTTGCCATTTGCTATGCTCTGTGGTTTATATTTTTGTCATTTCTAATAGTAAAGGTATGAATCATGTAAAGACTTTTACAGAGTTCTGACACATTTTATGTATTTTTTTACAAGGTGATTTTATAAAAGCATATTATCACAATGTTTACTTTGTGACCATGTATTTTGCATGTACATAAAGACATTGAAACTTCCTCGATTAGCTGAGGAGGCTTTTTTGTTGTATATCCGCTTTTGTGAAAAATAAAATTTTTAAAAATCTTGGGTCTTTGGGCAACTGGTGTGGCTATGCAGTGGTGATCCATCATGGTTTTTTATCAATCTTTTCCAAATGCTTAGGTTGTCCATCACTGTATTTCAGTATTTCAGATGACTGCTGCCATAAAGATGGGCACACACAACTAACAACCATAGTGATACTTGTTTATGCACTTTGAATTTTGACTTATGTCTTTATGAATATGGCTTGTCTACTCATAACTGTTATACCCATATAACTGTCATTGGTATACCTAAATGTTTATTTATGCAAAAATATATGTTATTTTGCCTATTTTATTATTGATATGGTTCGGCTGTGTTTCCTCACTAAAATCTCATCTTAAATTGTAATCCCCATGTGTCAGGGTAGAGATCTGGTGGAAGGTGAATGGATCATGGCGGTGATTTCTTCCATGCTGTACTCGTGATAGTGAGTGAGATCTCATGAGATCTGATGGTTTAAAAGTGTGACACTTACCCCATTGCTCTCTCTTTCCTGCCACCAGGTAAGACGTGCGTTACTTCCCCTTTGCCTTCCGCCATGATTGTAAGTTTCCTGAGGCCTTCGCAGCCTTGCAGAACTGTGAGTCAATTAAACCTCTTTTCTTTTTAAATTACTCAGTCTCGGATTGTTCTTTGTAGCAGTGTGAAAATGGACTAACAGAATTGTGTAAAGTGGCCTATGTTCTCCTATGTTTTAAGTTTCTTGTTGTAAAAATAAAAATATCTTTAAATTTTTTTCTTAATTGCACTTTCCAGAATTATGTTTTCAATAATTTGATCATTTGAAATTGTGATTTTCAGGGTTTTAGACTTCAGGGAGTTGAATCTTTTAGGATTTCAACATTTGGGATTATGATGTTTGGCATTGTGTGCTTTGGAAATTATGATTCGTTCCCCCACAGTGGTGTTGAGGGCTACTAAGGCCTTCTTGCTTACCTTTTTCTTGGATGGGTGAATCATTCTTGGATCCTTGTTGATCCTGACTGGAGAGTGGAGTGTTTGCTGCAGACAAAAGGTTTCTTACTCTTCTATTTGGTCGGCCTTTGTTTCTGCACTCCATAGCATTTCTGCTATTTCTCTGCTGTACTCTGGAGCTCTCTCTTATATTTCACAGTTACATTCATCAACAGGTAGTTATTTCTTTGTTGTTTTTGTTGTTCTTATGGGGGAGATAAGCACGGGAACCTGCTGGCCTGCTAGTCTGACATCTTGTTGATTTCACTGGTTATTTCTTAATGAGTGTTTCTCAGGTCATTCTAAGTGATAGAGCAACACTCTCAGGGTAGCTCATACAGTACAAAAGAAACATTCGAAAAAAATGTGCTGTTAAGTAACCATATTCCAGAGTAAAGTGTAATATTCTCATCTGTAATTATGACTTTTTTTAATTTGTAGAATTGAATTCCTTCACTATGTTAATAATCAGTTGTATATAGAAGAAAACTTACATCATGAAAATATAGCGATTACATTCATTGTGTGGAAAATATTAGCAAAACAGAGCAAAAAATAGTATCAAATTATTATTCAAATCACAATTGTTCAGATAACACATTATTGGGTAAATATTTCAAAAACTGTATTCATTGCCTGATAATCAGGTGCAAAAATGTAAAGATTAGTTTCTGACATTATAATTTATTATTTATATAAAGAATATTATTGTGTTCCAGTCAAATTTTATAAAATTGGTTAGACTTTTTAGGTTGTTGTACAACACATTATTTTCTTCCCATAAGATACTAAAAACCTTTCAATTGCATATTTTTGTATAGAATATCTGATTTTCAAGATAGAATATGAGATGCCTATTTACTTATGTAAAGTCATTTCTCAGGGCACTTCATTATGTTCATTTCATCTGGATTCAATTCACGTGTTGATGACAGATTTTGTGAGCAATCCTTATTAGTGGTAATGTTTTTTAGCAGGTCATAGAAACTGCTGGCTGCTGCTCCCTGAAATTCACATCCTTTCCTTTATACAGCTAGATTACATTTGTCTGCCTTTCTTGTTATTTGTCACTCGATTCTAGTCAATAGATTATAGACGGAAAATTGGCACTATGTTCATAAAAACTTTCTATAACCTCTCCTCCGTGAGCTTTCCTCCCCCTCCTCTTGACAGCTAGAATGAGAAATACGTCCAGAGTAATCCCCAGTGTAACATTAAGAGCTTTGTATTGAAGAACTACATGTGTTTCATAATTTTAACTTGAACAACCTTGGTGAGAAGGGTTTGTATCCATCTATCATAAAAAATGTTCTTCAGAAACCTTGGAATACAGCAAATACAATTATTAAAGAGTCTAAAGTTTGGCCGGGCCCCGTGGCTTACGTCTGTAATCCCAGCACTTTGGAAGGCCGAGGTGGGTGGATCACTTGAGGTTAGGAGTTCGAGGCCAGCGTGGCCAAGAAGGTGAAACCCAATCACTACTAAAATACAAAAATTAGCCAGATGTGGTGGCAGACACCTATAATCCCAGCTACTCGGGAGGCTGAGGCAGGAGAATCACTTGAACCCATGAGGAGGAGGTTGCAGTGAACTGAGATCTTCCCACTGCACTCCAGTCTGGACAACAGAGTGAGACTCTGTCTCAAAAAAAAAAAAAAATTCTAAGGTCTAATACAGGACCTGATTGTGAGGGGCATGCTGATCTGTTTAAGCCACATCGTCATTAAGCCTGTGACATATATATATGTGTGTGTGTGTGTGTGTGTGTGTGTGTGTGTGTCTGTGTGTGTGTATATATGGACTTCATTGCTTTAATTAACATGGGGCATTTTTTTTTCCACTATTCAGTTAAAGTGGATCCTCAGGTGATATTTTACTTTGTATGAACGTACAACTCAAAGAAAAGTAGCTTCAGCACCATTCACTGTTATGTATAGTTTCTTTGAGGAAATCATTTTGTGCATAATAATTTTTAAATATTAAAATATTAGTTTATCTACCATTGCTATGGTTTTGTCATGGCAGTGTGCAACAGTGGTGGAAGAGGCAAAAATGGTGACTTATAATACCATCTGGATCAGAAATACAACATTTATTTAGTATAATTAAGTATTCCCATTCAAGTATTAAATATAACACAACCAAATGAAATCCAACAGTACTACTGAATAAATCTAATTGCTATATCTAAATAGAATATGTGAGTTTTTTTATTATATTTTTTCACTGATTAAATAAAAAACAACAGACTATAGATTTGTTGTTACAAATACCATACTGGTTGGCAGATATAAAAACTCTTTCTGTACAAGGTCCTTAAAAAGTACAATCAAAGCATTATTTGGATAATGACTTAAGAGTGGCAGGGTTGCTAATCATATCTATTTTACATGTATCCAGTTACTGCAATAATAAATGTAAGATTTGATATGCAGAATCCAAATAGCATTTCATGGTATGGTAATAGTAATTTTAATTTTTGATGTTTAATCAGATGTTTACAGGAATACAGTCATTTAATATTTTTATTGTTTATACAGATATGTAATTTCTTCTCATTTTTACTCATCCCATGATCTGCAGTTAAGCTTATGTAATCGTCACTGCTGTAATTCTTTTCTATTGTATGGATTACATTATATGCTTTGGGCATAAAGCAAGAGAAAATAATGGAGTTTTCAAATAGTTATGCCTCTTGTCTCCAATGAATGTAAGATAATTGCATTAAGAAAGAGAAGCAGAATGTTGTGCTTTTGCCAACAGGAAATGGTTATCATTGTCCAACAAAGAATAAAATAAACTATGTAGATAAAGACTCTGCCTTGATCCAACGTAAATCATGCAAAACTAACACATTTATCCTAACTGTCTTTGAAAATGGATAATGGATTCCTTGTTTGAATTAACATGAGCTGGAAACAGGTTAAACTGTATTGTTGTATTGCATAATTATAGCAAAATAAGAATCTCTTGTCAAGAACACAACTTATTCTTAACTTCTCTGAGACAGGAAAAATCTCTCGGCCAGGAAATAGATCTCAGGAAAATAACCTGACAGATAAAACATGCATAAATTAGGTAGTGACATATAAACACACACACAACCATACTTTAATTCATATATATATTAATAAATATAAAATAGGCTTATAAAAGAAAAGTTTATTTACACAAATATTTAGTATATACATATTTTATATAGGGCATTGAGCTAATTTATTTGCATGTATTATTTATGAATTAAAGGTGTTTTATTTAGTTTCATCAACAAATATGTTACATTTATTTTATATTTATATTTTTATATATGCTTTATGCGTTTATTTACTTAGTCTCAGGAATAAGGACAAATATATTTTACCAATGCAGAGCACATTATTTAGGTAGTTTTAGTAACCAACTCAAGCTGGCCAGCTGATGCATGACAAAGAAAGAAATTAACTCAAGCTTCCATGAGCATTCAACATGCTTACGAACATTTTTGTGTAATGTAGAAGTCAGAATATAGTCTGAGAACACATGGAAGCTTACAAAGTGCTTTTTATGTGAAGGAAAGCCCATCGTCTTGAAATTTCGTATGTTAGTTCAGGAAAATATTGCTGTAAAATTAAAATCTTCAAAATTTTCAACTTTGATTAAATATCTTTTAACACTAATCTAACCTTTAATGAGAGCTAAGCTTTAACTAGAGTTATATGCTTCCTTTACTAGGTTTAAAGAAGTAACAAATGAATTTTACAAATATATTTATATTACAAATATTTTTATCCTTGCATATGATTGGAAGGTGTTTTGAAATATGTGTATATGTATATGTATATGTATATGTATATGTATATGTATATTCTCTCTCTGCATTGTAGTTTCATTCCACCATACTCCATTCAAGAAAGTAGTTATTTCTGTAAGATGTTGGTTCAGGCAAGGTAATATGTCTGAAAGCAAAATTTCATTCAAAATATTCTGTTTTCTCAACACCTAAGACTCTGAAGAAAGTCATTGTATTGCAGAAGGCATGGCAAGTAGTGATAATTTTCTTGGAATAAGCAGAACAGTTTGAAAGCAGGTAACGTGTGTATTTTTCAGGGTTCTCTAGAGGGACAGAACTAGTAGGATAGATGTATATATGAGGGTAGTTTATTAAGAAGTATTGACTCACATGATCACAAGGTGAGGCCTCACAATAGACGGTCTGCAAGCTGAGGAGCAAGGAAGCCAGTCCCAAAACCAAAACCTCAAAAGTAGGGAAGCCGACAGTTCAGCCTTCACTCTGCAGTTGAAGGCTCGAGAGCCCTTGGCAAACCACTGGTGTAGGTCCAAGAGTCCAAAAGCTGAAGAACTTGGAGTCTGATGTTTGAGGGCAGGAAGTATCTAGCATGGAAGAAAGATGAAGGCCAGAAGACTCAGCAAGTCGGTTTATCCCACCTTCTTCTGCTTGCTTTATTCTAGCTGAGCTGGCAGCTGATTAGATGGTGTCCACTCAGATTGAGGGTGGGTCTGCCTCTCCCAGTCCACCCATTCAAATGTTAATCTCCTTTGGCAACACCCTCACAGACACACCCAGGAGCAATACTTTGCATCCTTCAATCCAATCAAGTTGACACTCAGTATTAACCATCACAGTGTGTTTTTCTCCAATAATAGTGATTGTGCCATGTTGGGAGAGAGGCAAAAGAACTGTGAGAGCTTTGTATTCATACTTTGCTCTGCCTTAACAATGTGATAAAACCCCAAAGAGTAATAGCTACTTGATGCATATAGACAAATGGTATTCTAAACATTTTTTTAAAAATTTTCTTATGAAAGCATAGCTCTAGAACTGCAATAACCACTAGATTTCTAGGGGATGCAGAGAGGCTCCAGATCAAATTTTTTACTAACCCCATTAAACGAGAACTAAAAGCATAATTAAATATTTTTTTAAAGAGTTATATTTCTTGTATATGTTAGTACTTAACTCTGCGTACCTATATCGATATCCCTACATTTGTACATCTACACACACCTGTTCCTATAACTAAATTTTCTAAGAAAGTCTAAATTTTGAATCTATACATATTTTAAACATATAATTTCCTAATATCAGTAAATTAGTAAATAGTTATGGTTATCTTTACATGTATATGTCAAATTTTAAAAATATGTTTTATATATGATATATATTTATATGTATATATTTCCATATATTTATATGTTTTATATATGATATATATTTATATGTGTATATATGGAGATATTTGTATATGAGGCCTAAATTCTAAAAATATTTTTACATAGTGTCATGTATTCGCCTACATTTTCACTTGTTTTTTACTTCAATTGTTCACAATATTATGAACAATAATTTTTTAGCAATAGTATGTTTTATGTTTTTATTATTTTTTAAAACATTTTAGGTTCAAGGATACACGTGTAGGTTTTTCATATAGGTAAATTAGTGTCATGAAGGTGTGTTGTACAGATTATTTCATGACTCAGGTACTAAGCCTACTACCCAATTGTTATTTTTTCCCCTCCTCTCTCTCTTTCCACCCTTTACCTTTAGGTGGGCCCCTACATCCTGCTGCAGCTGACAAGTGTACATCCTACCATACTGCAGCTACATTTGCTACTGGCACACGCAAATGAGGATGGATCCCACTGCTACCACCCTATGAAGTGCTGGCACCACCCCTTGGAATGTTGTGACCAGCGGTCCAGGAACACCTCAGCCATACTGGTGCAGTAGGTCCCCAACCTCAAGAAGCCAAAGAACAAAGCAGGAACTTAATATCAGTCCCCCAGAGTTAGATAGAGCATGTAGTCCAGGAGTTCTGAGCTTGGGTCCCTAAAATCTTCCAGAATTGAAGCCAGTTGACTAAACTCACCTTATACTGCACTCAAACCCTCAAGGTCATTAAATAGGATGAAAAAAAAAAAAAAACAGCCAAAGACAGCAACTTCAAAGATTGATGGAATATCAGCCCACAAAGATGAGAGAAAACCAGCACAAGATCTCTAACAATTCAAAAAGCCATAATGTGTTCTTTCCTCCAAATGACCACAGTAGTTCTCCAGCAAGGTTCTTAACCCAGCTGAGATATCTGAAATGACAGGAATAGAACTCAGAATATGGATAGGAACAAAGATTATGGAGATTCAAGAGAACATTGAAACCTAATCTAAAGAAGCTAAGAATCACAATAAAATGATACAGGATTCAACAGACAAAATAGCCAGTATAGAAAAGAGTGTAACTGACATGATAGAGGTGAAAAACTTACTACAAGAATTTTATAATGAAATTGCAAGTATTAACGTAGGAATAGATCAAGCTGAGGAAAGAACCTCAGATCTTGAAGAATGGCTTTCTGAAATAAGACAATCAGACAAGAGTTAATAAAACAGTATTAAAAAGAACGAACAAAACTTCTGTGAAATATGGGATTATGTAAACAGACAAAATCTATGAGTCACTGGCATCTCTGAAAGAGATGGGTAGAATAGAAACAACTTGAAAAACACGTTTTAAGATATCATCTATGAGAGCTTCCCCAACTTAGCTAGAGAGGCCAACATTCAAATTCAGGAAATGCAAAGAACCCCTGCAAAATACTTCACAATAAGGTCATCCCCAAGACACATAATCATTAGATTCTTCAAAGTCAAAGTGAATGAAACATGTTAAGGGCAGTTAGAGAGAAAGGACAGATCACCTACAAAGGGAAGCCAATTAGACTAAAAGTGGACCTCTCAGCAGAAACTCTACATCACGGAAGAGATTCAACATTACTAAAGAAAAGAAATCCCAACCAATAATTTCATATCCAGCCAAACTAAACTTCATAAGCAAAGGAGACATAAGATTCTTTTCAGACAAGCAAATGTTAAGGACATTTGTTACCAATGCAACCACACAAACAAGCTTATGTAATAAGCAGTTAACATGATGACAGGATCAAATTCATACGTATCAATACTAACTTTGAATGTAAATGGGTTAAATGTCGCAATTAAAAAGCACAAAGTGCAAGCTTGATAAAGAAGTAAGACCTAATGGTATGCAGTCTTCAAAAGACCCATTTCACATGCAATGACATCTATAGGCTCAAAATAAAGGGATGGAGAAAAATCTACTAAGCAAATGGCAAAGAGAAATCAGCAGGGGTTGTAATTCTAATTTCAGACAAAACAAACTTTAAACCAACAGAGATTAAAAAAGACAAAGAAGGGAATTGCATAATGATAAACAGTTCAATATAAACAATAATTTATTGACTATTGTTTTTCCTGTCATAGGTACTGACTATATTACAATATTGTTGTAAAATGATTCTTTACAAAATCAGAAAAATGAGCAAGTTCATATTGATTTAATATTTTTACTTGGTATCTGCACACTTGTTTCATTCAACAGTCATTTGATCATCTTCTACATGCCTCAGAAAATTCTACATGTTAGATATATGTTACAAAACAAAGCCCCTGTTCTCTAAGAGCTTATGAATGGGGATGGGATAGAGAAAACAAGGAACGTAGATCATTAACAAATAGACAAAATAACATTTCATTTGGTTACAAGTTCCTTGAAAGAGAATAAAGCATGATAAGGAGAAAAACTGGCAATGAGGGCTCTGTTTTGCATGTGATGTTTGGGATACATTTCTGTTGTAAGGTGATATGTGAGTACAACCTATCATGATATAGTAAAACAAATCCCAGAAAAATCAATATGTGAAAAAGTGAAGAGTGGTTAGAAAAAAATTGGAGAAATTAATTTTCTGTCACTAAAATTTTTCTCAATAATTGAAGGCTGCATGGCTCATATGATTTAATATATTAATTTTTTTGTTTCACTTTAAAACACAATCTGATAATGATCAGATCAAATAAGCCATACATCCTTCTTTATTCTTTTACCACAGGAAAGATCTTTGTCAATTAAATCAAATAAACCAAATTTTAGAGAAATAGCAAAAAGCAGTAATTTTCCCCAAAGAAATATCACATTTGAAGAAAAACAACATAACAATGTTTCCAGAATATACCCCACTTTAATAAATTGTTCTTTCTGTTTGAAGGTATACAAATATGGAAAATGTTTAAATCTTATTTTAATAGGTGTCTTTGGTATTTGATGCAGTAATTCATAACTGTAGCCTATAATTTATTATTTCATTAACTACAGAGCCAGAAGATATAGTTGTGATTTGGAAGCCCCTGATATTGTTTATCTTTTTTTCCAGTAGAAGAACTAAATGTAGCAAGAAGTCCAAAGCTTTATAGTATGAAATTAAAGGTTTTTCTGTAAAGTTACAGTGATCTTTCTTACAAAAATCAGGATGAAAAAGAAATGCTTCTATTTAAAAAAATATACAAAGTTGACTAAATAGACATTTCTTTGAAATAAAAGGAAAGGATTATATGATAAATTTAATATTAAACATGTATAACAGCTTTTCTTTCTATATAAAAACAAAATAAAAAATAAATTCCCATTCTTAAAATATTTTCACTTTTTACTGATTATTTGCTGGTGAATAAAGTTACTTTTCGGAAAATGATTTTTCCACTCCACCATTATCTTTGCACTGCAAGTTTACCAATGTAGGATATTTGCCAGGAAACTCCAGGGTTATCTCAGGCACTGAAGATTCCGTACCTTCTCTACACGAAGATATCTATGTGAAGATTCTGTATGTGGCTTATAATGAACAGACTTTTTTTTAAAAAAAATGATGCCCCAGAAAATCTCTCATACACTTAACAAAATTCTACCCAAAGTTGTATAAGTTAGTTCCAATGGTTTAAGAGAAAGTCATTGAGTTGTAATATTATCTGAAAATGTGCAAAGATTTGAATAGGCATAATTAGCAATGCTGCTAACATCTAAGGAACTTAAACCATCTGTCTGTTACCGAGTGCTTTGCTATGCTGTCATTGTATTAGATGGGAGTATGAGGAAAGACTGGCTCAATCAAATCCGACATTTTACACTATGCTTGTTTTATGGAAGTTGTTAGAAATAATAAGGCTCATGTTTATTCAGTGAATGTGACATGTATTTTGTGAGCACTTACTTGGCAGATGGTAATGTACTTAGCAAAATAATCCCAAAGAAATATAAGATAAGGTTACTGATAGGCAGGTGCTTATAGCTGAATTATATATTCCAAATATTGTGAGTATACTGATGTGCATTTTTACAAATGAGATATAATGTACTTTCAAACATTTGTTGCCATTTAACACAATTTTATCCCATATAATGACAAAATTAAAAATAATTTTAAGTTTACTAAGTACCATCTAAAAGTTAGACTCTGGTCTGAATGCTTAGAAGACCTAAAAAAAAAAAAAAAAAGAAAGGTACCTAAATTTATAGAGCTTACACACTAGTGGAAGAGACAGAATAAGAAATGAATAAATCTTATAATGCATTAGAAGTTATGGTTATTGGAAGGAGACAGAGATCAGAAAAAGAAAGAACTAGATTTCTGTGGGAGGCGATAAGCAATTTAATATTGAGTGATAACAGTTATGTCTCATTGAGAACTTAGTTGTGAAAATACTTGAAAAAAGTGAAATAGCCACGTGGATGTCTAGGGAAACAGTGTTCTAGAAAAAGAAAAACATCAGCGCAACAGTTCTGAGGCTCAAGAATATCTCCGATGTTTCAGGAATTGAAAATAGGACAGTAGGTGTGGATGGGAGTTAAATGTGTGGTGGGGGAATAGCGAATGAGATTGAAGAGTCAATAAGGGATTCAGATCATGCCAGCATTACCAAAGGACTTTGTTTCTGACATTGAATTAATTGTGGATCCCAGGGTTTTGCGGAGTAACATGATCTCGCTTGCATTTAAAATGATCACTGTGATTGTTGAAGTAAATTCCCACAGCACTGGCTATGGGCACTGTACAGGTTATAAACATTCTTTCACATTAGATTTTAGAATTTGTCTTCCAAAATAATTATGAGGACCTAAATTATAGGATATTGAAGGCTAAATTTCATACTTTACCACCCCAGAGTGTCTACTGGTGCTGGACGTGTAGGTAGAAATTCAGAAAACTATACTTAAGTACAAAATAATTGCTTCACCCAACAAATATTTTTTTAAATTTCCCATAAGAAGTTGGTACTAAATATATAGCAGTGAACAAAAAAACACAAATGCTGTTGACTTCAATATACTTTGCATTTCCAGGTAATTCATACGTCAAGTGAATACATAAATAGTCTGCTCAATATCTGGATAATAAATAAAATTGTTTTTACTAAATTATTCTTCCCACAATATTCTTATTCTAGTGTTTAGGAAACTCGCACCCAAACATAAGAGTTCTGAGGAAATAACAGGTAGATGAGACTGTTCACATTACAAAATTCAACAGCAGTAGTAGTTGCTCATTGAAGCCTTTTTTCATCTACACAGCTGACTCAGCAGTCACTTGGTTATGCAGTGTATAGTAAAACCTCCCGTCCTTACTAATTTGCCCTTGTGGAGGCTTTTGGTTAACTCCCTGTGCTTGTATTCTTAAGAATGGAGAACAGTCTCATCTTTGAATCCTTCATTGTTCTGCTCCAGCGAACTGAAAAAAAAAAAAAGTAATTATTTAAGATGTGATTACATATCTGAAATTTTTTCCCATATAATTTTGAGAATAATTAAAAATGTAGATAATAAAGCAGTTGCAAGTATTAGAAACTAATTTTTGAACTTCAAATCTCCCCATCTGTAAAAGTGACATAATAATAAGCTACTTTGCAAATTACTGTAAGAACTTATAAAGATAAAGGTGTGGTAGTTCCCTGATTAAACTCAGTTTGTACCTTATTATTAATTAATTATAGGTATTATTTTATCCCCAGTTGTAATTTAAATTACAAAAAGGTTAAGGGGCCTGCATTTCATTAAGTAAGCTACCTCCGTGAACTGAATTTACCAATTTATCAGCTTTTATAATGTGCAGAATGAATTGTAAATTAATGATTCCCAACTCAATTCTTAAATCCTACTTCAACAATCCAGTGTATATCTCAAAAACTTTCCCAATAGCAAAATACAAATTTAACTAGTTCACATAATTATAAAGCGTATTTTATATAAATATATAAATAACTTTACTCGAAATATTTTTAATGAATAAGCATAAGATCGATGAAATCCAATGGACAATATAATACATATATAATACTTATGCAACAAAGATAATTTATTTTCTAGAATTTTTATTTTCTAGATGATGCCAGAGCTAGTATCAACCACTTAAGGATCCATCAGTATAAAGCACATGTGAAGGCAAAAAGGCATATTTCAGTGAAAACTTAAAGTGGTTTTAGAAAAAGATAAAATTGAATTAATAATTAACTAATTCTTTTTAAAAGGGCCTGATTTGGCAGGTTTGAAAAGCAGATGGCTCATGGAGACTGACAGAAGCTTATTAAGATCAGAAAAAAAGTGATTTTTCTCTATTGGTTTTGTGGTGCCAGCACAGTTTAATCCATAAGAGAAGGGTAGCTTGTTGTAAATGATGCTGTATTATTACTGATGAGAAAATTAACTGTTTTACTTTTTACTAAAATATTTTAAAACTATTTATAATATTTAGTTTAGAAAGAAATATAATTGTTGCAAAGCGCAAAGTCCTCACCAAAGAGTGAATTCAGGATTTTTCTTGGTCTGTGGCCAACCTGGACTCCGTCCTTTCAGTAAGTGATGTACAGTTGTCCTGTGGTATGCACAGATATATGTGGTTCTAGGATCCCCACATATACCTAAATCAGTGCATAATCAAGATCTTCAGTCACCCCTGTGGAACCTATGTATACTAAAGTCAACCATTCTCATATACATTGGTTTCAAATCCCATGAATACTATTTTTTGTTGAAAAAAATATATGTATAAGGGGACACAGGCAATTCAAACTTACGTTGTTCAAGAATCAACTGAATTTCTTGCCTTGCACCCACCAGAAATTGTGAGAAGCTCAATATTTTGTGAGGCTTTTGACGTTTGAAGAAATTGTATCCAACATTTAGAGACGTTAATTGGCCCAAACTACCAAATAATTGACATAGGCCCCATGCGATGTTTTATTTACCAAAATTCACTAGAGTGCCAAATTCTACTGTTTTGGATTATACTGAGTATAAATCACATCTATCAGTTGTTCTGACTTTGAGGGAAAAAAATAGTTGGCGTTATCGTTTCTACTACAGAACTTCACAAGGAAGCACTAATAAAAGCGAGCTCATATATTCAGGAACAGGACAAGTACAGTAGAAAGGAAGATTGGCTCATGTTCTATCTTCTGACATTTTGTCCCTGATATAGTGCAACAGGCATAATCAACAAAGATCTTAGTTAATAGATACAAGTACTAAAACAACTGAAAATAATAATTTTGAAAGCTGTTGCAGAACAATGTATCAACAGAAGGCCAGCTCTCTGGCTTTTTGGCTAAGGATCTGCTAAGAGAATTCTTTGAAAGGAAAAGCATTGCCTCCTTGGTAATAGCCATGTTGTTACGGAGCTAAAGACAGGGAAGCAGAGGTACTGCAATATGCAGCTCCCGCTATGGAATTGCTACGTTTCTAGCACACTAAGTTTTTTTGGACTATGTGTATACTTAAAAAAATGTTTCTTAAGGTGGTTTGACTGAGTGTCTGGAATACAGGGGTGGCTTTTTATGAGTTACGGACATAAAAATAAGATGCATTAGATGATTGGGCATGGGAAGCCAGATACTATGTAGATTGGAGATGACTGCCCTTAACAGTTAACAAAGCCTGGGATCACAGTTTTGATTCCAAAACTCACCTGCTTTAGAGACTAAGACTCCCCACCAGTGAAATTTCTGAAGGGCAGCACCTTGAATTGTTGTGTTATATGAATTGCTTTGGATTTATGTCCATGGCACCAGATGAGTTTAAAAGAGCACAGTCCAATAAAAAAAATGAAAAAAACAAACTTTTGTGACTTGGCTTTTGCGGTTCCTGTAGATAAAATAATGATGAATAACAAGGAGCAAGCAATATGTTTGTTTGTTTGTTTGCTCTTTGTCAGTTTGAAACTCCTGCTTAGATCTCTGAACAAATACTTATACAGACTCCATAGGTTAGGGGGACAAAATGTCGTTTTATAAAATATTCCAAAAGTCCTTTTAGATTTCCGGAACAGTGAATTAAAAGCAAAATTGGACTGGGCAGTCAAAGCAATTTTCACATAAAATGAGTGGGCTTTGCCTGGGCTATGAAGGGTTGACTCTTGAATTAGAAAAATGTGTAAAGACAGGCTGTTGAATGAAAGCTTACTAAGTATGCAGTATTACACGAAAGTGTTAGAATGATGTTATAGAAATACCTTGTCTGTGACATAATATGTTCTCTGAAAAACACTTACCAAATCACCTTCTGAACGACCATGGCTCTTTGTTTCATTTTGCCTAATATGTGATGAATTGACTTCTGTGAGAAACAAGAGACACAAAACACTGAAGAGATGGAATAATTGGTAGGATAAAAATAGAGTAGTAAACTAATTATATAGTGAGTATGGTTATAATTAGCATATGGTAGTTCAATGTATGAACATTTATGAACGGATGGTTTTCAGGATAATCAGTGTAGAAAATCTGGATGACAATATAAAGCATTGCATCAGGCCCTTTGTATTGGTTTAACAGCCTGGTCTGAAAGGGTCGCTTTGAAAAAAATCACCTGTATAATTTTATTGGTAAGCAGTTACGCATAAAGAAGCATGGCTGAAACCAATGAAGAACCCTTATAATTTAATCAATTCTTTTGTTGTTGTTGTTTTTAATCCTTTAATGCCCACCTTGTGTTCATAATTTCCTTAAGTGTTTGCAGATAGCCAGAGCAAAACTGTCCATGAAGGGAAAAAAAAGTATCTAGTATATCTTTAAAAAAATACTCTGGGCACCTTTCTGTGGTTGTTTGCTGGCCTTCCTTCACCGTTCAGTGCATTTTCATTAACACTCACCACACACTCACAGGCAGCCATCTGTGTCCCTGTCTTCAAGAAGTTTTATCCTATAAGCCTTTCCTCATGACACTGCTGCCTATTACATAAATCAGAGAGACACTCAACTCCTTGGAATCAAATCAGAAACCCACAAAGCTGACTGCTGTCAGGACTCATAAGGAGCGCAATTAATGCATTTATTATTTAGGAGTAGAGCTGTTTTCATTCCAAAAACTCATGCAAAATCGGACTGTTATTTAGAGTGAATATCAAAGTAACTAAGCTAAAAGTGTCTTTTCATCTTCGGGTTCACCCGTTTGACAGTCATTACATTTTCTCCTTCATCTCTGCTTCTGTCAGCTCCGCTACTGTCAGACACATAATTCATTCATTCAATCAACAAAGATCCATTTAGTGCCAATTATTTGTGTCATGAACAAGACAAATCCTTGCCATCATGGAGTTTATGTTCTAGATTTTTAAATTGACTTTGTAGTTGACGTCACAAATGTAGTGGCATTTATAAAATTGAAAAGGAAATAGATATTAATAATTATTGTGTTAAAGAGAAATGAAATCTTAAAAACAAACTGACAGTATCAGCAGATATAAAATACAATATGATCCAGTATAAGCCGAAGCAAAGTTTAATAAATATTTGTTTTTGTAAAATTACATTTATTATTTTCAAAAAAAGTAAGTGAAGAAGAAACAGCAACTAACCATGAAAAACTATGGTATAAAATTCATTTAAGTTATGTATACTGTGAATGCACATATTATTTAATTTAAGTTAAAGCAATATTTATGGTGCATGAGAGACAGACTGTAAATAATGCTGAAAGAACTTGGCTTTAAGGTTTAAATTTTAAATCTTTTTAAAAAACGCTAAATTGACCATCTGGTCTCTTAAAGATAAATGTATTAACTGTATGAATTTATTTCACACAGTTCTATAATCTAATTTTATAAGAAAGCATCACACTAATTTGGAACAAGGCAGGCTTATTAAAGCTTCTTTATATTCAACAGTAAAGGATTTTGCCTTAAAAATAAATGTAAGAAAAAAATCAGAGTATTTACTATATCTCTTATTATTCATAATGTGGTCTGTATTGAATTATGGAATTTATATTCTTAAAGAGAGTAAACTAGAATGAAATATATTTTGGTAAATGTATGCTTATAGTCAACCAAGTGTCCCATAAATATGACAATTTATTTTGAACAACTGAATTACCATTATTTAAATACTTAGGTGTATGTATAATGTTAGCTATTGTTTTAGCATCAAATGTGAAACTTTTATGTTCTATGGTTCATTAAATTAATACAACTCTGCATAGTATTATTAGCACCATTTCATGAGTCAGAAAACTGAGATTAACGGCATTTAGATAACTGGTTTATGGTTACATGGCTAGCAAAAGGCACATTCAACACGTAACACTAGGCTTTAGAACTTCAGGACATTACTGTTTACACTGCATATTCTATAATAGAATGTAAATTCTTGGCTTGTTTTCATTTTTAATTGGGTTCATGAGGCAATAGCTTTAAACATCATAAAAATAAAGCTGTAGAAAATTTATTCAACCAAGAGCTCCACAAGAATTAAAACAGACATGCATCTAATAGGGTAGAGGTTGATATAATTAGTTGATGGGTACAACTCTGCTCAATTCTGGTGAGATAACAACAGATTATTTTATCAAGTTTTAGGGAGTAAGTTTTGAAAGGGACTTTGGTAAAATTGAATAATTTAGACAAAAATGATCAACAATTCTAGATCAGGTCAGTTTAACAAAATGTTACAAAACTGAGGAAAAAATGGAAACTTGAACACTGATGCGTAATCTGATATATATATGCATTTATATATTTATTTTCTATAATTATATTTCATATATACTTCATATATGACATATATATTTCAAAAATAAATTGAAAGCTCATATAACTGACATCTTGAGAAATACAGCATAGCACTATAGAAGACCTCTTCCTGAAATAAATCTAATCCCTTCTCCCAATTTGTTAATGTGCATCACTGTTTAATATACAATTGTATAAATATATCACAATTTATTTGGCTGTTATGAACAAAGCTGCTATAGTCATCATCCTTATGCATACTCAGTTGTAAAAATATGTTCCATTTTAAGGTATATTTTTAGGAGTGGGCCAGAGGTTATAAGCATCTTCATGTTTTCTAAGTATTTCCAATTTACCTAAGACACTTGTATCAGTATGTACTCCCACCAGCAAAATAAGAGCACTGTCAGTTATTCCACATTCTTCTTAGACTGTTTACTCTTGGCCAATATCATGGATATATAGTAGTATCTAATAGTAGGTTTTAATTTATATTTCCAGATTTCTAGTTAAGATAATTTTTATGTTTGAGGAGGCAGTTGGATTACCCTTCCTGTGAAGTATATGTCCAAATCTCTTGACATTTTAGTATAGTGTTGTCTTTATTTTTTTTTTTTAATTTTAAGAGGTCCTTGTACTTTCTGAGTGAACTTTTTGCTTTGTAGGCCTTCTCTGTTTTACGTTTATATGTGTTTTTTGTTTCAAACTTTCCGCATTTATTTTTATAATTCGCTTTGTGTTTGGTTTAGTTTTAAAATCAGCTATCATATCTTTAGCTTCTAGAATATCTGTCTGGTCCTTTTACAAAAATTTGACTTTGACATCATTTTTAGTTTTCAGTTTTCTGCTAATATTTTCATACCATACCTTCATTGCTTTGTGTATAGTAAGTGTATTCTACTTTATAATCTGTGCCAGATTATTTTAATATCTTAATTTTATTGCCTCCTCTGGATTTTACTAACAGCATCTTCTTTCCTTAGGAACCTTGTTTCCCTTGGCTGGGCCTAAGACATATAGGAAATGATTTTGTTGTCGTTAGAAATCACTATGGCCTACAGTAATGTTTTCAGCCTCCTGAAATGTTTTTTTCTTTTGCACCTGGGACTCTACTTTGCAATCACATTATAAGTTCAACACTTGACTTCCTCAGATCACACAGGAAACAAGCTAGACTGTGTGGATTTCTTTACTTTTGCATCTGGTTCTGCTTTTGGGATCTCCACTTAAATTTGGGTTAAACCAAAGTCCTCAAATTTGATTGCTTCTGAGTTTTGAGTTTTGCCTCTGAAGAATCTATCAAAGGCACAGATCAGAGTGTCTCAGCTGGTTCTTCAGGAAGGACAAGTGCTCTCACAGCAAAAGTAGCTTTTAGGGCATAAACCTCTAAGTTCTTATTAGTTTCTGTATCTTGGCCCAATAATGCTTCACTTATTTTTATTAACATGTAGAATTTTTTTATTTGAAATTATTTTTTGCTCGATTTTTAGTAGCTTTTTAATTGTCCTCAGCAAGAGGTTTTGCGCTAAGTATTTAAATCACCATTACTGGAAGCAGCAGCCAATACACATCAAAACTTTTGCAGTTTTTTGTTTTTTTTTTTTCCACACCTTGTCAGCTTTGTGCCTCATATAGTCCAGGCATCTTCTTTAATTAGTTTGGAAAACTCCGACTCATGCTTTAAAACACAGCTCCAGAATTTTCATTTAAGATGTTCATGGATTGCTCTTTCTCCACGATTTTAGTGACACGCCTGTGAAGTCGTGGCTAACTGCCTACTGTTTATGATCCTTCCCTTCATATAAACCACTTATTTACTATGTGTATCATTGTCATCACAATTATGCTATGTTGTACTTTTTGTTAATTTTTGTTGCATGTGCATCTGTCTATATGTTTGTTTGTCTTGTGGAATATGAGGTTCTTGAGGTCTGGGACTGTGGAGACTAAGTCCAACTTATTCTTTAGAGTTAATAAATTAAGTATCAATTCCACAGGGAGTCCGTCACTTTTTCTCAAGCCTCAGTTAGTTATGTCTCTTTGTTCTTGGTTAGAATTTTCCTTGTTATGGAAACTTTCAGTCTGTATTGTGACTTCAGAGCCTTTACAATTCTTTGTTTTTTTGTTTTGTTTTTTTTTTTTTTTGAGACGGAGTGTCGCGCTGTTGCCCGGGCTGGAGTGCAACGGCGCGATCTCAGCTCACTGCAACCTCCACCTCCTGTGTTCAAGCGATTCTCCTGCCTCAGCCTCCCGAGTAGCTGGGATTGCAGGCGCCCACTGCCGCACCAGGCTAATTTTTTGTATTTTTGGTAGAGACGGAGTTTCACTAACCGCCTCCCCGCTACCCCTCGCAGAGATCTTTGTGTCGCTTTATATGTGATATCATTCAAAAATCTGTTCAAAGCTGACTTCGTCAGCGAGGCTTTTTTTGACCACTCAGTTAAAAGACCCCTCCTCAATCACTACTATCCTTTTTATCTGCTTTATTTCAAAATATGCATCACTATTTTAAAAACTGCATTTTTTTTTTCACACTTGGCTTCTCTATTATATGTTCCTCCCATGAAAATGATTCTTTATCAGGGCTGGCAATTAGCTTGCCTCATCTTCCATTTTTATTCCCAATATCTAGAATTTTGCTTAACTAGAATTGTGCTCAACCCAGACCAGGCATTCGCTAAATGAGTGAATTGTTTGACTCCCTCAATAGATTCTCAACTTCCTGGAGGTAAGAAGTGCCTGCTAGGTTCTATTTTATCCTCAATGGCTATTATATTATAGTCACTCAACATGTTATTGATAAGAAATATACTAGAAACAAAGGTTTAAAACTATTAAAAAATTATATAGATTCAACGTTATGAAACTTCCTAACATTGGTACAGTTCAGAAGTTTAAAAAATGTATTTTTTATTAATTAAAAAAATTAGACTTTAAATGAAAACATCATATGTTACAGTGATGGAAAATTATAAAAGTAAGTTGTTTCTCACAGTGAGAATTACCTAGGGATTTTTGCTAGAAGCAAAATGTTCAAAGATCTAACATCTAAAGGCTTAGAAGTGGAAGTAAGAGTATGAGTGATGCTTCAGTGTCTTCCTTTTGTATTTGGCAAACAGCTTCATTCACATCTTTCTTATTTTTCAATTCTTTTGACAAACGCTTCAGAGGGCTACTGGTGATGAAAACCTTGACAGACTCAAGAATAAATTTTATAATGGAAAAAAATTCAAATTGATAAAGACATTTTGAGAAAAAATAAATTCAAACAAGGAATATACAAGTAAATGTGATATTTAACAAGGAATTATTTTCTATAGTCCTTTACAATGGCTTTTTTTTTCTTTTCCCTAAGATGTAGTCTTGCTCTGTCACCCAGGTTGGAGTGCAGTGGTGTGATCTCGGATCACTGCAAACTCCACCTCCCAGGTTCAAGCAATTCTCCTGCCTCAGCCTCCCGAGTAGCTGGGATTATAGGCGCGCGCTACCATGCACGGCAAATTTTTGTATTTTTAGTAGACACAGGGTTTCACCATGTTGGCAAGGCTGGTCTTGAACTCCTGACCTTGCGATCCGCCCGCCTTGGCCTCCCAAACTGCTGGGATTACAGGTGTGAGCCACCGTGCCCGGCCTACAGTGGCTTTTTTATAGTCATTTTACAGTTTTCAGATAGTCTGAAACATTACAAAAAAGAAGCAAACAAAAGCAAACAAACCATAATAAAAATCCCAGGGGCAGAGAGGGGGAAATTTATTAGCTAAAAATAGCATATGTTCACAAGGTACACATATCCCGAGTACAATCAGAAGCTTCCAGTAATAGTCAGAACAATAGTACATATCTGATGCAAACTGATATTGTGATGCCAATCGAATCATAAGTGGATATTTAACCATGACTCCTTGTCTTTTGAATCAAGCAAGTTATTGGGTGCTGCAGATATCTTACAGAACTCCTATGACTGCCTTGTATTTTTCCACTTGGGATGTGGCATTCATTCCATTCTTTCCTCTTCAAAGCCACCTGATCAAAGCACTGATTCCTGATAGTAGCCACTTCCCTGTCATACATTTTAGCACCCCACATTTTGATGACTCTAATCATCCTCCATCTTTCCAGAACTGTGACCATATTAAAATGTTGAGACCGTCGGCTTTGTTTGTGTTGGAAACTTATGGAAACAGGAAAATAAAGTAGATGACTTTGCAGAGTGTTTTGTTATTTTTAAAGATGCACGTGTCACAATGTATTCATATTTGAAAGAGTAACAGCACATTCTGACTTTTAGAGGAAGCTGTAGGATGTGGGTATTGAAGAAACCACTGAGATTTGGCTCCAACGTAGACCTTACCATTCCTCTAGTGTTGTGGTAATTTTTCCCTCCAGTGGAACCAGGAACAACCTTAGCCATTAGGCACAAAGATAGCTCGAGATGCATGCACCCTTTAGATCTCAAAATTATCACTGACCTCCAATTTCCGAAATCTCATCACTTTACTTACTTACCTTGACCTGTCTCTGAAATCAGGATACCTAGAATCCCCTGTCTTAACAGCAGAAATCACCTGATAGTCTGCTCATTGTAACTCCCATGAAGTTTCTTAAGTTTTTATGCCGTATACCCAAATCTTCTTTGCATCCTCAGCTCAATTCCCTAAGATTTCAAAACGAGGATAGAGTTCTCACTAATGACACACCCGGTAATCTATTTTGTAAATTCAAAGTACTTGGAACTAGAGTGTGATAATAAAAAGAGTTTCTTTATGATGCGAGTGATCAAATTGCCCTTGAAAAACTAATCAGACCTCTTGCATCTTAACCTCATAACCTCTAAAGAACCTAAGTAACCTCTTTACTCATGTTAGGAAGGGATAAACTGAGAAAAGAATGAAGAGTAATATTGGTATTGACTGGCTGAAAGAAATTCCTGTTGTTATAAAGAAAATATTTTGAAGCAATATTGTCTGCTAGAAATAATCTTTTATAAAATGATGTTGTAATCATTTCTTGAGGGCTTACAAATGCATTATACTTAGCCTTGCATTCATCATCTTATTTAACTTCCAAAACATTTCTCTTGTTTAGAAACTATCATTGTTCCTATTTTACTGATGAGGATTTTCAGGCTTAAAAAGGTTAAATAACTTGTTCTAAATAACAGAGTTAGGAAGATCTTAAGCCAAGGTATTGACATCATAGACTGAATACTTAAACATAATTCTAAACTACCTCCCCAAGCCCTTAAAGGCATTGTAGAACTAATTTTAAATATTCTTTTGACCAAATGAGAAGAAAAACAGATATTTCTACTGTTATATCTTGCTAACAGAGGAATTTTAGCTCATATTCTCTGTTTTCCTAAATCTCAGTTTTCTCATCTGCAAAATATAGACTATAATCTCACAATATACTTGCAGTTTTTTGGTAAAATGGAATTAATTAGCACAAGCAATGCATTAGAAAAAAAGTATGGTTCATGAAAACACCTCATTTAATGATGTTGCATTAACATTACTAGAAATAAAGCAAATATATGTAATACTTCAGTATGTTAACAGATGATTTAAATGCTTTGCCATATTTTCTGTCTCATTTACCATTTTCAAATTTGATGTATTCAAATGTGCTTTCTCTACTGCTGGGCAGCTATTGTGTATTTTTGTCAGAATTATTTATAATAAATTATTATTATGAATTACAATGTAGTGATGATCATAGAGAGCTTTGAAAATGTTAATAATGTTGTCTTAACCAGTTAGGGTTTTCGGGGGTTAACAAGAAGCACTAACTGGCAAATTAACCTGAGAACCACTCACAGAAATAACCAATTAGTCAGATACCGGGTTGCTCGTCAACTCAAGGGATGGACTGAAGGACTAGGCTTAGAAAATGGGTACAGACTATGAATTTTTTTTTTAGATTCCAACACTTGGGCAAAATAAATTCTGGGGTTTTCTCTTTGGGAAGCCCAGGGCATTGTCTAGCAGGATATCTGGGGATTATCTGATTCTATAGGGTGCGCTGTTTATTGGCTTGCTATTGACAAGGCTATTTACAACCCTGCAGAGATAGCAGTTATAAAAACTGATTGCAATGCAACTAATTCCTGTTAATGATAATGCTATTAAATTATTTCCACTAGAAAACATAAATTTCTGCAAGTCAAAGTTTTATGTGAATCAATTTTAACATCTTACTGGTTATCTCATTAATTAAAGAGTTGCATAAAAATTCTTGACAGTTGAGTATTTTATATTTTTATGATAATCATGTATTTATAATTTTGGAAAACCAAATACATTTTAGCATAACCATAGAATGAAATCATCATCTTCACCAATTTTATCACGGGAGCAGCCTTAATAGCATAGGGGTGCTAATACTTTTGGGGAAAATGGTAGAAAAAGGTAGACTATTAGCATGTGATTGTTGTCTACTGCCAATTTGCACTACACACTATTTAAAAAGAGAAAAACTTGAATTAGAATTAGCCAACAGAGAAGAAAATAAAATAGTGCTTAGAGGAGTACTCTCACTCAGTGGCCTCTCAATGTAAATTGACTGAGAGTGTACCATTATTTGGTTCCCTGTGCATTTAGGCAAGTCATAAATTTTTGCCACTTAAATTTAAGTTGATTCTCCAGAACTGTCTCAAAGGTCTTTCCTTAAGTATTATTTCCCAGTAAAAGGAATTTTGTACATTAAAATAAGCTGATCTTAAGGGTGTTACTGTCCCATTGCAGCTTATTTTTTTTTTTCGATTACTTTAAAGCAGCATGAGTAAAACATGAGGCTCTTAGGTTAAACAAAAAATTAGAGAATCATTAGTATTCCAGAGTTCCAACAGTCGAGATCAGTGGCTTTGATTATTAGCACATGGCAATTAGCAATGGAAACTAAGTTAGAGTTCTACTAATTTTTGTACAAATTGAAACCCACTTCAAATTAATTAAAAACTGATATAGTAAATGAATCCTTAAAGCAATCCAGTGCCCCCACATTTCCTTCAGTAGTAATGTGTCTGTGAAAACAGGATCACCCCAAGGGAAGGCATCATCTACTGTAATTCTCAGCTGTAGCATTCAGGTACCAGAGAAAGAATGAATCTTCAGCAGTGAGAGTCAGGGTTGCCATATTGTCTGGCTAATGGGCACATATTCTATGCTACTCCTTACTAAAAGAATTTAAGAATTACTATAAACCACTATTTTTAGGTATTTTTGATGTTTCCTTTTTCTGAATAAATATTATAATTTTTTTCCTTGTATCTCTTCTGCAATTTTATCTGGGTATATTAGAGGCAGGCAAACTATCTTTCGTTTTACAGGTAACCAGATGATAAAGAAAGACAGTTGTCCATATGGAGAGAAACAAACTTCATTGTGATTTTATCTTGATACAAACTGGAGATGACATTGTGTATGTTGGGATTATCTTATTTTCCTGGGAAGATGGCATGTAGAGATTTTGGCTACTAAAGAGGAACTGGCAGATATTGATAGTCATCAGGCCAATATTAGTCTCCTTTTTCCTTAATATTAGAACCCAGTGGGAGATTGGCAACAGACAGGCCTAAAACAAGAGCAAATGTTTTCCTTACTCCTTGTGATTAGATCATGGCCCTATGATATAGCATTAATCAATAAAATATATCATTCTCTGATATCTCTCTCTTTCTTCCAGAATCTGGGCTTAGTTAAAATTCTAGCAGCCATTTTTGCAGCCATAAGTAAAAGGCCATAAAAATCCCCAAGACATTTTACTTGATTTCCTTAAGTGTCTGAAGCAACATCAGAAATTATTCTCTCCAGCCCTCTTGTTAAATTAGAAAATATAGTTAAACCACTGTAGTCAGTTTATCTTGCATGCAGCAAAATGTAAATCCTAACTGAAATACCTATTTTCAAACCACTGGTCTCCTGAAGGGGAAGTGAAAAGATATTTTATTCCTTGAATAAGTTAAGGAAGAGAAGTCATCAAACAACATTCATCAAGCTGTCTTCTAATTCATCTGCCTCCAAATGTCTCAATACACAGTTCCTCCTGCCCATTCCAAGTTTCTGTCTTCCCAGGATTCCATATGGTATCATGGCTTATCATGTATTTAAGACCTTGTGAACTAATGTCTTGTTTTTTCTGTCTCAAAGTTCAGTAAACACTGTCTAGTTCAATTATCACTGCCTAGTTCAATTACCATCTTCCTCAAAGGTATTGATTCCTCTTATTCGATTATTGCTTTCTCTCTCATATTCTCTGTCCTTGTGGATTTGTACGTTATTTACCCCCATCCACCCTTTACAGCCATTATATAATCAGATATAATAGTTTCTTGGAAAATCTTTAAAATTCCTGCCTAATCATCAGAGGACCGAAAGTCAATGATTTTTTAGCAAATCTTTAAAGATGTTCAGGTATCTACTCATTTCAGAAAATCCCCATTACAACATGAGTTCTTACTTCTCACTCTTTTTCTAAATGAGTATGTAAGCTTCTTTTGCTCCAAAAGTCTAGCAGAGAGTTCTTTCACTTAAATTTTTCTCTGACAATTAAATATTAAGTCAATTGATGTAGCTTTTTGCACATTTGCCATAAAATACACGAATAAAAAATAAAACTTTTCTATTTATAGATTTGTAAGTAAAGCTTTATTTCTTGAGATCTTTAAAAATTTCAAATACAGTAATTATCCTAAAATGATACCAACGCAAACACCTATAATGTCACATCCTAACCTTTGACTTTGGCTATACCTGTGGTGACAGTACCGTGGGAAATTATGCTTACTTCACACTAGTAGCATCCCAACTCTTATTTCTCATCTTAGGACTTCTCCAAAACATAAGTTTGTGAAGGATAACCTAAGCACTGCCCAGAAGTACAAGGAGTTAATATCCTCTGAGGACAACTCCCAGTAAATAGAAAATAGGAACCATTGATAAACATGTCAGCTTCCAGATCTTCATGGAGATAATGTTGGGAGGTTACTCAGAAGATTCCAATGAAGCATGCCCCTATTGTTTTCCCATTACAATAACATCAATAACGTACCTCTATGATTGATTTGCTTCTTCTCTGTTTCACTCTTCCTAGTTTCTCACATTTTCTACCTTAGATAATCTCCCAAATAAGTTATCCCTACTCAAATCCTCGTCCCAGTCTTTGGTGACAAGACAAACCAAGCAAAAAGAGGTATCAATAACCTTACATCTAGGTCTAAACATGCTCTTGGAGACACTGCTGTCCAGATTCTCACAAACAAAGGGACTCTACTTATCAGAAGGCTATAAATAAACTGCAAACAGAGGCTATAAAAGCATAAAGGAGAAAACTTTACATTTTACTCAGGTTTAATAACATTTATTGATGATTTAAAATGTTAATATATGTATAAGACACTATATAAGATCGGTATAAGACACTGTAACAATATAAGAAGTGAGTTGTATAGTCCTTTTGGGAACACTGAACAGAATGTCTGGGAACTATCTCATTCGTTGTTCAATCAAAATATTTGATGTATATTCACCTAAAAATAGAATTTTAGAGTCTGGACAGAGTAATATAAAAATGATCAAAATTCATATACTCTTATATTTATATTTTTGTTGTAAAATTAAAGTGCAATTGCTGGTGCAATATGGTGAAAATAATAACTCTAAGAGTATAATAATATTTTCATATTATACTGGATACTGAAAAGAATCCAGAAAACACACAGTTAATTGATACTTAAATTTCCAGAGAGCTAAAGAATCAGGTAGTGACATGTACTGAATCAATAGCATCATAATATAACATTTTACCTGTGTGGTTAATGGATATTTCCATGAATATATGCTAGCAGGTCAGCTGATACAGAATGATATTAGGCAGGAAAATTACTCATAGTTGTGTTTAATAAAATGAGAAAGAATTGTCAAATGACACTAATAATAATAATAATCCTATAGCAGGCTAAATAATTCCATAATAATTACAAGTATTAATCTCACCATAATAATTACAAGTATTAATCTCACTTTCTTCACTGATTATGAATCTCCTATCTTTTCAATGTAAATGGGGGTGGCAGATTGCAATGAGTTGTGAAAACCCAGCAGTGACTTTGGCAGTGAAGCCCTCTCATCAATTTTGATAAATTAAAATGATTTTGGATTTTGGTTAGCTCTTGGTCTTGAGTAGATTCAACAACTTTATTTTTGCACATGTCTTATATAAAAAAAAGAACCATTGTAAATTCTTGCTGTCATTTCATGGAGCCAATACAATTATAGTGATAACAGAGGGCAATTGACAGCATTAGGGCAGGTAACTATCTTGAAGTACTGGAATTAGAAATAAAATTCCAATATTTTATATAACCTTGCTTTTTTGATAAAAATGATAGTATTGCTTACCTTGTAGACTCCTGCTATTATGTAGCTATTTTTAGCATGTATATTGTATCATATGCCTTTTGTTTCTGGGTAACTAATCCACTTAGAGATCAAGTGGGTTGCAAAACCACTTTTACTGGTGGGTTAGCTTTATAATTAAAAATAGCTGAAAAAGGGAAGAAAAATATTTCACATTAAAATAAACTTAAGTTTGACCAAAATGTTTACTCACTGTAATGGTGATTCTTAAGGTACAGAAAAAAATTTTGAAATATAGTTATCAATTAGCGTAAGTCTAG
The DNA here is from genome assembly GCF_000001405.40 of Homo sapiens. Taxonomy (NCBI): domain Eukaryota; kingdom Metazoa; phylum Chordata; class Mammalia; order Primates; family Hominidae; genus Homo; species Homo sapiens. Next base: position 32,453,085 of record NC_000004.12, read on the forward strand.
TTGGCTATTTTTCATATTTGTCTAGTGTCAAATGTGTTGACATTCTGGTCCAATCCATTATATCAGGTCACCTGTGAATTTTTATTATAATATTGACAACGCAGTGTATCTTAAGATCATGACACTTTAGAAATAAAGTATGAGGTACATTTTCAAAAGCATTACACATACATAAAGCCAAGATACCAAAAAAGGTGGATGCCTGTGGTAGAGTATATACTCAATGAATGAATAGACGCCCAGAGCTTTGAGTGAGGTCTGTGACTGTTATTCAAGATGGGGTCAACCAGTGGCTTCTGAATAAATAATCTGTTGTGAAATTATCACTAAATTAATTAGTACAATGTAAATCCGAGAAGGCTAGACTAATTTTAGCCATCTTAGCTCAATGAACAAATGGGATAAATTTTAGTTTGGTCAGTTTTTGACCTGATTTCTAACCATTTTACATTAGTGAGAACCTTCCTGAAATAAGGGTTCTTAAGGACATAGCCCTTTGGGCACAAAAGTTCAATAAATGTTTTAATTTATAGACTATTGTATAGCACATGCAAGTTATACCAAATTTACTGATGCATATATGTAGACATATGATAATATTTAGCTTATCATTTTATGCTTTAATTATAATATTCCAAAAGTTGTAGAATATTTAATATACACTTTTTTAAGCTATGTTAGAGATAAACTAAACCTTACAGAATCTGCTTCTTAGATGATAACTTTTATCGTCTAGATTTCAGAGTTTATTTCCTGCATGTCAATCTTATTACTTAGTGGTGAAAAAATTTGTTAACATGTTAAGAATTATGAAAAGAATGAAAATATGATTATTTTAATGAAGAAAAGGGATTTTTCTAGATTGTGTCTTTAAGTGACTAGTACTCACTAAATTTATAACAACAAAAAAGTCAAAGATTTTTATAACTGAAGACATTGGGCAAAGTAACTTTTCCAGCACTCTTTGATTCATATCATATTTATAGCTTGTTTTTTCTACTCCTTTGCCATTCATAGAGAAAAGATATTCACCCTTAAGAGAGCTTATAAAACCAAGAGTGGATTAATGAATTGTCAAATGGAAAATAATCAGTACTTGTACTTAGTCCTATGTTTTCAGCTTCTTACTTTGACCCATTCTCTTGTCAAAATCAATTTACCTTGTCCTAGGCTTACATACAGATCAACCTTGTTTTCTACTTTGTGAAAATAAATAGAATTGAGTTAATTAATTGGATAATTATTGCAAGTTAATTCATTAAATAGTTAATGAATTATTCAATAAGAAATAAATCAAACAAACTCCACCACTACCAAGTTAAGTACAGATTGCTTGAACATTGGTGTTCAAACAGGTAGATATATATATACAGCAAAATTTTTCAAAATGAAGTGCTGTGGTTTGAATGTTTATTTCCTCCAAAACTCCTGTTGAAATTTAAGTGCCATTTTAACAGTACTAACTGGTGAGACCTTCAGGAGATGGTTAGGCCATGAGCGCCCTATTCTCAGGAGTGGGATTGGTGCCATTACAAAAGAGTGAATTCAGTCCCCTCTTGCCCTCTCTCTCTCCACTTCACCTTCCACAGTGTAATGAAACAGAAAGAAGTTTCTTACCAGATGTTGGGTTATTGTAAACCACAAAAATAACCAACTTTCTTTGTCAATTGTGTTTCTAACTGTATCCAAACTGGACATTTTGTTATTTACACACTATGTTATTTTGTTTTAATTCTCTTCAAAACATGGTTTATATTCAGGCTGTGAAACCTCAGCAAGTGCTCTCAAATGCAGGTTTCCCACAACAGCAACAGCACAACAAAACGTACAGAACTCATGAAAAGCTAAAATGTTTGTAAATATCAAGCAAAAGTTAATAAAATTGGCTAAACTAATAAAAAAACAAAAACAAGTTTTTACCTCTTGCTTAGAACACTGCTAATCTTTATCTTATTTTTCATTCAAGAGAACTTGTCTTAAACTAGCTACAGCCTTTAACAACTAAGTATACTCCTATAAATAGAATCTAAATCGTGTTTGTTTCTCTCTGCCTAGTTCTTCCAGAATTTAAAAACTAGTTATAAGTATTCTTAAATTACAACAATATAGTTGCTTGCATCAGTGCAATAGAAATTTACTTTCTTTTGTAACAGAACACAGTTGGAAAAACTGGTTATTTTACCACATCTTTAACTGGAATGATGTGCTCTCCTTTAAGAAATCAAACTTGACTTACAAAGCAATAAAGCCCTTGGAAAACTGGCCTCATATTTTGTGTACACAGGGTTTCTGATCTGTGGTGAGTAAAGAATGTCACTTTCCAACAGGCCAGGAACCCCACGTTATCTTAAAACCTCAAGAGGAGAGGAATTCACCCAACTCATAGGTATTTTATGGTACAAACCCATGGCTGGACTTGGCTTTAACAAGTCTTATCTCAAATTCCTTCGACATAAGGAAGTTCCATCAAAGCTGATTTAAAAGGCCTATGTAGCAAATTATTATTATTGCTTCACTGTATACAAATAATTAAGCAAAGAATAATAAAGCAAACCAATCCTACCATGTTTGTCTTCCAATAAAAACGGGAAACTGAAGAGTGAAAATTATGTTGCAAAAGCTATAGCACAATTGTTTTAAATTTTAGTCTGGCCTAATGTTTTTCAATTTTTATTATCTTCTGGAGTTTAAATTATATCTGTTACAGAAGTCAACTCCTGAATACATCACACTCAACTCAAAGCCTAAAGAGTGGAGAAAGAAACCCCTAACAGCCCAGGAAAATGTCCTATCAATATAAAAAAATAAAATAAAGGCCAGGCGCGGTGGCTCACACCTGTAGTCCCAGCACTTTAGGAGGCTAAGGTGGGTGGATCACGAGGTCAGGAGTTCCAGACCAGCCAAAGTAGTGAAAACCCATCTGTACTAAAAACAAATACAAAAATTAGCCGGGCGTGGTGGCAGGCACCTATAATCCCAGCTGCTTGGGAGGTTGAGGCAGGAGAATCGCTTGAGTCCAGGAGGTAGAGATTGCAGTAAGCCAAGATTGCACCATTGCACTCCAGCCTGGGCGACAGAGCAAGACTCTGTCTCAAAAATACGTAAATAAATAAATAAATAAATAAATAAATAAATATAAATACATAAAATAAAAAAAGAAATCTTAAGCTGAAAATCCTAAAAGATAAGTAACTAAGTAAAAATTACTCATCTTACTCAGTCTCAACCCCACCTCACCAACTACTTTTTGTTGTTTCTACCTCTCCTTTTAAGCCAAATATTAAAACCCTTTTTAAAGGAAATTATTTACTATGCTACCCATGCAGGAATTGCTTTACTCACTCTACTATTTGCAGTAGGACTATATATTGTAGCGCCCTCAGGGTGGAATATCAGACAGAGAATCTCAATTGTTGTAGCATTTTGCTTAATTATTATCCTCATAGCAGGAATTACAGTTAGTAACAAAAAATAACACGTGGGTCTTTCTGAACATGTGTCTCTGCCTGTCATTGGAGCCTCTAACAAACTCTCCCATCCTTAAAAACTCTTAGTCTGTAAGAGAGTGTGCCCCTGACCTAACTGGGCCAGAAGGAGCCTCTCAGGTTTGTTTTCTCCAAAATAAATCTGTCTTGACTGGCAAGCCGCCTTTTGTGTTTCTTTCCTCTTTCCTTAATTCTTACACCAGATGCTAGCATATTGATATTGGACTCCCCATCCTCCAGAATCATGAGCAAATGAATTTCTGTTTATCATGAATTACCCAGTCTGTGGTATCCTGTTATAGTAGCACAGACCAAACTAAGGTAGTAAGAGTGTACTAATACTTTTCCATATTTACTGAATCCTAACACTCCTTTGTTACTTCCCCTTTTGCAAAATGACCTCTCCCACTTTACGAAACAAAGGCATTCCCCTTACCTGACATGTTATTATAGCATATTACCTCATGAATAAAAACTTCCAGGGAACCAAACAAAAGGGTAACAGGAAATATTATTTTCAATGAAGACTGTTTTTATGGTGAATCAAAGCACAGCAAACCACATTGAGGCAACCCGTCTTTCTCTACATAAGCATGGTGTTAGAAACGGGGTATTTTGGCCTGATAGAATATTGTTAAATTGACTATTTCCAGAATATAAGCAAGGAGAGACTTTACATCTTCAATTTTCTAAATATTTTCAAGTAATATATGGCCCTTAGAGAATGTTGTGAGAACAAAGCGAAGAAAGCATTGATAAAAACAAGTGATATTGGCTGGGTGCCGTGGCTTGTGCCTCTAATCCCAGCACTTTGGAAGGCCAAGGCCGGCGGATCACCCAAGGACAGGAGTTTGAGATCAGCCTGGCCTATATGGTGAAACCCTATTTATATTATTTTTATATTTATATATATGTAAATATATATATAAACCCTATTATATTTATATTAAAAATACAAAAATTAGCCAGGCATGGTGGCGGGCACCTGTGATCCCAGCTACTCGGGAGGCTGAGACAGGAGAATCTCTTGAACCTGGGAGGCGGAGGTTGCTGTGAGCCAAGATCACGCCACTGCACTCCAGGCAACAAAGAGTGAAACTCCCTCTCAAAAAACAAAACAAAAAAGTAATATTTTTTTCCACAAATTTAAACATAAGAAATTTTTCTTACCTATATTCTTCTCATAGACTGCTGAAATGAAACATATCTCAAGCAGCAAAAGCAATTCAGGTTAGTGACACTGACACAATCATATGAAGTTTTCAAAAGTATCATATTTTTAAAAGTTATGTGGATATAGACATGTCTCTAATTAACTATTTTATACAATTTCTTTCATGTGTAGCATATTTCTTATTTGCAAAGGTACTTACAAACTATATGACCAAATCAAATTATAACATATTTTTTATAATTACAACCTATTCCATTCTTGTTTTATCTCTGTTTACTATAGTCTATCTTCTAATTTAAAAATCTCTAAATTCACATACTAGTTGCTAAAGCTATTTATTGTAAATAATATAGATCTTTGTCTTTCATAACTAGATAGAAAAAATAGATCTTAAGGTATAATAAAATTAATGGAGTTATATCTAAATATTTACATATGAAGCTTAGTTTTTTTTTTCAAGCAGAATACCAGGCACACTCATGCCAACACATTTCCTGAAGGGATAGCATCTTTTCTATGCCAATTATCTTTTCATAAGTATCTTATAATTTTAGCTATGTATTTTTTGAAAATTAAGTAGTAAGACATAGCATATAGATTTGTCCTTTTATAAAACTTATTTCTATATTAGACTTAGGTCATGTTAATTGTGATTTGAATGTTATTAATAATACTAATTAAAATATATATACTGAAATGTGTTTTTGATTGTGTTTATATTTATTTCCATGTATAGAAACAGCTTTATCTGCTTCAAAAATGAAGACCCTTTCTGTTCGATGGAAAGCAAATCAGATTTAACCAATTGGTACAAGTTTGGGCATTGATTACGCTGATGAGTTAATATGATAGACATATCCATTACTAGACTGGATGAGATAAATATACACACATACAATGTTGTGCAAAAATATATGTAAAACCCAAGGAAGACAGACATGTTTTCTCCAAAAAAAAAAGTTGAAATAGATAGGTTGAAACAAACAAATTTACAGCTCTTTATGATAAAAGTGGGCAAGGAAATTGTCATGGACTGAAACAAAAATGATGATAACAGGCATAACTACTAGTCTTGCTGGAACATTTTGTAACATGAAATTAACAAAGGCCATAGTTCTACTAAGTACATCCCAGTTCTTTTTTAGGCAATTGATATTTTTTTCTGAGACACGGTCTTCCTCCCATCACCCAGGCTGGCATGCAGTGGTAGAATCGATCACACCTCACTGAAGCCAGGACTTCCTAGCCTCAAGCGATCTTCCCATCTCGGCCTCCAGAGAAGCTGGAACTACAAGCGTGCACCACTATGCCCGGCTAAATTATTATTATTATTATTTTTTTTTTTTATTGTAGAGATGGGGTTTCTCCATGTTGCCCAGGCTGGCCCTGGACTCAAGCCATCCTCTCACCTTGGCCTCCTAAAGCACTGGGATTACAGGCACAAAGCATTGCACCCTGCCAGTCAATTGATTTTGGAGTTTTCTATCTCTAATAAAAAAGAAAAAGCTAATAGATTTTTCAATGATTATATCATTTTGATGATATATCACTATTTTATGTCTAAATTATAATCTGGGAGGAATTTAAAGAATCCAATATATTTTCTTTAACATTCCCCACCTACTTATAAAAATGAAACTCACTATTAGACTTGATTATGAACCTTATCTAATTTTAACAGTAATGTAATAATCAACTAATTAGAAAAATGACCCTCTTAATCTCATTGAAAGATTGTGTTCCAATAAATTGTATTTATTGTTTAATAATTATTGACACATAGTATACTTTTATTTGTATTCAGGTATTAATAACATAAATATAATGTATATAATAATTCAATAGAGCTGATTTTTTTACTATTTAGATCTTTTATTATAAGATTGTTATAAATTTCTCTCTCTGTATATATATTTATATGCCTATCTATCTATCCATCTATTTATCTATCTACATACCTATTTTAATTCCAAAAGTATAGTGTCATCAATAAAGGTTTTTGTAGCACAAAAATATAATAAACTAGAACAAATTCTGTGGTATAAGTGAAATGGAAATACATTTTAAAAAGAAAACAAATGATATAAAATTGACTACTGTTAAGGAGTCTGCTTGCATATATTTTAAATGAGTGATGTTGTCCATAAATAGCTAAGGTAACATAATAATTTAACAGTTTTCTTTCTAAATGTTAATATCGACAACATCAGGGAAACTACTCCTTTGAAACAAGTATAGAGAATCTTCCTTATGCCAGGCACTGGACTGTGAGCAAGTCATAGCAAAAATCAAAACGAAATGTAAACTTTCAATAAACTTTTATTCTAGTGGTAGATAGGATAACCATTTACAAGATGTGGATTAAGTATTATAACAGAGTTATATAAATAAAAGTTTTATGGCAGTGTGGAAGAGGAAAGAAATAATACTGTCACAGGTTATTGTAACAATATTATTGCTATGGTCAATTATTTAATTATGATTGTATATGTTGTTTTATTTGTACAATAGATCATGTAATTATGGATGTGATAAGGTGGTGTTGGGCAACATTAAGATTAACATGGTATTTTCTAACTGGGTGACAAACATCAGTCTTAGAGTTTTATATATTATTCTACTTGCTGTTGATAAGTTTACTTTAATAAAATATATTTATCTAAGGAATATGATACATGAAGTATTTAATAGAGTAATGGAAATACAAAAATTGCAGGAAATGTATTATGTTCTATAGAATTATATTACTCTATGTAGGCTAGTGTTGTGAAATTCTGCATTGCTGTCTTCAAAGGAAAGTGCTCATTTGCTCTCCCTCTCTGTCTCTTTCCCCCTTCCATTGTGCTGGAAAGTGTACATATACATGGTGAGACAGTTTTAACCATGTAAATAAAGCCTATACTCTACAGGATAATGAAGTAAGTTAGAATAGTCTGAATGCAAAATGACCTAAAGGAGTAGGACCGTATGGCTGTCCCGTAATATTCAGGTATCTCTATACTACCACACAGGAAATGGATATCTGTATTGTTTAAGCTACTGCATTTTGAATCTCTTCCTTATAGTAACATGGGCTGTGATAGATTCCTTTCATCCTTCTGATATATGGAGATTAGAAAAATATTTCAATTTAGAATGGGAAAAAATCAAGTTAATCAATGTGGAAGAATGTCATAACAAGAAAGCCTCATGCATGTCGCATTGCAAAATTCAGCTTTGTGCATCAAAAGAACCACACATTGTTTCTATTTTTGAATGTATTTTTTTTTCAAGATAGTATAGAAAGGTAGATGGCATATGTATAAACTTTCAGGAATGCAGTTACAAAGCATTTCTTCAAAAGAGATGACTTTTGTCATCACTATTTTACTGAGAAATTCTATATCATCAAAGCCCTATCATTTTGGTGACATATGACACTAATAAAGCATCATGATGACCATGATAATGTATGTGTGAGTCATAATATATCATCACAATGGTATCTCTGAAATGATTTATCAGAATTGTACATCACTGTGGTGACACTGCATTGATGTTGAAGTACCAGCAAGAATACATCTCCGAGACTTAAAATCCTTATTGTAATAATAAATGTTTTATTTTTATAAATTTATTCTTATGAGAAATGAACTGTTATAGTATGTCAGGTTGAGTGAAAAATACAAGAAATTCAAAATATTAAATCTATATATTTGACTTCCACGAAACAGGAACTATTTATATACAGAAACATTTAAGTCCCCAAGTTACATGAACTTATTCCTCTATGTCTGAGGATACTTTACTGCCATTATTCAATAAATATAAATAAAGTTTTATCTCAGACTTCCAACTGGCTTTTTGTTTCTGTTTTTCCCATGTTAGTAAGCTGATATTTGTTGAGAATGATGATGTGAACACAGGTTTTAGGTTCAAATTTGTTCTTGATAACCATTGAAAACATTGTGCCTGAACATTAAAACATATATATCCAAATGAGATTATCAGCCCCAAGTGACAAGTGAATGTCTGTGTTCTTCTGATTCTCTGAGAGCTTAAAAATAAAGCAAGCACTAAACAGAAAATTCATCTTATTAATTTACGGAAGATTTGGCACCTCACAGACAGTCGAATTAAATTTGTCAAATTACTGAAATCCATGCTCTTCTTATAGTGGTAGGTGAGATTTTGCTGGTCTCTGGAAGGCTATGCAGTGTGATTGTCAAGACTTTAATCTGTGGTGGACTAGGAAGGAGATATACTAGCTGGTGCACCATTTCTAGCTTTTGAATCGTGTGGAGAAACTAGTAACTGCAAGAACTGAGGAATTAAGTGTTTGTTGACGAGTACCATTGATAGGCCAATAATGGAACATGTCAGGCTCAAATTGATTGCTCAGAAATGAAAGGAAAGAGTGTGAGTCTCCTTGGCAGTTTTTACAGATACAGATTATTTCCTAGACCCAGAGGACAGACAGATTTGAAGACCAGGCACAGAACTTAGATCTCATCCTGTTAAAACTGACAATCCTGAGTCCAGATTGGCAAATGCCACACAGTTAAAATGTCAAACAGTTGGTGACACCAGTAGCAATTCATTATACAGTGGATACAGGACATATAAGATTGGGTTTGAGAAGATTGAGAGGGTAAAAGTAAGCTGCGTGAACAGTTGGCTCAGATTCCCTCGATACCTTGTAACTTTCACACCTATGCCTCTATAAACAGTTCCTTATGAACAGCTGACAGAGATAGAAAAGGCCAGGCTTGTTTCAAGGATGGGTTGGATAAGTTTGTGAGTGTAAGGTGAAAATATATTGTTATCATTACAGCCTCACTTACCGGGTGGCCTAAATGGCAGTGGTGATGAGCAATCTTCCTGTTGGGCAGAGCTTTGGGCACAGTTCTTGGACATCTACTCTGTTTGGAAAGACACATCACCCAATGTAGAGATATATTTGAACTTGTGGGCGGTGGTAAATGCCTTTGCTTATTATATAGAATGCCGAGAAGGACAAATTTAAGGAGACTCAAAGGAAAGACACGTTACTGGACTTACATTAGGCACAAAGTGTGAGAATATTTTAATTATACATTAATACCCACAAGAGAGCATTTAGTAAACAAAAGCTTAAAAAAATGGAAAGATAACTCACCTAAAAGATGTTATCCAACCAGTTTCTGATCCTATTACTTGAATATTAACTTATTTAAAGAGTGCTTGCCCCCCAACAGGAAGGCTCCTTCTCAGCCAGTCTCATCCAATCACTGCCACTGCAGTGTCCAACCTGCCTTCTCAGTGAACAACACTTAGGTCCAACTATGATGCATTACCTTGAGGACAGAAAAAAGTAAAATAAAATACACTAGATGGCAAGTTAATTACATCAGACCCCATCTTTCATGGAAAAGGCAGTGCTTCATCCTGACAGCAGGTGGCATACTTTTTTGGGTAAGAGTTTCTCCTTTCCAGTCATAGTGTCTCATCCAACAACATTTTCTGAGAATTTTCAAAGTGTCTGATTTACTGGCGCAGAATCTCACATAACAGCTTACCAGACCAAGGCCATGGGCACATAATTATGAGATCCACAGATTGTACCACATATAGTACCATCCAGAAACTTCTTCCTCATAGAACACCTAATAAGAACTATAATAACCTCCTGAAGGTGCCAACTTGAAAATGAGGTTCTGAGGGAACAGGTTGCTTTTCATTAGAAAATAGAATGCACCAAGCATCATTATCTCATGCTGTTGCCCTAACAGGCAGATACATGGGTACAAAAACCAAGGACTAGAGGTAGTTTCAAGGTAGAAGGTAGAAATGACCCTGCTAACAAGCACTTCCAAAGACCTAATGGTGGATGTATACTTTTGTCCTTTACACTTTAGACTTTGTGGGAATAAAGGTACTGGGTCTCAGAAGAGGGCTCATTTTATACAGAGACACTAACGAATACCATTAAACATAACACTATATCTGCATCCTGGCCACGTAGGCCTACTCATGTGAGTACATTGGTAGGGGCAGAAAAGATATACAATACTTCCAGAATTTTTACAAATAATGAGACCTGATCATAATAACGAGGTAGAACTACACAATGGGGCAGGGAGAAATAACTTTGGTACTCGAATGACCTACTGAGTCATTCCTCGGTACTTCCTTGATCAGAAGTCAAATAAAGTGAGGGTAAATGCTAGTGAGATTTCTGCAGCCGAGTAATCCAGGCAAGAGGTGAATGTGTTCTTTTCCTATAGGAGATAGCAAACATTCTAATGAATAGCAACCGATTCCCTCAGAACCTCATTTTCAAGTTGGCACCTTAGCTGTGCCCTTAGGAGGTTCTTATAGTGCTTATCAGGTGTCTATCAGGAAGAAGCTTCTGGATGGTAGTACATGTGGTGCAATCTGTGGATCTCATAGTTATGTTCCCATGGCCTGGAAAGCTGCTATGGGAGATTCTCTGCCAGTAAATCAGATGGCTAGACAAGGAAAGGAGAAAGAAAGAAGGATAATTAGATGATATAGTATTTTTTGTAGTAAGGAATAATAGATGGTATCAATACCATCCATTATTAAATATGAAAGGACATTTTTAATACTCTGCGATAATTGCTTTAAAAATTTACCATTATAAATGAGTATTATCTACCACATCAAGAGTCGGGGAGTATTCTTATGTTCCATCTTTATTTCCGACAATGAGTTGATGTGATTCAACATATATCTGTGCATTCTACATAGATATGACCATCAGACTCAAGCCCAGTATGTCCAAAAGACTTTTAAAAAATTGACCTTTGTCCTGATAAAACTCTTGCAAAATCTAAAGCATGTTTTAATAAATGAAGTAAAGTTAATACGGTAATAGAAAAACACTGGTTTTTAGAAGTACCAGGATGTATTTTTTATTGGACAACTTGAAATACCTGCACATGTTCCATTTGGAAATATCCAGCAGATTTTTTAGAAATATGGGTTCGTTTGTCAAGAGAGAGTATGAGATAGCTATGAATGTGGTCAAAATTTATTTTGGTAAGCCTTTTGTCTGTTAGAAAGATTAACTTATCTGTGTAAATAGCATATACAAATACATATTTGGAATTGAAAACTATTTCATAGTAGCAAGACTTGAAGTTACCATGGAATCTAAGAAAATAGGTCAGGCATAGTGACTCACACCTGCAATCCCAGCACTTTGGGAGGCTGAGGCAGGTGGGTATCTTGAGCCCATGAGTTCCAGACAAGACTGGGAAATACAGGGAGACCCTGTCTCTACAAAAAATTCAAAAATTAGCCAGGCATTTTGGTTCACAGCTGTAGTCCCAGCTACTTTGTAGACTGAGGTGGGAGGATTACTTGAGCCCAAGAGGAGGTTGAGACTGCACTGAACTGTGATCATTGTGCCACTGTACTGCCTCCTGGGTGACAGAGTGAGATTCATCTCAAAAAAAAAAAAAAAAAAGAAAAAAGAAAATACCTGACTGAGAACTTTATCTTCAGAATGATTTCAGTGAGCATACTGGGATGCCCTTGAATTTTATATGGTTTTCAAATAAATATTTGAAAAGCTTGTTTATATTTCAGCAAATTTAACTGAGGCAGCTAAAAGCAGAGACACTGAAAAGGAAGATGTCTCAAAGTATATTTTTTAACAGTGTTCTCTCCATATCCAGGCAACCACTGGGTGATTAGTAATGCCTCTTAATAGCCGCTTGTCAGAGTGGAAATATGTGGCAAAGGATCTTAAGTTGAATATATTGTACATGTGTGTGTTATATTAAGTAGCTATGTAAATATTTATTCATTAAAAAATCAATCATTGAACATCTAAATTGATTGACCGGAATCCTGCCCTCAGGGAAATTTTAGACTGCAATACTACTTAAGGAAATAAATATTAGGTAAAAAGATAGGTCAGGAGAAGAAAGTATTGGAATTGCTTTTGGTGTACTGAGATCAAATTTTTAACAATTAATGAAAAATCCAAAACAGCAAATTAAATAAATTAAGGTTAAAAAAGTAGAGAAGATATGTGATAGCATGTGAAAATAAGATGAACTCATTGATGAACTATATTTGAGTTTTTCCTAAAATTATAAGTGATAGAAAGTGATTCAGTTTATCTGTAAAAGCACAATTGACACTTAATTTTTCATATCACTGCACATTTTATCTGACTTTCCATTTTGGGACCTTAGCCACTTGTGGAAGAAAAAGCCATAGAAAATAATGATTAGACATAAGTAGTAATGCTTTTGAAAACATGTTAATTTCATAATTTTCGTTTTAGAATTTTTTCTTTGAACTTATTTATCCTTATGTAAATTTCTTATCCTAGAATAATTTACAAACACATAACATTTTATTGCTAGAAATTAACTTTAAAAACAACTTTCCTACCTTATTATTTTAATGGCTTCAATTATTGCAGCGTTAGCAGCAATCTTGGAAGAATGTTATTTAATACTTAAGAGACTAATTTTTTAGTGTTATTCTTATTAGGATATGTAAAAGATAGTATTATATAAGAAATATTCTCTGGAAGTGGTACAGAATTTATGAAAAGAAAGCAGATGAGAACCTCTAGGTCAAAATTCGGGTGTTAATAAGAGCAGAGTTTTTCAAAGCTTTCTTAGCTCCTCAGTTGAATCCACAGATGTTTCAGACTTGTAAAAAGGCATTGCAAAGGGCAAAATGAGGTTATTGCTTCATCATTTATAGATACTGAGGATAATTTTATGTTAATGCTGTTTTAGTTACATATTATATAAGTCAAAATAATGGTGACTTGTATTCACATTTGTTTTCATGTGTTAGAAAAAATCTATTCTCTCTCTATTAATATATATCCACATATATGTAGTTATATGCATATATGGTTATACTTTTTGTAAGCAGAGATTTGAATTATATGAATTATTCATTTATAGCTAAATAGTGGAGAATTAAATTTTATGTACAAGAATATGAAGTCACATCCACAATGGCTGATGGGAAAATATAAAAATAGTATTTCAAGCTGCGCATAGCATCACATTTGAATATCAAACAAATAAATTGACATTGCTGTACAAATTACAGTAAATCTAAATTGCTTTACTGAGTATAGAGAGTATAGATGACACTGTCACCTCAGTAACAAACTTGTAAGTTATACATAAGGAATCCACGTTAGATTTTCCAATTTTTATTTCTCAATATTCCTGGTTGCACAAAAAATAGTTATTTATAGTACTCTACTGTAGAATATTGCTTACTCATATTTGTGTGTCTATGTGAATTTGTGTATCTCAAAATCATCTTACAATTCCTGCAGGGCTGATTAAAAAAAAATATTTACACTATTTACAAATGGTTTAAAAAAATGCTCTGCCTTTATAAATTTTCTTCTTGAAATAGACAATCAATGACCTTTTTGCTAGGTATTAATTGAAACCTACTAACTTATACTTTTGTGATTAAAGTTTTATAGTCCTGCTTCCTTTAGGGAAAACAACAACAACAATATGTGGGGTTACTGATTTAAACATATTTTTTAGTGCTAACTTTGTCTATTGATTTTTCAACTGTTGTCATAAAAATAAATGTTATATTTTCACACACAGTCAAAATAATTAATTTTGTATCTAAACCCACATCATAAAACTTTGAAGAGTCAAAGTTATTTTTTTATTTTAAAAATTGAGTACAGCGGGAATGCCAATCTCCTAGTAACTAATTGTAACTGAAAGAGAATGAAAAATTGGAAGATACAGAGAGGAAGAGAATTTAAAAAATAAAATTACAGTTAATGTAGTAGATATGGCATTATATTTGAAATAAATTTCCAATTGTATGTTAATGATTCTATTTGTGTCCTAAGGAAAAAGAAATGTGATAAAATTCATTTTATACAAGGGAAAGTAATAAATAGAACCTACATTGTACATGATGTAGAAAAACAAACTTTTTTCCATATAATATTGTATTAAGTGACTAAGAGTTTAGTTTTATTTTATAGTAAAATTAATGATCATTTCAGGACTTTTAAGGTTTAAATGAAATATTTATTATTAGCAAACTGAAATCTCAGAACGCGTGAGGTTCCACCATGGAGTAAAATTGTGAGGTGTGCTCACTATGGGGTAATTTTTTGTTTCTAAATTCAGGGCCATCATCCTCCAAATGTGTTCTGTTAAAAGAAAGGAATAGCAATAGTTTGAAGAAGAATATTTCAAAAATTGTCAAATTATTACTTTTTCAAAAATCAGAGATTCATTTGCATGTTAATAAAATGTGTTCTATCATTTGTATATGAGGAAATGAATATTAAAGTGATAAATGCCTCCGAGTCACAAAATGACCACCCGATGCTAAATATAACAATGATTCTTCCTAAAATATTCTATTAAATAATATTACTCAATAACAACTATCCCATACTTGTTATATATATAACCAAACCAACACAGAAAATTGTATTTTAATTCATTAATTTGTTCAGAAAATATTGTTGTTGTAAAAGAGTTGTTGTAAAGTTGTTGTAAAAGAGTTAATCTTTTAAAATCTAGCTACTTTTGAAATTGATTGCAAATAATGGCCACGTAGTCTAAAATCTCTTCCTAAATTCACTTTTTTTTTTCAGAAAGATTATCTGTACTGTAGTTAAAACATTTAAATCATAATTTGATTTAAAATAAATTATAATAACAGTTTTCAGAAAATACTTTTAGCACATTGTTTTTGTTTTAATCCTCAGCCTTAATTTTTTGTCCTTGAATTCTGTGT
The DNA here is from genome assembly GCF_000001405.40 of Homo sapiens. NCBI lineage: Eukaryota > Metazoa > Chordata > Mammalia > Primates > Hominidae > Homo > Homo sapiens. Next base: position 32,468,502 of record NC_000004.12, read on the forward strand.
CACGAAGTCGAGAGGATGTAGGTACCGATTAATATAATCTGGATTCTAATTCCTCCCAGATAGTACTGCTTCTGACTCATTGCATTAACCCTTCTTGGAAATATGCAGTGATTATTTTCTTCCAAAAATAAAGTCAAGGTCAGTGAAACCCTGATATCTGTATGGATTTTATTTCTGAAATATTATACACTTTTATAGCGTAAAACTTGTATTTCATATGGAACAGGTGCAATGCAAATTATCCATAGCCAGCAATGAAAATTTTAATTTTAGATAAAGAATACATAGAGTGGAATGGCCCTAACTCCTTTGTCCTCAGAAACACTTTATAGTAAATGATGGCATCAAATGGAGTCCCGAGGTTTATTCTTTCACTTTAAATGCTTATTTCCTGATATTAGATTTCAGAAGAGTTATAAAAGTAGAATGTGTTACCTTTATAATATAAGCACTAGTAGGCAGGGAGGACATCTATGGTAAACATTGTGTTTTTGTGATCTAAGAGCTTAATTTAACATGTATAGCTTTACAATCATCATGCAAAATAAATATAATAGTTCAGTTTGCAAGATAAATTTACTCTGAGTGATGGTAACATTAAAGCTAGGTTGCACATTAAAAGGTTCTCTAAGAAAAATATTTTATTAAGTGTTTATTTCATTTCTTACAGCAAGGCCTCTAATTAATGAAAAATTATCAAGTCGTTGTTAATGTAATTGATTTACACTTGATATGTGAGGACTAATATTAGTTATTATTCAAAATAACCAAATACTTTGCATACTGAAAGATTTAGATGATCATTGATCTATTTGATACCATTTTTTGAGGCATATCTTTTTTTACACAACTTGTTGATCCTCTGCATTTCTGTCCTCTGCCTACAGAACAAAGCCTTAGTAAATTTTTTGTACCCCCAGGGAAAATTCTGCATTTAGTTGAAGGATTATTTTAACTATTGAGTTAAAGTTTTTCTAAGAACTTAGAGCATTTGCTATAGTTTTACCTAACGGGTCACAAATTTAAAATACTTTGTTGAAGGAAAACTTATGTGGGTTCTAAAAAATTTTAATTGGGGCTGTGTCAGAAAATTCAGGATATGTAGGCAACAAGCTAAGGATGACAGAGATATGAAGTGAATCTGCTTTACAGATGCTCATAAAATGCACATGCACACAATTTACTGAATCTTTTTGTCTCAGTGCTGTACCTTTAAACATTTCCATTTCAGTGATTAATTTCAAGAGTCGATTAATCACTATTGCTAGTTTTTAGACTCAGACTTTTATGTTTCTTCTCAAATTTCAAAACAGAAGGAGAAAAAGTGTTGTCACATAAAAATCCAGGATATACTTTATCTGGTCACAATTTCATTCAGTATTCATGAGCTTCCAATACCTGTTTATTGTCGTGTTCAACATTACAACTAGACTCAAAATTCACCACAGTTAACAAATATTACATAAAGCAAGATAATAGCTATATTTGTCAAGTTGAGGTTAATAAGCACCTGGAAGTCCACAGAAGTTTCCCCAGAGTCCAGAAATGCTTGAATATTTATTTATTTTTATATTTCTATAATTTTAATAAGAATATGTGCATCTCATACATATCATTGTATGTATCTTTGACTATCTAGCTGATTATCATAAAATATTACAGTGAGGTACTTACTGTGGATGTGTGTGTTTCTCATAACTTTTTAAGTGCTTTCTTTTTTTGTTTCTACTCACTTGCCACGGAGTACTGCTTAAATTAAGTTGAGTTAATGAGAAATGTCATTAACTTTATACTGTACAAAGGCATTTCTACCAGGCAAAGACCAAATATTGTCCTGGCACCTTGAAGGAATTGAGATTTTCATTGAGATTTTAGTGTAAACAGAGAAAGTTAAGCAATAATTGAGCAAACACAGAGAAGTATAAACATGTTCAAGCTACAGAAGTCAGAACTATATCTATGGTTTGAATACTATTTTATTTCAGCAAAACAACACATTAATAAAATAGTTTAAAAATATATTTTATTAGTTTTATTGAGTTGTTCATTTTTAATTGAAAAATTTGCACCTTTTGAGTAAATGGTATATGCATTAAATGTTTATTTCTATTTTTATATACATGTTTAAGTAATATTACAATGCTTCCTACATGAACACCCCAAAAATGTGACTTGCTTTAAAAGGAAATAATATGTAAATGTGAGAAAAATATTTCTTATATCAAAAAGAAAGGGGAAACTTGCAATATTTTAATGTAACAAGTATTTGCAATGACATGTATTTTCATATTTAATATCAAGCATTATACTTGTTTTCTGTTACAAATATGATAATGCTTTTTAATCATTTTAGGCTTAATTTTTTGCATATTAAAATATAAATTATTTTATAACTTGTATGATTTTTTCTTTAAAAATCCACATCTAATTCTTTTTTAAGCATACTCAATGTTTCTCCTCTATTCAGATTTCAGAAGGAGAGTATGTAAATAATATAGCTTAAAATAAAGAAATGAAAACATTTAATACATAATGACCTTTGATTTAACCTTATGTTAAACTGATTAAATCTGGTATTAAAATTGAAATCCTTACAAATCCTCAACAATAGTGATGAGCTTAGAGTTTAATTTTTTCATATTTTTATGCATTATGTTTCATTTCAGTTGTCTATTAAAATCCAGAGCTAGTAAAGATAGAAAAATATTGAGATTCATTTAAATTTTTTTTCTGACCTCAGGCAAATAGAGTTTATTTTAATGAAATATTCAATGAAAATAAAGTAGATATGACTGTTTTATAGCAAGAGCTACACAATAAATATGGTTTCCCAAGCCTGATAAATGACTTATGGATGTAATACGGCTGCTAAATATCATGCTACTACTCTATTAAGCATTATTGAAAAGTTTAAAGTGAAAGGAGCTCAACTATTTAAAATTAATGTATATAATCTTGTGCTTTTCTCCATTTCAGAATAAATTCATTAATCAAACATAGTGGAGAAGAGCAAAAAGAATAATTAAATCCAAAGAACTAGAGAGACTAATAATGAAGGGGGCTAAATCATATTTCTAACATAAATAATTAAAAATGATTTGAAGGAACATTGAGGTTTTTTTCCTAATATATAATAAGGCAGAAATAAGTTACATTTTTCAATTCAAAATAGAGAAAGGAATCTCACATTTACCTAATACTTGTGTGCCTGGCTGGTCCATACATGAATACATATCAAGGAAGGTTCTTGTTGGATTAAATGATCAAAAACCTGCGAAGTCCTGGAATAACTGTGCCTAGCACACAGTTACTTTAAGTTTTAGTACTTCCTCTTCTCGTTTTCTTCCTCCAGCCCAATATTGCCCTTGCACATAGCAAATATTCTTATTTAGTATCATATACCCAAATAATATGGATATTTTATGCAGAGCTATATTTTACAAATGTATAGGTGGAAACTTATGAATACTGGATCACCTGAAAACCTGTACAAAATCATCCTGAAAGCAGGATGGGGGAAAAAGTAAGCAATGATTTATCCCTAGAGAGATTAAGATCATAGAACTAATTACGTGACCATATTTCCCCCAACAGTTCTTTTTAAATGATTGGGATTTTTTTTTTCATAGTTGAGAATTCTTTCATGACATGAAAATTATACTTATTTGAGTGCGTAGTCTACATGGTGAACTGATTAATGATCTTAGAAAAATCCAATAGGTTTTGATAAAAAGACAGTACAATATGAAGAAAGTTAAAGCACCACAGTAAGTCAGTAAGGCATCAGACAATTTCAGGTATAGGGAAGAAATACTTGATTGTATGTCAAGAATTTCTAGTAGAAGATAAAGTTAAAAATGTAAGTAATACACATTTTGTTCAGAATCATGTCTTGCTGAACTGATTTAACTTCTTAATTTCTGGTCTTCTTTTGTTTCTCCATTAAGCACTTTTCCTAATTTCCTGTTTAACTCATAGACTGCCTCTTAATGTAAGTTTCAGATGTTGTGGGAAGGACACTATAATTCAGAGTAGGAAGGTCCTGAATATGTAAATACTTAGTTATAAAGTAACGTGATAACCAGAGAGAGGTGAGGACAGAGTGTCATGAGTGTCCAGGCGAGGTAAGTGGTTAATTTAAAAGACAAACATGGTAAAAAGAAATAAAATAAAATTTAAACAATGAAACATGAACACTTCCTTGGCTGCTAATAGTCAAATCAATAGAAAGATGTCGTGGGATATATAAAAGAGAAATAACGAAAAACATAGCCTGTGAAGAAGGAAAATATATGCATTTTGCTTTAATATGTTTCACCAAATATTGAGAAGGATAACTTTTTTCATTCTCATTTTCTAATGCATACACAATTTAATTACTTGCTTTTCCCCGTATTATTGATATGTGATTACCTCAGACTTAGTAGCTTAAACAGCAACTATTTTATTATGGTCAGGGGTAGCAAAAATGAGGCTCAGCTGGGCTCTTTTCACTTGGGGCATTGAAACCTGAGGAGTTTTTCCTTGTAGCCCTCTCAGTACATGTGACAAGGGTGTGACTCACTTCTTTGATGCCTGGCTGCTCAAAACCCTAGGGGGAGCATGCAGATGGGCAGGTCTTGGGGAGTCTTTTTGGGCTCTGAACCCAAAGCAGCATCTAGGGTTAAGTGTTTACAGCTCCCAAAGCCCCCAGTGGGCGTGTGTTACAGTGTGCTTTTTCAGCTTAGCCATCTGCAAATGGCTTGTTAATCAGCTCGATTAGACCCTCTGCCTTATTGTAAGGACAGGGGGCTTTCTGTATCTGGGGTTCTTGCCCTATTGTACCATAAAAATCAGATCATACGTGGGCTTGGAGAATGAGTGCAAGGTTTTATTGAGTGGTGGAGGTATCTCTCAGCAGATGGATGGCGAGCCAGAAGAGGGATGGAGTGGGAAGTTGGTCTTCCTCTGGAGTCAGACCACTCAGCGACTGGGCTCTCCTCTGACCACCCTTGGCCAAATTTTCCTTGGTGTCAACGTCTTTCCACCATCGATGGCCTGCCGGGGTCTGTTGGTGTCTTCTTCTGACGGTGTGTTCCTGTCGATGTCCAGCTGCTTGCGTCTCTGTCCACTTAACTCGGGCTTATATGGGCACAGAATGGGGGCATGGCAGGCCAGAGTGGTTTTGGAAAATGCAACATTTGGGTGCGAAAACAGCAGTGCCTGTCCTCATGTAGGTCCCTGGGCACAGGCCTGAGTGTGGAGCTCTTGCCAGGAACCCTGTCCTTCTCTACCCAGCATTTCCCTTCCCCCTCCCTTATCAGCATCATGCAGTTTTTGTCAGGTGAAAGCTGATCTTGCTTACTTTATGCTGTAATCACCTAAGATGAGTAGTATTGCTTTGTAGTCAAGAGTGCTGAGCTTTCATCTTTCACTATTTTTCAAAATTCTCCAGATGTCTGTTTGTAGATGTATCTCATTGTCTAGATAAATTTTCTAGAAGTGGATATTAGGTCTTATTCATTTTTTAAAAAATTCTCAGAGGTCTAGCATAACACAAGGAACTGCTCAATAAAATGCCTACAAGAGCCAGGCTGAAAACAAAGGTAATGGCCCACAGAGAGCTTCATAAATAGTGAATAACATAGATCTTGGCGTTGGGGAATGTGTATGAGAGAATTTTGTTCACTTTTCTGCACAGCAATAAGAGTGTCTTGAGGATGAATACACTCGGAATAAAGCCTCCACTCTGTCACTATCTGGGGACAACAACTAACCAAGCAACCAAATAAACAAGCGTTTCAAAACATTTTCTGAAATACTTGGTCCTGTTCAAGAAAACCAGACCCAACCACAAAGTGAAATGATTTAAGAGACTGTAAACTAGTTCAACCATTGTGGAAGTCAGTGTGGCGATTCCTCAGGGATCTAGAACTAGAAATACCATTTGACCCAGCCATCCCATTACTGGGTATATACCCAAAGGACTATAAATCATGCTGCTATAAAGACACATGCACACGTATGTTTATTGCGGCACTATTCACAATAGCAAAGACTTGGAACCAACCCAAATGTCCAACAATGATAGACTGGATTAAGAAAATGTGGCACATATACACCATGGAATACTATGCAGCCATAAAAAAGGATGAGTTCATGTCCTTTGTAGGGACATGGATGAAAGTGAAAATCATCATTCTCAGTAAACTATCGCAAGGACAAAAAACCAAACACCACATGTTCTCACTCATAGATGGGAATTGGACAATGAGAACGCATGGACATAGGAAGGGGAACATCACACTTTGGGGACTGTTGTGGGGCAGGAGGAGGGGGGATGGATAGCATTAGGAGATATACCTAATGCTAAATGACGAGTTAATGGATGCAACACACCAGCATGGCGCATGTCTACATATGTAACTAACCTGCACATTGTGTGCATGTACCCTAAAACTTAAAGTATAATAATAATAATAATAAAAGAGAAATGAAAATATGATAGTGAAAACTATCATTTGACCACAAAAGGAAACTTTCTATTTGTGCTGTGGAATGCAGCATACCATAAACAGGGTTGTTTAAGAGATGAAACTTGTTCTCAGAGCTGGTGAGATCCTGTGTCCTAAGCTGCCTAGTGATTTTACTGCACCTGCAGCCAATGAAATCCAAGAATATGAAGAGCAGAACTCCGCAAAAGGGAGTATGGTGTATGAACAGAAAGGCCAGAAAATAAGCATGTCTATGTGCATATTTTATTAGTAACTTTAAAATTGCTTTTGTTAATTGCTAATAAACTGAGTGACAATTTCCAGGGTAAAATTTGAATGTTTCCACAGAATCTAACAGGAGAAAGGGAGTAGTAGGGACAAGATAGGGAATTGGGGAAAACTTTTGCCACAGAAGGCCAGAGATATTTGTGGGTAGCTAGTTGTTACCACTGGGGTGAGGGGGGTGAAACTTTTCCAGTTTTGTTAGATCTATCCTTATGATTAGTTCCAAGTCCTTTAGTTCACTAAAATATTGTAATCTTGAAGTGCTCTCTCTTAAACTATTATTTTAATGTGTATGTGTAAACATTTTTGCCTAGCATAGGGTAAGTGTTCAATAATTATGTGTTGTTTATATGAATCATATTAGTAAAAATATATTGTGATTTCACATATTTCAAATTAAATACAAAGTAAAATGCTAACTTAAAAATATTTCATAATCTCATTCTTCTAAAGTAATAATTTTAGAGTGCTGTAGATCCTTTGTACTATATTGAAATTAGAACAAACCAAACGATACAATAGACAGGAAAAACAAAGGGTCACAGAGCACCCTCTGATATGTGTACAGGGCTTTCATTGAGCTCAGAGAAAAGCAGTCTCTAGTGACGCTGCAAATTTATTTTTAAAAGGTGGCTTGCACTGTCAGGTGTAGTAGTTGAGAAATCTATGTAATCTTGTTTGATATTGAATCCAAGGGCAAAGTACTAACTTTGTTGCCCGGAGCAGGCCTCTTATATGAATAGGAGGCTTCTATTTTGAGGTCTGTCCCTCGGGGAATTTGTGAGAGAATGCTCCAAGATGATTCCTTAATAATCTAGCTAAATGGGCCGGGCGCAGTGGCTCACGCCTGTAATCCTAGCACTTTGGGAGGCCGAGGCGGGTGGATCACGAGGTCAGGAGATAGAGACCACCCTGCCTAACACGGTGAAACCCCGTCTCTACTAAAAATACAAAAAAAATTAGCCGAGCAGGGTGGCGGGCGCCTGTGGGTCCCAGCTGCTCCCAAGGCTGAGGCAGGAGAATGGCGTGAACCCGGGAGGCGGAGCTTGCAGTGAGCTGAGATCGCGCCACTGCACTCCAGCCTGGGCGACAGAGCGAGACTCCGTCTCAAAAAAATAAATGAATAAAATAAATAAAAATAAAAATAAATAATAATAATCTAGCTAAATGAAGAAATTAAGAATGATATGTTATTTGGGTGATTCTTGATATAAGACATTCAACTTCATTAGAAGAAACTCTGTCAATTAGCATTTACAAAATTTAAATGGAGTTGGAGAACTAAAAGCCTTTGTGGAAGTCTAGAATAGAACTCAATAACAAGACCTTAAGAGACCTACGTGTGAAATCCTCGTAAATTTTATAAAAGCTTCTGAGGAAAATGAGTGGTATGAATTTGTCACAGATTATTTGAGCATAAATGAGATCTGGATCAAGATCTAATAATGAAAACCAAATAAGTTAAGGAAAAGAAATCAATGATATTTTTAATGATATGAATCAGGCTCTTCAATATAAGCTTTTATAAAATGCATTTTTTAAACTACAAAATGTGTCAAATTTGAAATGAAATAGTCAACTTTTCTTTATCAAATATCAAATTATTAGAAGGGATCCCAGCCGGGCATGGTGGCTCAAGCTTGTAATCCCAGCACTTTGGGAGGCCGAGGTGGGTGGATCACTTGAGGTCGTGAGTTTGAGACCAGCCAGACCAACATGGAGAAACCCTGGTTCTACTAAATATACAAACTAAGCCGGGCATGGTGGTGCATGCCTGTAATCCCAGCTACTTGGGAGACTGAGGCAGGAGAATGGCTTGAACCCAGGAGGCAGAAGTTGCAGTGAGCCGAGATCGCGCCATTGTACTATAGCCTGGACAACAAGAGTGAAACTGTGTCTCCACAAAAAAAAGATGGGCCCCTCCAGATATTAAAAAAAAAAATAGGTTTGTTTGCATATATTTCAACAATGCCTCTCATTGCTACCATGAAACAATTGTTTTCTTTTTATCATCCCTTGTCTTGTCTATAAGGAGTTATCTATATCTAAATATCTGCAAACTTTTTAAAAAGTACAATACATCGAGGGCATTACATAATGATAAAAAGCAAATGGTTGATGCAGACAAACATGAAAAAGCAGCAAGGTTAAGAAAAAATACTGTATATTTTACAGTGTCAAACATACAGTCTGTTCAATAAATAATACAACATGTGAAATCTACAATGTCAACTAGAGATGGAGGCTGGGGATATTACAGACTGACATTACTGTAATTAAGGAATGAAAAAAAATAGCAACATTTCAGGACATAACAAAGTACACCATCTGGGCCTGCCAACTATACATATTAAATACGGAAAAAGAAAGGACAAACAAAGCTAATATAAGCATCATACCATTTTGCAAATTCATAAAGAATCAAAGGAAATCAAAGAATCATTATAGCCCTCTAAATGCTTCTACGGGTAATTTGTTGATAAAAGGAGTTGGCAGCACTTCATAATTTACAAAGGAAGATAGAAGACAGATGTCAGAAGCAGATGCACACTTCCCAGAAAGGAGAAGAAGGAATGCTAAAGCAAATCAGGATCATTTGCAAAACACAGATAAAATAAACAGGAAAAAAACAACTGAAAAAGGACTAGTTTCACAGAGTTGACCTAATCATTCTATTAAATTGATACTGATCTCTAGGTCATAATTTTTTAAGTTTGGAAGTGGCATAAATTGAATAGACAAGTTATTGATATTCTACTATTTGCACAGCACTATGCCAGACCAAGAAGACATACTGAGATAAAGAAGACAACTAGCTGAAGAGATCTCAAAAGAATATATTCTGTAAAGTGTAAAGGTGTTCACACAGTCAGAGTGTTTTGATTTTTCACAACATAATAGAAAATGAGTGATTCTCCTACTATCAGTTATTCATCAATTCAACCAGACATTCACATCCATCTATCTAAAAATATTTGAGAGCCGATTCTAATTATAGCCTCAAATAAAATGTAGTTGAGGCTATTTTAGAGGTCAAATAGAGAGATATAAAAGGATAATTAATTCAAATTAGAGCTGTATCAGATTTGAAAAAACATTGGATTTCAGTCATTACTTAGAAGAATTAATTCAAATTCTACTTATCTGAATTCATGAGTACTTCAAAGTAAGACTGAGATGAGAACAATTATACTTCCTATTTTCCTTGACTGTAACTTTAATATTTTAATATATATTAAAATTTAATGTTAACTGTATTTTAATATTAATATGTAATTAAATATTTAATATACATGCATCTACATGTACACATATCTATATATTCATGAATGTATATTATATACAGGTGTATCTGTATATTATGCATATACACAAATATGTATATTAAAATCTATATTAAATTATTAACATTGCTATCATAATTAAATATTTAATCTAATCAAATAAATATCAAATATTCATGTTAATATTTAATTTAATGTAATTTGAAGACTTTAATATTTAATTTCAATTAAATCAAATAATACTTTATGATAGTAATGATATCTGTTACTATAAATTATTAATGTAATTATATATAATGTAATTAATATAGTGGAATTATATTAATCACTATAAATTATTAAAAATAAATTATCTATAAATTATTAATTATGTTAATAATTTAATATAGATTTTAATATATATTTGTGAGTATGCATAATATACAGATACGCCTGTACATATATAAATTCATGTATATAGAGATATGTGTACATGTATATGCACATATATTTATATGTGTAATATATGTTTTATGTTTATGTGTTTAAGATAATTTTAACTGAAAAAAAAATTTTTTTTTTTTTTTTGAGACGGAGTCTCACTCTGTCGCCCAGGCTGGAGTGCAGTGGCATGATCTCGGCTCACTGCAACCTCCGCCTCCCGGGTTCACACCATTCTCCTGCCTCAGCCTCCCGAGTAGCTGGGACTACAGGCGCCTGCCATCACGCCCGGCTAATTTTTTACATTTTCAGTAGAGACGGGGTTTCACTGTGTTAGCCAGGATGGTCTTGATCTCCTGACATTGTGATCTGCCCACTTCGGCCTCCCAAAGTGCTGGGATTACAGGCATGAGCCACCACGCCCGGCCCTGAAAAATCTTTAAGTTTAGATCCAGTGATAGAATTGACCAGACACACATATATATGAAGATGACTTTCAGCTGAAAAAGCATCCGAGACTCTGTACTAGAATCTATCACAACCTAATCCTATAGGTAATATTATACATATTTGTATATTTATAGAATTATTTTGCTTCTGTACCTCTTGTCTTCAATCACTTACTCCAAGATAGTAGACAGTAAGATTGAGAATTATTTTAACAACTGGTAATATCGATCAAAAATGTCCTCCCTGCTTCTTACTGGCCTCAATGATCGTTATCTTTTATGACCAGCTGTTCAGATCCAATCTATTCCACTTAGTCCTTTCTGGAAAGACACGTTCAAAGAGATCCTCTTACTTCTTTGAACTTGCAAAATATTTAGTGTCAATTTTGTCCTTGGCAAACTAACATTCTGAAAAACCAAAGTGGCTTAAAGGAAAGTAACTGCATTGAAAAACAGCAGTTGACTTATTCAAGAAATGTGTGTTTAGTTTACTGCCCAGTTTTTCTTTTCTTTTTTTTTAGACAGACGATTATTGGAAGCATACTCCAAATGATACTTAACAGAAGCCAAAACAACTAGGTATCATTACTTCTTTTCATGTCTGCTCACAGTTTTACTTGCAGGTATGCACATGTAAACGTGTGCATACACATACACATACCCAGGTATCCTCATATATAAACACATGGACTTACACACCCAAGTCAACTTTTTCACATCATAATAGTTCATGGATGTAGTTTTTGCCACAGAAATGGCATAGCTGGAAACTTGTGTTTTCCTCTAACTATAAATACAACATTAGCCATTATGTTAAAGTATTTTTTTCTGTCATCAGCTGAAAATTCTGATTAAAAAAGGAAGATAGTGACATGCACAAGTTGGTGATGTCTAAAAGGGATACATCTGTCTGTGCTTGGTGTAGTCATGGAGCTGATTAATAGTTGGAGCCTGGCAATTAGAACTTTTTTGAGTCTGCTAGACAGAGCTGGAAATATACTTCGCTAAGAGGAGCAGTGAACTAAGTTGTTTACAGATGAGCTCTGCTCTGTGTAGCTGAAGTAGGATTTAACTTAAGCAAGTGGCTTCCAGTGAGGCATTAAGGAAATGGTGTTACAGAATCAACTAAAACATCACTTTTAAGACAGTCATTTTTTCCAGATATTTAAATGTGTTAAGTGTCACTGGGTGCTACATCAGTAATCTGGGAGAGTGAAAGGGCAGTAACAATTTGTGAAACATGTTGGGGATCATTTCCTTTCCATTTTGAATGAAAAGGAGTAAGCTGAGAAACATGTAAAGACTAGGAAACTGGCTATTGTGAACAGAGTAAGCAACAGTAAGTTTATTCGAAGCTTTTACTGATCACACAAAAATATTTGACATGGATAAATATCTGACATAAATAGTTCCTATTTGTTTTTCTAAAATCATTAAAAAAAAAATCAAGCCTGCCTCTACTACCTCACCTAGATGGACTCAAAGCTCCAGCTCTTCCTGTTTGTCATCTCTACACGCTCCTCCAGATACTTTCTGCATCCACACCATTGCCTCCCAATTCTGCCTCCAAAAGGAAGGCCTACAAAACAAAAAGTTGCCACTCCTATTTCCAGGCAAGGTTGTGAAATAAAGGCGCAAATTCTCTGATTCCTTACCCTATTATGAGAATTTTGGAAGGGGGAAAATGGTGGGGATAAGGTTTGGACATCAGAATTCAAACTCTTTTAGAAAAGTTATTGTCAATATTATCACCAACCATTTTGGACTTCAGGTATATAATGGGTTTAAATGTATTTGCTGGCAGAAAGGGGAATCCAAACTTCAAATAAAGTTGAATTCAGGGATTGTAAACTAAAGAAACTGCAAGAGGAGCACATAGCTCCACAAAAGCAACATTGGAAGAATGAGAGTTGGTGATTAAGGTAGTACTTTATGCACATACATGCACGCACACATACATACACACACGCCCATGTACATATACATGGCACACAACATGGTATTTTGATATACATATACATTGTGAAATAATTACTACAGTCGAGGCAATACGTATATGTGTTTGCGGATGTGCATGTGTGGTGTTTCTTTGTTTTTGACTGATGTCACCAATTTAAAGATTTCCCACTTCATCCTCCTCATATAGATTATGTCTGTCACTAAAATAGGATATGCAAGGCACCCAAAGATGTGAACAGTACGTATCCATATTTGAAGCCTGTGCCCATATCTCTTGTTTTAATTCTGATCCCATGGGAAGATACGTTCTGAATCCCTAATAATCAGCCAACACTTTCCTAAGTTGGACTTTGCCTAAACTGCAAGACCTAATTATAGTTAATGCTTTGATAATGTAGTTCAGAAGCAACAATGTATGAATGACAACATGATTGCTCAAAGATCTAATTCTTTGATATGATTTAGTTGACATAAACAGAGTGTAACCACAGGAATGACAAAATAATTGACACGTTATTTTAAAAATGTGAATTATTATGTTGACTTGGATGTCAATTAAAAGTTGATACTAGGCCGGGAGCGCTGGCTCAAGCCTGTAATCCCAGCACTTTGGGAGGCCGAGGCGGGCGGATCACGAGGTCAGATCGAGACCATCCTGGCTAACACAGTGAAACCCCGCCTCTACTAAAAATACAAAAAATTAGCCAGGCATGGTGGTGGGCACCTGTGGTCCCAGCTACTCGGGAGGCTGAGGCGGGAGAATGGCACGAACCCAGGAGGCGGAGCTTGCAGTGAGCCGAGATCGCACCACTGCGCTCCAGTCTGGGCAACAGGGAGACCCTGTCTCAAAAAAAAAAAAAAAAAAAAAATGTTGATTTTAAATTCAAAGAATAGAGAGTGAAAATTACTTCAAGGATGTAAAAAGTCATTTCGTGTCTGCATGTATTTGCAAATATAAGTACTATATGTAACTTTTTAATGTTTTTTAATAAAAATTTTATATTTTGTATTTTCTAAACACTCAACAGGTTTTATTGTTTGTTTCTTTTGGATATGAATCAAAGTAAACAGTAAATTTTTCTTTTTTTTATAATCAAGTACATGGCCAATCATAGGCTGTCTGCAATTATTAGGTTATTGAAATAAGTAATTAATTTTACATTTCTAAACCTATTTTTGTTAACCCTACGAATTACTTTAATTATAATAGGAATTTCATAATTATGTCAATCAAAAATTTTAGTGGTCTTAAAATAGCATACATAACTACAATGATTACAATCCCAATTCAGGCTGTTAATTTTTAAAGTTTGTACAGCCCCCTTCCAATTAAGCAAAACAGTATTTAAATTTTATTTTATTAGTTGAATGTCAGAATACAATTTTGTTGGTTTGTTCCCTAAAATCAAACATATCCCCAAAGGAATGCCTGAATTATATATAATATGTTTGAGATTACAGAGATAGATGGATAGATAGACAGATGATAGATAGATAGATAGATGATAGATAGGTAGATAGATAGATGGAAAGAATGAATTCTAAAAGCTCTGACATCACTGTATAAATCAAAAGGCTACACCAGACTTTCTAAGGAGAATTTTAAATAAGAATTCCCAAAGGTCTTGAAGAGTATTATTACCTTATTCCAATCAGCATTTTATCTCAGCTTTGAAAGAGACTATGGCCTGTATTTGGATGTGAGAGATTACCACCCTGGAATTTGAAGAAAGGATTAACCTAAATAGGAGACAGAAAATAGTTGAGTGATTCATACAGAAATGTGGTTCTGAAGAGCAGACATTTGGAGAGCTCTCACCAGGCCATGAGGAACATCGGTGACCAAGATTTTTTTTTTTTTTTTTTGAGACAGTCTTGCTCTGTCGCCCAGGCTGGAGTGCAGTGGTGCGATCTTGGCTCACTGCAAGTTCCGCCTCCCGGCCTCAGGCCATTCTCCTGCCTCAGCCTCCCTAGTAGCTGGGACTCTAGGCACCCGCCACCAGGCCCGGCTAATTTTTTTCATTTTTAGTAGAGACGGGGTTTCACCAGGTTAGCCAGGATGGTCTCAATCTCCTGACCTCGTGATCTGCCCGCCTGAGCCTCCAAAATGCTGGGATTATAGGTGTGAGCCACCACGCCCGTCTGGTGACCAAGGTCTTAATCCAAGAAAATATCTGCACCAGACTGCTGAGTTCCAACGTATAGAAAGGATTAGGAAACAACAAATCCTTAGAGGACAAGAGAAACAATTTATTTTAGAATCATAAAACCCGGAATTCGAAGAAAGGTAGGGAAAAGGTCAGGTTTAGGCTTCTTAGGAATAAATACATATCAATTATCAAAAATCTTATATTTTTATATTATGAAATATTCCTATGATAGAGTAAATAGAAAGATGTTAATGCCATTCAGTTCCAAGATTAAATTACCATCCGATTTGAGAAGTCTTTCGCATATTTAGTATACATCATTTTGCAAAAGCAGAAGAGTTTAATGTCTAATTGTGTTCCTGCTTCTTTCTTCAGAATCACTCTAGCTATTCTTTTTTTTCCCTTTTTTTCTTTTGCTTTTTTTTTTTTTTCCTGATACAGGATCTCACTTTGTCACCCCAGCTGGAGTGCAGTAGTATGGTCACGGCTCACTGATGCTTTCATCTTCTGGGCTCAAGCAATCCTTCTGCATCAACCTCCTGAGTAGCTGAGATGACAGGTGTGTGCCACCACACCCAGCTTTTATATACATATGTGTGTGTGTGTGTGTGTGTGTGTGTGTGTGTGTGTGTGTGTGTGTTTGTTTTGTAGAGACGGGGTCTGGCTGTGTTACCTAGGCTGGTCTGGTCTGGAGCTCCTGGGCTCAAGGGGTTCTCTCACCTTGAACTCCCAAAGTGTTGGGCTTACAGGCATGAGCCACCACACCTGGCCCACTCTAGTTATTCTCAAGCATTTACTCCTATCTGTGAATTTTGGGAATATCCGATCAATTTATTTATGAAATCACTTTGATTACCTCTTTGATTACTATGAAATTGGAATCACTATAATACTGATGCCTTGAAAATATACCGCTTTCCCTGTGTTGAGGTCTACTTTTATTTCCTTAAAAAAAGACATACTTTTCTTCAAAATATGTTACATATTGTTGTTTATTGTTTCTAGGTGATTTTTTGGTTAGTTTGGTTCTGTTTTGGCTGGTTTTGGTTTTTCTTTTATTTGTATGTTTTGATATTATCACTTGTATTGAATATCCTGTTTATGTTTTCATGTATATTTGTTTTTTATTTATTTTTCTTGAGTTTTATTGATCTTTGATCTGTTATTCGCTTTTTGAAATATATATACTCTTTCGATATTCTTTTAACAGTAACCCTTTAATTTTTAGTATGCATACTTGATATCACAAAGTTATCATGTAATCAACATCTCTATCTCCCTTAGAAAAAAATAGAGAAAATTCTAAAAAATACAGGAATTTTTAAAAGTTTCGATACAATTTTCTTTTTTTCTGCTATGTTACCTGAAGTTTGAGGTTTATTATGTCTTCAACTTTAAATAGGACTTTCTGTATTTATTCACTTATTGAGTATATTACCAAAAATCTACCTTGTTTTGGTTTTTCTAACTTTCTCCTTGCATTTCTACCCTTTCTTCTAGATTAATACACGTTAGAGTTTATTTGGTGAGCACTCACAAGTGATACTCAGCCACTCTTTAATTCAAAATATTGTTATACCAGCCTGGCAACATGGTGAAGCCCTGTCTCTACCATAAATACAAAAATTAGCCAGGAAGAGTGGTGCACACTTGTAGTCCCAGCTACCTGGGAGGCTGAGGTGGGAGGATTGCTTGAGCCTGGGAAGCAGAAGTGGCAGTGAGCTGAAATCATGCCACTGCATTCCAGCCTGGGTGCCAAAGTGAGACCTTGTCTCAAAAAAAAAATCATATATATACATATATATATATACACATATATATATATGTATATATAATTATTATCTCTAGTTACCGATAAGATAATTTCTTTGTCTTTGGTAATATTCTTTTTATTTTTAAAAAATATCTTGCCTCAGATTCAGCAAACAACTTTCATATAAAGTCTCATATTCCTTTCTTGCAATATTGAAAATTATAAACCATGATAACTTTTAATAGTGCCTCTTTCATCTTCTATCCTTCTGGCACTCTTAATAAAGCCTTCTAGGCACTTAGCTTGATGCAAGGTGTTTAATTTAGACACTACCTTTCCTGTATATGAGACAGCTTATCCTGGCCGAGCCACTATGAAACTTCAGTTTCAATATCATGTATCACAGTTCAAATACACTGGTCTCACTTGAGTTTCTTTTTATTTTTATTATTTTCTATGCAGATAGTTTTACATTTAAAATTAAAATTATTTTATTCTATGCTATATTTTTATATATTTTTGGTGAGGATAAAGCCAATTCTAGTCAAGTCCTTTTGCAATATAAAATGTTTATTCATGTGTTTTCTAAAATGTGAATTTTCAAAAGATATACAATATTTGGATTCCTTTTAAATGAAAAAAGACAAGAAAAAATCAAAACATACAAAATCTGAGAATGTATTACTTCTGACCATATAGCTTATTTTTAGCTCAGTTAAGTTTGGAGATTTGCTGGTTTTTCTCTCTAGTATCCTTATAAGGTTGACTGTGTTTTTTTCTTTTTAAAATACCCTTTAACGCAACTCTTTAGGAAGGACAAGGCAACTTCTTAAAGTTCTGCTTAGGTTCTCAGGAAATGTCATTCATTTGGCAGGGATCCCAATGTGTAGCACAGCTTGATTCCCTGCACAGTCCCCAAAACAGCCAGGCCTGAGACTACGAAGCTCTTTCAATGACAGGCATTCATTCATCTGAACTTATTCTGAACTCAGAGAATACACTTAAAAAAAAACAACAACAACAACAAAATTACTTTGAGAGGAACATTCTGAGGTTTTTGCAACTAAGTATTTCCTCTTTAAAAGTTTTTTTTTTTTTCTTCCTGTAGAATGGTTTTAAGGGCATTCCTTTTCTTTATATTTTAGCAGGAACCCTGAGATGTCCCAATGAAAAAGATTTTAAAACATTTTTAGCAGTGTTCTTGCTTTAGAGTTGGCATTTGTCTTTGTTTAATTGGAAAGTAAAACTTAAAGTTCACTCTTATTTAACTTCCACTTAGGAAAAGAAAAGACAAAAGTAAAAATGACATAGTGTAAATTTTAATGACTGGATTTTACACAGAAACATTCTGGGTTCTTTTTAATTTTCACATAAGGAGATTTCAAATCAAATCCAAATTACACAATTATGAACTGTAAAAGATATGTTGCATCTATGTTAATCAACATGATATTATACTCTTAATTTGTTCACACATTTTAATTTACTGCAAAAATCTTACCTTATATAGAAAAAGCACTACTTTAGAAATATGGGCTCTGGAGTCAGATAGCCTAGGTTGAAATGCTGGATTTACATTTGCTACCTGTGAAAATATGAGAAAATTACTTAACTTTTTTGTGCCTCCTTGTCCTTCATTTTGTAACAAGAAGAAAAATAGCACTTAACTCTTGGAGTAATTGTGAAGAATGAAAAAATTAGTATACAATGTTTGGAATTGTGATTGATGCTCAGTCAGTATACACTAATTTTTACTGTTAATTGGTGATAATCTCTCTAGGCTTCATTTATCTACAAAGTCTACGGTTTCAAAGAATATTGCTTTCTTCAATTTATTTCCTTTTAAAGGTTAGATTTCAATTTACAGAAAAGTTAGTTTATACATGAAGTTTCATATTTCATATTTAGAAAACTCTGTAGTCTTTTTTGTTGGATACAGAGGTTCCTTTCTATATTATAATCCTCCAATTTTATATAATCTATATTATATCCTAGTTCAGTCCAGTTACTGGGCAAATGTCCCACTTCACTTCAAGGTGTATAAGGCGGGAGCAATCCTTAGGTGAAATCAGCTATCTATCTTCAATGCCTGTTTTGTAATTTAAAAAAATAAAAATTTGACACCTAATTTTCCCTTACATAGCTTTTTTCATATTGGACATCTATCTAATGCCTTTTCGTAATAGTCTATATTGCCATTCATATGCTATGAACATTCTCCAGTCATGATACAGACATCCATCGCATACGAACATTTTATTAGTTGGCTTAACCAAAGTTGTTTTGCCACTATTCAGTTATTTTTCCATAAAATATTTTATGCAATGATGAAAAATTATATCTGTAAAGTGATTGTAACCCTATTAAAAATAAGCATCCTCGTTATAAAAAATTAACAAAATTTGGTAGATTTCTTTCTAACTACTGTAGCACACCTACATACACAGGGACAATACATATTTATAATAGTCTATCCATATAATAGATTGCTTTTTCACATAATAATATAATATCAACCTTTCTGTAGATCATTCATTGTTTAGTACCATTATTTGCAATGTTTCTTAGTATTCTATCATACGTTTATGTTTATAAATATCTAAATAAAAAATTAGCTCTAGTTGGACATTCATATTGCTCCAAAATGTACACTGTATAAATCATATAGTGCCTTAAAGGAGAAACTTTAAGTTGTGTATAAATAAATCTTTGTAAATATATTAAGCTCTTTTGTCTTTTTAAAATTCTTGAATATAAAGTTTAATGCATTCATTTCTGTTTCCTGTTAATAAATACAAGCATCTTATCCAATAAGCTTGCTCCAGATGAAAATTTTGGGGCACAACTGGTAGATTTCTTTTAGGTGTCTTCACATACTCTGCTATGCCTTTGATGAAAGCATCTCAGATTCATTGAGGAAAATTTCAAAAGTATAGAAAATATAATTCCACACCAATATGCATTTGATATATATTTCCACTATTTTTTCAATACCTAGATCCATCTGATTTTATGTTATGGATTATTTTAGGGCTCTAAATATTCCCTAATTTAAAATTTTAAATCTAATTTTAATTATTTCCACATAGAAATTATTTAAATTATTTTCTGGTTCTTTTTCTTACAATGTTGAAGAGATAATCTAGCTTAATTTTACTAGTTGATATCTCAAGTAGTTTATTAATTTATTTTGAAACTTACAAAGTTTTAAGTATATGTATATATACATAGCTTTGTATAACTGTATATATATACTTATATGTATTATATTTGTGTGTATATAGTATCTTTGCACTTATATGAATATTTCTGTAACAAGATTTTATATATAGACACACGGGAAATAATTTGAATTTTTTATTAAATACAAAGAATGTAGATTAATGGGTATACTGCATATATGTATTATATCTTTTTAGATATTTTTCTGTATAAACCTTTCTTTATCTGAATTGTATGACCTTTAGAGCTACTGATGATTTTTGTTTTGCAGGATATATGAAATATTTGCAAGCTGTTTTTAAAACTATGCATTAGTCAAACTATGCATTAGTCAATATATAGTTGGTAGGCAGCATTTTCGTAGGTGACTGTGTTACATCCTTTAAAACATCCTTAGAGTAAATTCCTAGATATGGAATTGCTTGTAACACATTTTTAAGATGTTGACTCATAATGAGAAGATTCTTTTTGGAAACATGCCAGCTTATAAGTCCAACATATGAATATGTATATCCTTAAAGATTAGAAATTTAATATTTTAAAGCTTCTCCAATTCATAGATAACAACCACTAGTTAAAATTTTACTTATATTTGTTTGTATTTATTTGCCTACTAATGAGGCCAACAACTTTGTATGTATTTTTAGTCACTTTTATTTCTTCTGTCTTTACTTGCTAGTTTATATTGTTTGCTCCATTTTATCTATTCTGCCACTCGTTTTACTGTTGTGAAATGCTGTTTCCATGTTAATGACTTTCACTGGGCTATTTATATGATTCAAAGACTTTTCCAGATTACTCTTAACTTTTATATTTCCTTTGTAGGATCTTAATATTTTAATATAAGAAAACAATTTACATTTTACATAGTAAAATTTATTAATATCTTATAAAACTTTACAAATATATTTCATAATGTTACTATTCAGCACCAGGTATTTTATAGTACATAGAGATCAGATATTCATATGTGTATAATTTTAATTCTATAATATTAATATTTTTCATCTCTGGTTTAATATATTTAATAGCATAAGATAGAAATGTAACTTTATTTTCTGAAGATATAAACAAGCCCTGTATTCATCTAACTTTTAGACAACCAAAGGGAAAAAGAAGAGTTTAAGTGGAATTATATTAAATGCACTTATAAATTTAAAGATAATTGACATATTTACAATACTAATATGAATGCCTCAGGATAAATTTTAAAATCTCTTGGTTCATGATATCTTTTTTGTTCTTCATAAATTTGCAGTGAATAAGTACTTAATTCATTTAATTTTAAAATGATTTTTCTCTATAGTTCACCACAAACTTTGAAGGATTTGTACTAAGTTTAATTTCTCTTTCTTTGTAATGAAATAACACAGTAGCAATGCTGAGAATGAGTCCAGGCTTTCTAACTCCAGAAGTCATGCATTTAACAGCATACTAAATTGTTGGCATATAAAGGACCTTTGTTTCCTTGTGAGAATTTGTGTATATGTGTGCAAGTGTACTTGTGCGCTCACGAGTATTTATTTTTTACCAAGTTTAATTACTTTTCATTCCTTCAAATCTATAGTTTATTAATTGGATTCTTTTTTGTCTATAGACAGTCAATGTATCATTTGCAAACATTTCCAATAATTACACTTTATTGACTCTTCTACTTATTATTTCCCCTTTATTTGTGTTTCTTTTGCTGTTTCTTGAAGTTTTTTTTTTATGTTCGATGCTAGTTTATCGTGTCGTTATTCTTGCTAAGTAGTTATTTAAGACAATACATTTCACTTTAATTATTGACTGATCTTTACCCTGCCAGAATTTGTACATTATTTTTACATCTTTCACTGGGGGTACATTTTCTTAGTGGGCAAAGGGCCTGGTGGTGTACGTGGATTTTTTTGTGTGGAAAGAGAACAGGAGACTGAGCTTCAGCTCTATGAATTCACAGGCCGTATATACCTGGTTGACTGGGAGACCGGGGCTCAGAAAGAAAAAATAATGAAAAATTAGTGACAGTGGATAGAGTAGGTAAGAGTGTGAAGATATTTATATCGTTCTCAAATGCTCTTTAGAAGATATCACTCCAGTGGGGACAAAATAAACAGTTGAATACAACCCTTCAGATGTCAGTCAGAAGCTTTATCCAGCTATCTCTGTGCTTGCTTAATGATTCAAGTACAATGTGTTCATGGTGTCAGAGAATGATGCTAAGGATACATTCAAAAACATAAAATTTTATCTCACCGAAAAGATACACAGATGGTAAATTAGCAAATAGAAAAATGCTTCATATCATAAGCCATCAGGAAAATTAAAATTAAAATGACAGTAAGATGCTACTACATACCTATTAGTATGAACCATGAATACTTTGCATCTATTAGTATGTAGTAGCATCCCATTTCTGGCCAAAATTCAGAACATTGACAACACCAAATGCTGGTGATAATGTAAATCAACAGAAACTCTCAATTTTTGCTGGTGGGAATGCAATAGCGGTACAGCCACCTTGTAAGGCAGTTTGGTAGTTTCTTACAAAACTAAAAATGCAGTAACCATATAATTCAGAAATTCCACTTCTTAATGTTTAACCAAAAGAGTTGAAATTTTATGGCCACACAAAAACCTGCACGTGTTTACACCAACCAAAACTTAGAAGCAACCAAGATGTTTCTCAGTAAGTGAATGGATAAATAAACTATACACTTAGGGAATAGAATATTACATAGCAGTAAAAAGTAATAAGCTACCAAGCCATGAGAAGATATGGAGGATCCTGAAATGCATATGAATAAGTGAAATAAGCCAATCTGAAAGGGTATATGCTGTATAATTTTAAATATAGACATTTTAGAAAAGGAAGAACTCAGGAAACAAAAAATTAGTGGTTGTCAGAGGTTAGGTGGAAAAGAAGGATAAATAGGAGAAGCATAAGAATTTTATGGCAGTGACAATAATTTGTATGCTGTAATGGTGAATACATGTCATTATATATTTGTCTAAACCTATAAAATATACAACACCAAGAGTGAACCCTAATATAAAATATAGGTTCTGGATAATAAAGGTGTGTCAATGTAGGTTTATCAATTGTAACAAATATGTACTCTGATGGGGGATGTTGATAAAGAATGAGGCTATGCATTTGTAGAGAGAGTATGGATCAGCTCTGTTCCTTTTGCATTATTACTGTGAACCTAAAACTGTTCTAAAATATAGAGTCTTAAAAAATAAAATTAAAATTAAAAAAGAAACATGGAATTTCTCCCACCAAGGTTAATCTGGCTAGTTTCACTGCTGAAGAGGCTACGTGCCAATATCAGAGGAAAACCTGGACCCCTATTATGGCATAAGAAGAACCTTTTAGCAGGTAGCAGGTGTGTTAAACCCTACACTTTTCATTATAGAGAGGGGAACCATTTCTCTCTTCAAAGTCAGATTCATATTCCAGGAATAAACATGTTTTCTCTCACCAGCACCACTAGTTGAGAACTTGCAGAAGAATATCCATTGCTTGGTATCTCACAGTATTTCTTCTGCACAGAAAAGAAATTGTATACATCCTACACTATAAAATAAATTCCATGAAATCACTAGTATACTATTTGTTCTGTCTCCTAGAATTAGTTGGTTTCATAAAATGGTTGAATGACTCAATCATGGGAAATACCATTTTAAGAGACACAAGTGAATTTCTGCAGTAGGTGATATGTACCTGAAACCAGCAGCCAAAATATAAGGCTTTATCCCCATAGCCAGTAATAAAGGACTCAGGGCCTCGGTAAAGTTGTGAGACATCCCTCCCACAATTGTATGCAATGACTAGAGAAGAAATTTTATTTCCTTTGCCCATGACCCTGGGTTCAGTGTGTTTGGAGATCATATATCCCAAGAGAGAAATGTTTTCACCCAGAGACACACCAGTGATTTAATAAATATGAAAGCTGAAACTACTCCTGGCCATTTTGGTCTCTTAATGCTGATAAAGCAGCAAACAAGGGAGGGAGATGCTATACTAACAGTCTGATTTATTCTGTTTATCAAGGGAAAATTTGGTATTATTACTCAATGGGAGCAAAAAGGTCTATGTGCGGACCCCAGTGAATTCACTGGGACATCTCTTAGTTATCCATGCGCAATATCATCAAAGGAAAGTTGCTTTAACCTGCTGAAGACAGTCAGATCCTGAAGGAATAGAGCATTTGTTCACCTTAACAGGAAAACATCTACCCCTTTGAGGCACTGACAAAGTGTAAACGAACATGCAATTAGTTGTAAAAGAGATCTATGGATATCAACGTATGGCTCCATGCTCAGTTCTAGAAGGGATAATTACAGCTGTTATGCTATGCAAGAAATATTTTCCTAGCCCTTCCTCAGTTGGCCAAATGGGAGTGAAAGAAAGGTGCATCACTAAGATATTAGGGACTGGACGAGAGTAGAGAATACCAGAGAGGTCAAGTTATTTTTTCTCCAGGACATTCTTTGACAGGTAGCAAAAATTTGGCTGAATCACTCTAGTAAAAGCTACAGTTCCTATCAGGCAGCCCCTGCTCTCTGTACATCTAAGTAGAAGTTTTCTACTTTTATTCCTTCCCTCTTAACTTCAGTAGTGGTTCTCAGCTAAGGCTAGCCATAGAATATTGCATAATCTTTTGTTTTCTCTTAACTCTGCCCATATTCTTCTCAGTTTTCTCCTTTTTGTGTGCCATTTGTCATCTGCTAGGACCTGGACACATAAAATAATCGACTCTTAATGATGGGGTAATTAACACAAACAATTACAGTAGACAATGTCTAAAAAGTCAATGATTTAACAAAATAAAGATGAAAATTTGAATAAAGGTCCAGAACATATTAAATAAGTTAGTTTTATGTTATCAAGTACTAACTGTATATGAGATTTTGTTATTCTGTTTTTCTGTTCCTGGTGATTTTTTGGCATTGAATTAAGATTGAATAGTATTTGTTAATATTAAAACTTTTAAACATCCAAATATACTGTTTTACATATAACTCAGTATTAACAAATAAGAAAGAACAACTGTTAACCATAGAGTTAAAAAATTGTAGCTTGTGTAAACTATAAATATTATGTAAGTAAGCTAAATTGCAAAGGAGAATAATAGCATTCTTTAATGGCAAACTTAAAATTTAATTCCTTATTTTTACTATCTTACTATATTTTGCCATCAACATACTCCTGGGTTAATGTTCTTTAAGTCATATGTGCACACAAAAAAATCTTAAATGTTTTATTAAAAATACAATTTTTGTTTTAAGAAATATCCGTTATACAGCTATGCTAAGTACCAGGAACTGTGCTAGATGCAAATTATGCTTATTCACACCTTCCCAAAATGAATTTATAGACCAATGTCCTTGAGGACTCCAGCTCCTGGTTAAAAATCTAAGCGTAAATTTCCGGCCTGATCATAGGCCTGACAAAGACTTTACATGGAAGGCCTCCTGTGGACAAACTGCCATCCCCACATCAGACTCTCTGTGCACATCCAGGACATCACAGTATCTAAAAGGAGCTGCTGTCAAAGAATCAGGCCCCTCTGGCCTGTCCTGCTGTTTCACATATTTGTATTCCTAGTCCCTGAGCCTGCATTCCTAGGTCACTTTCTCTGAGGCTTTGTTCAGGGGTGTCTCTCAAGATCTCCTTATGGGTAGAGATGCTCTTAGCCCTCCTCCAAGTCCTCACGACAACCCTAGAACCCAGAAAACTGCTGGATCATTTTGTTCTTGCGGCTTCCTCGACAGTGAGATGACCCCAATATCTGTGCTGACCCTTGACTGACACATTGTTCTATCAGGGAAAATGGCACAAGTCAGTCAGCATATTCTAAAATTTTAGCCTCTTGGTCAAATGACTGCAGTAAGGGATTAAGAAGCTTAACTCTTTCATTTTTGGCTTGTTGCTTTAATCAGCCCTTCGGACACCTGGCAACCCAGCAAGTTAGCATACACTTCCTCTCTCTTCTTTGAAGCTCAGCTGAGGTGCTGAGAGTCCTGAAATTATATCCTTTCTAATGTTATTACTAATTACTTAATTTCTGCTGGGCAGATACTGTAGGATTGAAAGCCCAGTTTTCCCAAAACTTTAACCTTTCAACATGAGCAGAATAACAGAAAACTAATTTGGAATATTTTGAGTTAACAAGGAAATATAAGCCAACATAATGTGGGCTAAATAAAAGGGTGGCCAGATCCAGCAGTGTTTGATCACTTTATCTGCAGGGTAAGAAGTACATAATCATGTTTTCCAAAGAAATCAATTTATTTGCTGCAGTATTGAAGCTATTGAAATATCTGTAGCTATGCACATTCTTATTTCTTGAATGTAATGTTGCTAGAATAACCAGCTTACCTTCACCTCCATTTAGGAAGCTCTATAAGATAATTCAAACTAATTATAAGGCCACCATACTATGAGAATTGCATTGTATTATTGACATATTTGTATTCATTTATCAGTGATAAAATAGAATTTTGTGAATAGATAGTAAAGAAAATAAGAAAAACTCCTTTCTTTCTTTCTTGCTCTCTCTCTCTTTTTTTTTTTTCTTTTTTTGTAGTTTTGCTCTTTTTGCCCAGGCTACAGTCCAATGGCACAATCTCAGCTCACTACAACCTCCACCTCCTGGTTCAAGTGATTCTCCTGCCTTAGCCTCCCAAGTAGCTGTGATTACAGGTGTGTGCCACCATGCCCTGCTAATTTGTATTTTTAGTAGAGATGGGGTTTCACCATGTTGGTCAGGCTAGTCTCGAACTCCTAACCTCAAGTGATCCACCCCCTTCAGCCTCCCAAATTGCTGGGGTTACAGGCATGAGCCACTGTGCCCGGCCCAAGAAAAACTACTTCTAAAATTAAATATTTGTACATTCTAAGGCTTTGCTGTTTGTCATTATGTATATTTCAGTGTGTATGATTCACAGAGTCATAAGAAATAGTCATTGGGAGGCCTCATAAAGATTCTCACTCTATGTAGCTTGTATGAAGGAAGAGTACCTTGCAATTCTTTCTTTACAGATACCAGGTAACAACTATAAGGCAGCTATCTCTTCACCTGCCCTTTTCTAATTAAATTATTCAAGTACTTCTGGGAAATATTAAAATCTCCATATCAGGAAAATATTATTACTGAAATTCCCTTTCTAGGTAGCTATGCACTCTTTGGTATTACAAGAACAATATAATGAACAAAATGAAGATATTTTAACTGCACACATTACCACTGTTTGATACTTAGCTTGCTCAGGAGGCTGCGTTGTGTCTCTAGAGTAAAATATTTTTCAAATTTTCTAACCACCTCTTCCTTAGCTGTCTTAAAGAAGAAAGAAAGAAACATTTCTAACTAATGGAATTCAGTGATCGGTTGAATAACTGGGTCATGGGAAAAGCAAATTGTCATCTAATTTTTGAAAACAACTGCAAGTTGGCCGTTACCTTCTCTACATTGACTGACTTGCCTTCAGTTTCAGTCTTCAGAGGGTGTCTCATTTCAACCTATCTCTGTCCTCTCTTCCTAAGAGCTCTTAGTGTCAAGTACCCTGTAATAATTTGAATTATGTTTATGTCATGGGATAGTAACTTCTCAA
This sequence comes from Homo sapiens, assembly GCF_000001405.40. NCBI lineage: Eukaryota > Metazoa > Chordata > Mammalia > Primates > Hominidae > Homo > Homo sapiens. The sequence continues at coordinate 32,496,096 of NC_000004.12, forward strand.
ATTTGCTTAAACCAAATAAAAATGAATTGATTGCTTATAATAGATGGGAAATTATTAGCAGAGGTATATAAAGCATCAGTCAAGATAGAATCTTGGAGTTAGACTGTGGACATCCCTGTATATCTCTCCATATGTTCTGCTGATCTGCCTGTTGTTTTCCTAATCAGGTAGGCTGTTCTGTGCTGTGTTGAATATGGCCACTACTGGTTCTAAGGCTCCATAATGTTCTGAGGTAGTTATATTAAGAAAACCTGTGCTTCTTTTCAAATTTTTATGGCAACATTTCTACGGAGGATCCTGCTTCCCTCAGTGATTTTACCTACCCACCATGAACCTCACAATGTTGCTAGGGTTATAAAGAAATTGAGTGACTTGTCCTAAGTTACATGTTCTTTTCTGGAACTTGCACTTGGTGTCAGTCACACCAGGACTATAAAAACCTTGATGAGAGAGGTAATTAGCAAAAACATAATAATGGGAATTCCCCAACAAATGTTCAAACATACCCTAACTCTGTGCAAACAACTATGGGACAAAAAAAAAAAAAAAAAAAACAAAGACATATAATAATGTGGCCGCTGGAACATTCCCAACATCCCTGAAAATGGAGTAGTTTACAAAAGTTGTGATTGAAAGATCAAATATATGTCTCATTTACTGCACTTGTTTGATTAAGTCCTGTATATAAGATTATGTAATAACATGGACACTTCCCATTGATGTTAAACCCATGGAAGAGGCAAAATGTGGGTATAGGATGTGTAGTCTGTAGCTTCTACTTTATAATACAATATATAATTTCAGAATAGCAATATGGTAGAGGATTAATGACCAGTAATTTCCAAGAAAGCAGAAAGTGCCTGGGAATGTGTGACGATACCTTTTCAATTAATGAAGTGATTGCATTCCTCTATCCCCTACCCCACCCTCTCCTGGTGGCTGGAAAGACAATGTGTTATTTTCATTTGTTCTCCCTTCAGTTTTTATAACTCAGAAGTCTTCATTTTGGATACAGACATTCTCATAAAGCCATAAAAATTTAGTCTCATAAAGAAAAAAATACTATTAGTTCTAGAAAATAATCATTAAAAAGGTAAAAAACGAGGAAGATTCATCAGATAATTTGAACCAATTATAAAGACCTAGGTCTACAAATGGTACTTATAGTTCATAATTTAGATTTTATATACTTCACATTTTGCTATAAAACTTTAAGTAATAAAAAATTTTATGAAGGGATACTAAAGAAAATTGAGAGCAATTGTCTTCAGGAGAAGGGAAGAATATGCTTAATATATAATTCCTATCAAGATAATAGCTCAAACCAAGGGCTCTGAAAGCAGATTAGCTGGCTTTAGACTCAACATTTACTTTCCTAGCTGTGTAATGCAAATAAGTAACTTCAGTGCTCTGAGCCTCGCTTTCCTTTTCTATAAAATTTGGATTATAAAAACTATTTAGTTTGTAGGTTATTAAGAACATTAAATGAGTTAACTCATGTACATTTCCAATAGTGGGTTCCATGCAAACTTCCATATTAGCTACTCAAGTCAATACCAAGCTTGGTGGTGTTATTTACGATGGCAACCCTCCATGAAACCTGCTGAGTTTATGCAAAAGGATAGCCTGAGAGAATCTGCAATTATGTTTTCAGATCTCTCTTTCAGATCTCACTCAAACCCAATCCATAGAACATAGGATCCTTTTATGTGCTTCAGGAAGTCTATACATTTCCTGAAATTTCAAGACTTTTTTGTATAAAGGTCTACATGCATATTTATTTTAAAAAAGACACCAAATAATCCATAAGCTATAATAAGCTTTTTTGTTTCACTTAATTATGCAATTGGCTAATATTAAGCAACTCTACTAGGAATAATATGCTATAGTAATTACAAGAAAATGAGATGGGCTTTATTAGTTATATTTCTTTGGGTAAATTCCTTATGGATATTCATAAAATAAAATTAACTATATTTTTATATTTGTGAAAATTGCTAATTTCATATTAAAAATAATATATAATAAACCTAAGACACCAATAACTTAATTCTTTCTTGATGGTAAATTAGACCTTTCTAAAGCATACTGTACCATATTGAGGTCAAGGTATATCTATGTAGCAGTAGTTCATTGTCCAAAGCTTAAATGCGTTACCACATTTTCAAAATTTGCCAAACCTCTACCTCCAGGGAATGTTTGACTCAATATACATTTTTTACTGATGTGGCTTACCTTTCAATTTTTACTTTGTGACCTTAATATGTTGATTGTAGAATATGGTCAAGAGTAAGGAAGAGTGAGCTGTCACCATTAATGAAATGTTATGCTTTTACAATTCCATTTCCACTATGTAGATTTTATATTTTGTCTTACTATATCTTTAAGAGGTAAGATTATACAATAAAAATAAAATACTTATTTCACATACAGTATAACAAATTGGTTTCACTATTTTAAGATTGGTTGGACTGAAGAAAAGTCTATTTATTGAGCATTTTAAAACTCAATCACATAATAATCTTAAGATTGAGCTTTCACACAAGGAAAGTGCTCTCTCTTTAAAATGTCAGGTCCTATGGTTGTGTGTTTTAATTTGTTTACCGGTTTGTTATTGTTTTTGCACTATGACCTCTCATATTTTCTGGGAATAATTCTTCATAAAACTTCTGGAATACATTATATATGGCATTAAAAATAACAAGCAAATAGTATATTTCAAATTGGATGGAAATTTACATCCGCAACTGTTTATGTTCAAGAGATTGCCATATGTCTTTCAAGTTGGAGAGATTTTTATGGTAGAGAATGATGATTTGAGGACTGGGAGGGCTGTGAAGGGAATTAAGAATGATGTTCAGGAAAGAGAGTAGTCATCTGTTTATGTGTATTTGTAATCATATAAAGGAAAATTTTAATAAAGATTGAAATAACAACCGTAAGTTAGTGGCATAAATTCAGAATGCTCATAAGTAACAACAGAAGGCGGAATAGAGGTAATAACTAGGAAATAAGAAAGTGTTCTAGCAGAAAAACTGAAAAATCAAATATGTCCTGCTCTAATTCTAATAATGATTTCTTCAAGAGTTTGCTGAGAAAAAGTACTATTTTTCTCACAGTGTCCATTCCATGTGTTGTTTTCTTTGGCACCTTCCTTGCATTTCATCAATGTTGTATTTCTCTTGAAATTCAAAGTGATGTGTAACGATCCAAGACATTTGTGCAATCATCCATATTATTCTGATGGTGTCATACCCTTGCTCATAAACTACCAATGGCTTACATATGACATCGTTATAACACCCAGACACTTTCGCATTCCCTTTAGGCCGTCTAATCTCTTAGCAACTCCCCCACCCTGTTTTCACATTACAGTGAATGTTTTGCCATACTTAGAACAGTCTAAGCTCTTCCAGAAATTGTCCTCCTTAGGAATATTTCACCTTCTTCTCCTATTGCCTAGAGCGCATTCCCTCACAACTTCTACATCTCTTTCCATCGGTTATCTACATCTTTGCTCAAATATATTCTTCTCAGAGACTCTTTCTCTTATCCTGCTGTCTAGAACATAACCCGGAACATTGCCCAGTCACAAACTGACAATTACTCATTTTATTTTTTTCACAACATATCTCCACAAAGACTATTATGACATTAACATATTATAAAATATGTATTTATATACCAGCTATTTTATGTTTTCACCTCTTATTAAAATGCATATTTGATAAGAATAGGACAATTCTTTACTGAGAAAATAGAAACAGTTTATCATCAAATCTACCAAATGTCTCTTTCTCCAATGCTTTGACAAAAATTTTCATTCCCACCTGTCTATAGTGATCAAATGTGCTCTTATTTTACTTTATGTTATTTAGAGATAGAATCAAAACTGGGATATAATAATATTTCATTATTTAAAACATATTTCCTAGATCTCCCTTCCAAAATAACAATGTGAGGAGCTTAATGGACCCCAGCAACACAACAATAATTGGTTAAAAAAAAGGTTAAAAACACAAGATAAAATAAAATCTCTAGAAATTTCCTTAAGGATATAAGGCAAGTGAAGAAACATTTATTCAAAATAATCTGTTAAATCTTACTTAGGTCAGCAAGAGTCTATAAAACTTCAGCCATGAATCTCTGTCTCCAAAAACAAATTTTTCTTTTTCACCCTAGCTCCTAGTCAAGGAAGATGTATCACCACAGCAGAGGCAGGCTACTAGCTTTTCTTACCCAATACCACCTTATTGTTACACAGGCTAAATTTTAGATGAATGTAGCAGTGATGTCAAAGTTTTCTTCTTTTACCCAGTTGATGACTATTAAGACAAATTCTCTACCCTAAATATCACAGGCTAAGAAGTGAAATAAACATAGTTAAATAAGAAGATTAATATAACAGATACTTTTTCCTTCTTTTATGTCTTTAAATTATAAAAATTTATATAAAATAGTAATTGTAACACTATATTGTTAGATTTGTTATTATACATATATATGAGTAGTTT